>NC_000014.9:49914743-50217773 GCF_000001405.40 Homo sapiens | reverse complement strand
CATGTTAGCCAGGATGGTCTTGATCTCCTGACCTCGTGATCCACCGGCCTCGGCCTCCCAAAGTGCTGGGATTACAGGCGTGAGCCACCGCACCCGGCCAAAAGTTTTAAATTTTTATCAATTTGTTTTTTTAGGGACTGTGCCATTAGTGTCATATCAAGGAAATCTTTGCCTAACCCAGGGTTACAAAAATTTTCCCTTCTAGAAATTTTTTATTTATTTATTTTAATTTTCAAAAATAGAGACAGGGTCTCACTATGTTGCCCAGGCTGGTCTCGAACTCCTGATCTAAAGTGATCCTTTGTCCTTGGCCTCCCAAAGTTTTGCAATTATAGGTGTGATCCACCATACCTAGCCTGTTCTA
Source organism: Homo sapiens (assembly GCF_000001405.40). Classification (NCBI taxonomy): domain Eukaryota; kingdom Metazoa; phylum Chordata; class Mammalia; order Primates; family Hominidae; genus Homo; species Homo sapiens. The sequence continues at coordinate 50,217,409 of NC_000014.9, read as the reverse complement.
GAAATTTTATAGTTTAAATTTTATATTTATATCTATGACTCATTTGAATCACTTTTTCTTTTTTAAAAAAATCTCACCTTGTCTTATGGTGCTGATTGAATCATTTTATATATGGTGTGATAATTCTGTATATGGTATGTTTGTTTTTTTGTATATGGATATCTGGTTGTTCTGTCACCATTTATTGAAAAGGCTGTCCTTTTCCTTTGCTAAAGGTCTTCATGCTTTTATTTAAAAAATCAGTTGCCCATATATGTGTGGTTTTATTTCTGGATTCTCTATTCTGTTCTATTGATTGTTTTCCTTATCTTTATGTCAGTGCCGTACTGTTTTGGTTACCATAGCTTTATAGAAATCCTTGAAATCAGGTAGTGTTAGCCCTTCAACTTTGTTCTTCTTTAGAGTTGTTTCAGTTATTCTAGGACCTTTGTATTTCCATGAGAATGTTTTAATCAACATATCAATTTCTACAAAAAAGCTTGCTGGAATTTTGATTGAGATTGTGTTGCATCTACAGATCATTTGGGAGGAATTGACATCAGAACAATGTTGAGTCTTCCAACTCATAGTTTAATCTCTTCATTTATTTAAGTCTTTAATTCCTATCAGCAGTATATTGTATTTTTATTTTTATTTTTATTTATTCATGTTTATTGTATTTTGTTTTTATTTTTTGATATTGAGTCTCACTCTGTCACCCAGGCTGGAGTGCAGCAGCACGATCTCAGCTCACTGCAACCTCTGCCTCCCGGGTTCCAGCGATTCTCCTGCCTCAGCCTCCAGAGTAGCTGCCCAGCTAATTTTTGTACTTTTAGTACAGACGGGGTTTCACCATGTTGGCCAGCCTGGTCTCAAACTCCTGACCTCAGGTAATCTACCTGCCTTGGCCTCCCAAAGTGCTGGGATTACAGGTGTGAGCAACCTTGCTCTGCCAGTATTTTGTAGTTTTAGTATATATACTTCAACTAAAATTTTTATTTTCTTTTTAAATTGAATTTTAATATTTCATAATGGGCTGGGTGTCGTGGCTCACGTCCATAATCCCAACACTTTGGGAGGCTGAGGCAGGCAGATTACCTGAGCTCAGGAGTTCAAGACTAGCCTGGCCAACATGATGAAACCCTGTCTCTACTGAAAATACCAAAATTAGCTGGGCGTGATGGTGCACACCTGTAGTCCCAGCTACTTGGGAGGCTGAGGCAGGTGGATCTCTTGAATCTGGGAGGTGGAGGTTGCAGTGAGCCAAGATTGCTGCCACTGCACTCCAGCCTGGGTGAAACAGCGAGACTCCATCTCAAAAAAAAAAAACAAAAAAAACCCAAAACATTTAATAATGAAAACATTGCCAGTATTCTTAATTGATGTTTGAGATATTTGCATCCTTGTGGAAATCTTGGCAGCACAATGAAGAATTTGGCAAAAATAAATATCAGTCAGACTCTATATCCAAAAGGATTTATTTCCACATTGTACCTGAAACTCAAATGTTAATTACTGAACAAGTGCATTAGCAAGATTTTTAATTTAAATGTGAAGATGGAAAACTGAAAAATATAAATTAGGAAATAACATTTCTATAACTTGTCAAATGTAGTGGTTTATCAGGGTAAAAAGTTAAAGTGCTTTTGTGTGTGTCTACACATGGATTTATAGTATGAGACTATTTTGTTTTTTGTTTTTTTTTATTATACTTTAAGTTTTAGGGTACATGTGCACATTGTGCAGGTTAGTTACATATGTATACATGTGCCATGCTGGTGCGCTGCACCCACTAACAATTCTATTTATAGTGTTACAGTAAGGAAATGCCTTCTGGCAATTTGAAAATATGGTGTAACTAAAATACAGGTCTGACTTGTTAATCTACTGTTAAAGACTGGAAATTATTTTAATTGCTCTTTTTCTGACTAGGCTTTCAAAAAATATGATAGGCAAATTGGTTCTGTCGTGGTAATTTTATGTTTACTGTCTCTGTAGAAGTGTAAAGCATGGTTCTCTTCCATTGTCCTCTTGATGTCCTGTTACAGCATTTATGGGTGAGATTTTAACATTGTGTGTTTATTTTTATGACTGTTTTCATATTTGAAATTAAGAAGTTTGGCATAAGAAACTTTGATGCTTGATGTTCAAATTGCTTTGTAGCTTATTTAACAAAATCATAATCACAGAAAAAGAATCCATCCCAGTTAGACATTATCTTAATTCTCATGTTCAATCATTTTCACTGAGTGGGGCCCTTGGCTTTTTATGGAAAGATGTTATAAGAAACAACCTTGCCGGGCGCGGTGGCTCACGCCTGTAATCCCAGCACTTTGGGAGGACGAGGCGGGCAGATCACGAGGTCAGGAGATCAAAACCATCCTAGATAACACAGTGAAACCCCGTCTCTACTAAAAAATACAAAAAATTAGCCGGGCATGGCCGTGGGCACCTATAGTCCCAGCTACTCGGGAGGCCGAGGCAGGAGAATGGCGTGAACCCGGGTGGCGAAGCTTGCAGTGAGCTGAGATCGCGCCACTGCACTCCATCCTGGGGGACAGAACAAGACTCCGTCTCAAAAAAAAAAAAAAAGAAAGAAAGAAACAACCTTGCCTCAGGGAGGGGGGCCTGAGGAGGCAGGAGGATTGTTTGAGCCAAGGAGTTGGTGACCAGCTCGAGCAATTTAGGTAGGCCTCATCTTTAAAAGAAAAAGAAAAAAAAAAAAAAAAAGAAACGGCCTTATGAAGTCTACTGCCACACTTACAATGTAAATGTTTATTTATTTATTTAAAGATGGAGTCTCATTATGTTTGGAAGCCTGAAACTCCTCGGCCCAAGGAATCCTCCCACCTCAGCCACTAGAGTAGCTGGGACTACAGACACCCCACTACGCCTAGTTAAATGTCTACTTTTTTAAAAATGTCTTTTAAAAGTCGATTGATCTATTAGAAATGTATGGCTAAAATGTAATTAAGTTATCTCTGGCTGTGTTAAAGAAGTGCAGGGTATAAGAGGAAATATTTATTTCTCCAAAACCTAATTTGAATTTATTAGAAAATATGTTAGAAACATATTTCTAACATAGAAATACATTAGAAAGCCTGATTTTTTTTTTTTATTATTGGTCCTATATGAATTTCTAATTGCCTTACTGCTAGACTTTTTGGACCAGACTTCTTCAAAGAGTAGTCTTTCCTTACTATGGCCTTCCACTTCCCCATTCCCCAATTCAAAATTATTTTTCTTTATCAATTAGTTTGTATTTTGTCAAAATTATTTATGTAAATAAAAAGATAATTCGCTCTGCAAAGCTTGTTATGAAAAATAGCATTACTTCCCCCTTAAACACAAAATTTTCTGTTTCCTAGAGAAAACCATTTTAACTTTTCAAAGTGATTTATTTACTTCTATATTTCTAAGAAAGAAAAAGTGCTTATATTGCTATTTCATGTTTTTTTCTGTTTTGGATGTTATCTGTTGACTTCCTACCACGGAGGGTAAGGATTTAATATTCTCTTTTTTCTCTTTTTTTTTTTTTTTCTTGGCAGGGACTCACTCTGTTGCCCAGACTGGAGTGCAGTGGCACAAAGGATTTAATATTCTTTAATATGCACATACATTCCCCTCCAACCACACACACACTTTCCACTTTCTCTTCCCCCACTTCAAAGTTATATCTTAATTTGAGTTGGATTAATATTCAAAGTTTACATTATTATGACTGTAAATGCTATTTTTGGGGTTTTTTTTTGGGGTGGGGGGGACAGGGTCTCACTCTGTCGGCCAGGCTGGAGTGCAGTGGCACAATCTCCACTCACCTCAACCTCCACCTCCAGGGTTCAAGCTGAGATTACAGGCACGCACCACCAGGCCCAGCTAATTTTTGTATTTTTAGTAGAGACGGGGTTTCACTGTGTAGGCCAGGCTGGTCTTGAACTCCTGGCCTCAAGTGATCCACCCCCACCTTGGCCTCCCAAAGTGCTGAGATCATAGGCATGAACCACCACACCCGGCCTATAAATGCTATTTAATCTGCTTTTTCTTTTCTAACTCACTGCTTTTACTGGAGTTATTAATTATCTTGTTTTCTTGTTTGTGTGTTTTTCTATGTAGTACACTTATTACCAAATTCAAACTTTTTACCAGTTTTCTAAATATCCTATCAAGATTTTCATCCCATTGCATACTCTGTCAAGTTTGTTTTCTTGAGACAGTCTCTCCCAGAGCCTTCTGACCTGCACCAGTGTGGACTGGTCACCTTTATTCCTGTTTTACAGCTCTCATCCTATAATTTCCTTTCATTTTATCCTGGGCATTCCTTTGACCTTTCTTCTCTATTGATTCCTTTATTTTCTTTATTCCATATTTTTCTTTCTTGATTCATACCCTTGTTTTAGTGTAGTACAAATGACAGAAGGTTAATGAGAAAGACTACGTGAGAGATAAAGTTTTGGACCTTATTCTATCTAAGAATGTCACGTTAGCATGGCGTTTGATATTGCTGGTATCTTGGATTCCAGGCTGAACATCATTACCATCTAGCTTCTAGTATTACTGTTGAAATCTGAAGCTAATGTCTGCTTCTCATATATAATCTGCTCCTCCTCACTTCCCTGTCCTCCCAGTCTTGTAGGATATTCTCTTTGTCTCCAGGGTCCTGACATTAAAATTTTGTTCAGTGACATGGGCACTAGAAAAGCCCTTTAGACTTATTTTATTGATAATTTCCCCCCTCAATTTCCTCTGTTTGCTAGATGATTCTCAAACTTTTGAAAACCTCATTTATGGTGAAGTGTAACATATAATCAGAAAATGTGTAAAGGATAAATATACAGTTTAAGGAACACCTATTTAACACTCAGGTAAGAAGACAGAACATTGTCAGCACTTTTCTCAGGATAACTCTCCAAAAGGTAACCGTTTTTGTGGTATTCACTGTTTTGATTTTCTTTCTTTTTGAGACGGAGTCTCGCTATGTTGCCAGGCTGGAGTGCAGTGGCATGATCTTTGCTCACTGCAACCTCCGCCTCCTGGGTTCAAGCGATTCTCCTGCCTCAGCCTCCCGAGTAGCTGGGACTACAGGTGTGCACCACCATGACCAGTTAATTTTTGTATTTTTAGTAGAGACGGGGTTTCACCGTGTTGGCCAGGATGGTCTCGATCTCTTGACCTTGTGATCCGCCTGCCTTGGCCTCCCAAAGTGCTGGGATTATAGGCGCGAGCCACCGCGCCTGGCCTGTTTTGATTTTCTTAATAGTTTTTCCATCTCAGCGTGTATCCCTTAACACCATTGTTTAATTTGTTCTGAATTTGTTTATTTTTTATTTTTGTATTTAATTTTGTCTGACTTTGTGAATGGAATCCCATTGTATGTATTCTTTTTATCTGGCTTCTTTCTGCCAACATTTTTTCAGGGTGCATCCACATTTTATGTAGCTGTCATTATTACTGCATTTTTTTGACTGTGTGTATTCCATTGTATTAATAAGCCACAATTTATCTGTCCCATTCTGGATGAATATTTGAATTCTTTTCTAGTTTTGGAAGGTATTATTAATAATGTTATTTATGAGCCTTCTAGCGTATGTCTTCTGGTAAACATTTCTCTAGAGCATTGCTGTCTAGAAGAGATACAATGTGAGCCACACATGTAATTTAAAATTTTCCCTCCTAGGCTGGGCATGGTGGCTCATGCCTGTAATCCCAGCACTTTGGGAGGACAAGGCAGGAGGATTGCTTGAGCCCAGGAGTTCAAGGCCAGCCTGGGCAACACAGCGAGAACCTGTCTCAAAAATCTAAATAATAATAATAATAATAATTAATTAAAAAATAAATAAAATTTTCCCTCCTGAGTGAATTAATGCAGGAACAAAAAAAAAACAAATGCTGCATGTTCTCATTTACGGGTGAGAGCTAAACATGGGGTACCCATGGACATAAAGATGTTAACAACAGACACCGGGGACTAATAGAGGAGGTAGTACTATGCTCAGTACCTGGGTGATGGGATCATTTGTACCCCAAACCTCAGCATGACACAATATACCTAGGTAACAAAATCTGCACATATACCCCCTTAATCTAAAATAAAAGTTAAAAACGAAAATTATCATAGCCACAGTTGAAAAGTAAGAAGAAACAGATGAAGTTGATTTTAATAACATATTTTTAACCCAATCTAATCATTTCAGCATGTGTCATAAAAATTGAGAATTTGACTTCTTATTTTAATACTGAATCCTTGAATCTGGTTTGTATTTTACACCAACATCCCATTTCAACTCAGTGGAGCTACATTTCAGGTGTTCAGTACCCACATGAGGCTAGCGTCTATTATATTGGACTGTATAGCTCTAAAGAAATATATGTAAATCTATCCTGAATATATATATATATATCCTATAGTGGAATTGCTCAGTCATAGACTATACATATCTTGAACTTTAGTACTTAATGGCAAAGTTTTTGAAAGTGATTGAAACATTTTACATTCCAGTAGCAGTGTGTGATCGTTCCCATTGCTCCACATAGTTACCAACATTTGATATTATCAGAATTTTTAGTTTTGCTGCCTGGTGAGTGGATAGTTTTCATGGTCGTTTAATTTACATTTTTCTGATTACTTAAGAGCTAGAGCACTTTTTAATATATATATAGGCTATTTGAATTTATTCTTTTGTGAAGTGCTAGTTTAAGGGTTTTTTGCCCATTTTTTCTCTTGGGATTTTTATCATTTTTTTTCTTACTGAATTTTTAGGAGTTCTCTATATATTCTAGATATGAGCCTTTTGTTACATGTACTACATATATCTTCTCCAACTCTGTAACTTGCCTTTTTACTTTCTTAAAGATGTCTTTTGAGAAACCTAAATTTTAAAGTTTAATATAAAGTTTATCAGTTCTTTCCTTCATAGCTAGTAATTTTTTGTGTCCTATATAAGAAATCTTTTTCAATCCTGAAATCATGAAGATATTATCTAGTTTTACACTGTCAGAGCTTTATTGGGTATATTTATTTATTAGGCCTAACATGCAGCTAGGATTGATTTTTGGGTAAAGGTTGAAGTAGGAGTTGATTTTCTTTTTCTGCAGTGGTTCAACACTATTCATACACTTCCCTGCCTCCCTGCAACTCTCTGCCACACCTCATACTCTACAGTGCCATCTGTGTAAATAAGCGTCTATATATATGTGGACTTGTTTGTGGACTCTGTTATGTCCCATTGATTTCTTTCTCTATCCTTATGCCATTGTCACATTCTTCATTACTATAGCTTTGTAATAAATCCTGACAACCATTGGAGCAAATCCTTGTACTTCCTTACAGACATATGACTTTGTTGTTAGTAATTTTAAAAAAAGAATATATGACTGATTTTCTTAGCTTTTTGCACTTTTATTTACATGTTGAAATTATCTTGGCATTTTTAGCAAAACAACCTGCTTGGATTTGATTGTGATTTTATAACTGCATGTATCAATTTTGAGAGAATTCAGTTGTATACAATATTAAGTCTGACAGTTCACCAACATGGTATCATCTTTCATTTATTTAGCTCTTTAATTTTTCTTAAAGTCTAGTTTTCTCCCTAGGAGTCATGTGTACCTTATCAGGTACTCAAGGTACACGGTATTTTAAATTCTACTGTAAATGCTATTTAATTTTTTTTTTTTTGAGACAAGGTCTCACTCTCACCCAAGCTGGAGTGCAGTGGCATAATCATGGCTCACTGCAGCCTCGACCTCCGGGTTCAGGTGATCCTCCCACATCAGCCTCCCGTGTAGCTGGGACTACAGTTGCGTGCCACCACATCTGGCTAATTTTTTGTAGAAGTGGTGTTTCACCGTGTTGCCCAGACTGGTCTTGAACTCCTGGGCTCGAGCGATCCTCCCGCCTCAGCTTCCCAAAGTGCTGGGATTACAGGAGTGAGCCACCGCACCTGGCCTAAAAATTTTGTTTGCTAGCTTTGTTGCTGGTACATAGAAAGAAAAGTTTATTTTTTATGAGTTCAGGTAATTTATGTGTACAATATTTTTGTCCTGCATGGGTACATTATTTTGTCCTCCATGGGTGCATGGATTCTTCAGAGAAGCAGAACCAATAGGAGACACACACACACACACACACACACACACACACACACACACACACACACGACATTTAAGGAAATAGGCTCATGAGGTTATGGTGGCCCAGAAGTCCAAGATCTGCATTTGTCAAGCTGCAGACCCAGAAAAGCCAATGGTATAATTCTAGTCCTAGTCTGAAGGCCTGAGAACCAGAAGAGCTGATGATATAAATTCCAGTCTGAGTATCAGTCTGAAGGCAGAAGACCGGTGTCCCAGCTCAAATACAGTCAGGCAGAGAGAAAGAATTCTTTCTCAGCCTTTTGTTCTATTCAGGCCTTTAGTCAAGTGGATAAGGCCACACTGGGGAGGGTAGTCTGCTTTTCTCAGTCTACCAACTCAAATGTTAATCTCCTCCAGAGATACCCTGACAGACATACCCAGAAATAGTGTGTAACCAGTTATATGGGCACCCCAAAATTAACCATCACAATGGGCAGTCAGATGATCTGCAAATTTGTTTCTTCTTTACCAATTCTGAAATTTTCTTTTTCTTGGTTTACTGCAATAGCCAGGACCTCCAAATATAATGTGGAATAGAAATGATAATAGAAAATATCCTTTTCCTTGATCTCCAAAGGAAAGCTGTCAGTGTCTTGTCTTACTATTAACTATGATTTTATTGTAGCTTTTTTTGTTTTGTTTTGTTTTTTCTTTGAGATGGAGTCTTGCTCTGTCGCTCAGGCTGGAGTGCGGTGGCATGATCTCAGCTCACTGCAACCTCTGCTTCCCAGTTCAAGCGATTCTTCTGCCTCAGCCTCCCGAGTAGCTGGGACTACAGGCACCTGCCACCACACCGGCTAATTTTTGTATTTTTAGTAGAGGCGGGGTTTCACCGTATTGGCCAGGGTGGTCTCAAACTCTGACCTTGTGATCCCCCCGTCTCAGCCTCCCAAAGTGCTGGGATTACAGGTCTGAGCCACCGCACCCAGCCTATTGTAGCTTTTTAGTATACATCCTTTATCAAATGAAAGAAGTTCACAAAGAGATTTTTTATTTGTTTGTTTGAGACAGAGTCTCACTCTCACCCAGGCTGGAGTGCAACAGCACGTTATCTCGGCTCACTGCAACCTCCGCCTCCCGGGTTCAAGCGATTCTCCTGCCTCAGCCTCCCAAGTATCTGGGACTACACGCGCCTTCTACCATGCGTGGCTAATTTTTTGTATTTTTAGTAGAGATGGGATTTCACCATGTTGGCCAGGCTGGCCTTGAACTCCTGACCTCAAGTGATCCACCCGCCTCGGCCTCCTAAAGTGCTGGGATTATAGGTGTGAGCCTCCGTGCCGGGCCCACAAAGAGATTTTATCATGAATGAATGTTGAATATTTTTCAAATGGCTTTTTTACATATATATTGGGATGGTCATATTATTTTTCTTTTTTTCTTTTCTTTTTTTTTTTTTTGAGATGGAGTCTCGCTCAGTCATCCAGGCTGGATTGCAGTGATCTCAGCTCACGGCAGCGTCTGTCTCCCGGGTTCAAGCAGTTCTCCTGCCTTAGCCACCCAAGTAGCTAAGATTACAAGCCTGTGCCACCACACCTAGCTGATTTTTTTATTTTTAGTAGAGACGGGGTTTCACCAGGTTGTCCAGTCTGGTCTCGAACTCCCGACCTCAGATGATCCACCCACTTCCAGCCTCCCAAAGTGCTGGGATTACGAGCCACCATGCCTGGCTGTGATTGTATAATCTTATTTGTATACATTATGGAATTTAGTTAGGTGACACTTTACTTAGGCTTTTTTTTTTTTCTGGATTCATAAGTGAAAATGGCCTATAATTTTGTTTTCTTTTAGAGATGAGGTCTTGCTCATTCCCCCAGGCTGGAGCGCAGTGGCACCATCATGTCTCACTGTAGCCTTGACCTTCTGGGCTCAAGTAATCCTTTTGCTTTAGCCTTCTGAGTAGCTGGGACTACAGGCATATGCCACCATGCCCAGCTAATTTTTTTATTTTGGAGAGATGAGGTCTTGCCATGTTGCCCAGGCTGGTCTGGAATTCCTGGCCTCAAGCGATCCTCTGACCTTGGCCTCCCAAAGTGCTGGGATTACAGGCATGAACCACTGTGCTGAGCTAAAAATGGCCTATAATTTTCATCTTTCTTTTTGAGTTTTTATATAAAGTCTAGTCCCAAAATAAATTGGAGAGTATCTTTTTAAAAAAAATTTTCTAAATGTTCGCTTAAGATTGTTGTATTGCTTCCTTTATGTTTGATGAGTTTGTCAATGAAGCCAGGTAGACCCATATAATGGGCTATAATGCAAGTCTCAACAAATTTCAAAAGATTGAAATCATAGAAAATATGTTTTCTGGCCAGGCATGGTGGCTCATGCCTGTAATCCCAGCATTTTGGGAGGCAGAGGTGAGTGGATAGCTTGAGCTCACAAGTTCAAGACCAGCTTGAGGTCAAGGCTACAGTGAGCCATGATTGCACTACTGCATTCCAACGTGGGTGGCAGAATGAGACTCTGTCTCAAAAAAATTAAATAACTAAATAAAAATGAAAAAGAAAGTATGTTTTCTGACGACGTGATTATTATAGAAATCAATTTTAAAAACCTTTTAAAAAATCTCATGTTTAAAAATTAAAGAAATTTGCTTCTAGATTCTTAAGGTGAAAGAAGAAACCATAATGGAAATTAGAAACTATAGTCCACCATTCTTATCCTTGGGTTCTTAATCCATAGATTCAGCCAACCTCAGATCAACAGTATTTGGGAAAATAATGGATGGTTGCATTTGTACTGAACACATACAGACTTTTCTCTTGTCATTATTTCCTAAACAATACAATATAACCACTATTACATAGCATTTACATTGTATTAGGTGTTACAAGTAACCTATAGATGATTTAAAGTATATGGGAGGATGTGTGTAGGTTGTATACAGTGTTACACCATTATATATAAAGGACTTGGGCATCCATGGATTTGGGTATCCACAGGTGTCCTGGAACTAATTTCCCACAGACACTGAAGGATGACTGTATTTTGAACTGGATGATTACAAAAATATTCCATATGAAAATATGTGTGTTTTTACAAAAGTAGTTTTAGAGAAAACATACATATTAGAAAAGAAAGGTTGACAAAAATGAGCAAAGTATCCATCTCAAGAAGTTGGCAAAAGAACATAAAAAGCAGAAGAAATAATGAAGATAAAGCAAAAATAAATGAAATATAAAACAAACATAAAATAGGATCATAAAAGCCAAAAGTTGGTTCTTTAAAAGATTAATAACATTGATAAACCTCTGAGATGCTGATCAAGAAAAGAACGAATACACAAATAACTAATATTAGAAATGAAAGAAGGGATTTTTACTATAAATCCTATAGACTTACAAAATATGAGGCTATAATGCACAATTTTATGCTATTTTTTTTTTTTTTTGAGATGGAGTTGCCCAGGCTGGAGTGCAGTGGTGCGATCTCTGCTCACTGCAACCTCTGCCTCCCAGGTTCAAGCAATCCTCCTGCCTCAGCCTCCTTAGTAGCTGGGATTACAGACACGTGCCACCACACCCAGCTAATTTTGTATTTTTAGTTTCACCATGTTGGCCAGGCTGGTCTCAAACTTCTGACCTCAGGTGATCCACCCACCTCGGCCTCCCAAAGTGCTGGGATTACAGGTGTTAGCCACCGTGCCTATGCTAATTTTTTAAAACTCTCATTTTGTTCAGGCATGGATCTCTTAGGAAATGGCAAAGTCTAAATCGTAGACTAATCATTGTTTGGCAATGGTTGGTTTAGTGGTGGCACGTGATGTGATGTTAGGAAGAATTCTATGGTAAATTTTGAGACTTCAAATAAAATGGTTAACTTCAATGCTGTGTTTTTTGTGGGGAGGGTTTTAAATTACTTTTGCTTAACTATGAGGCTATTCAAGTTATCTATTTTTGTGTTAGTGCTTCTGATATCCTTCTGACTTCATGGCATAAAAAGTTAAAGCAGGCTGGGTGCAGTGGCTCATGCTATAATCTCAGCACTTTGGGAAGCTGAGGTGGGAGGATCACTTGAGCCCAGGAGTTCAAGATCAGCCTGGGCAACATGGTGAGACTTCATCTCTACAAAAAGTTTTAAAAATTAGCCAGGTCATGGTGGCACACACCTGTAGTGCCAGCTACTTGGGAGACTGAGGTGGGAGGGTTGCTTGACCCCAGGTCTGCAGTGAGCCTGGGTGACAGAGTGAGACCCTGTCTCAAAAAAAGAAAAGAAAGGAAAGCAATACTTTTTTAAATTTCTTTCAACAAATATTTATAGGACACCTACTGTATGCTAGGTACTATTATTTACCATATTTCTTATATCCAGTCAGACTGGATTATTATTTAGGACAGAAAATTTAGAAACAAAAACGGCTCATCCCTAGAAGGATGCAGCTGCTTAAAAAAAAAAAGAAAGAAAAAAAAAGAAAAAAAGGTGGGGTGCTTAGCATAGCTGGTGGTGACAGTGCTATTGTGAAAGCTGAGTAGCACCTATTTCACAGAGCACCTCTATAATTTGTAAAGGAGTATGGTTTTTCAGATGTTACCTTTATTACTGGGATTCATGACCTGCGTAGACTTCAAGTAGGTTTATTGACTTCAGGGTATCCACAGTTCCTCTGAAATTGTATAGAATAGTTTATGTGTATATGCTTTTTGGTGATAGGGAAGAGAGGGTTCAATGGCTTTCCATAGATTTTTCAAAGGGTCCAAAAATGCTTAAGAACCACTGCTCTGTGGGTTAAGAAAAGTTTACAGAGACCAACAAATAGTTTTTTTCTTCATTTTGTGTTTTATGTCTGTTTTGAGTAACCATTATAGTAAAATATTATATATAAGATTCTCTTTGACTTTTGTTCAATTTATATTATTTTGCCATTACTTTAACTGATAACTTTTTTTTAAAGGTTCAGGAACAAGTGCATCCCACTCTCTCAGCTAATGAAGAGTCTCTCTATTATATTGAAGAGCTGATTTTTCAGCTGCTTAATAAATTATGCATGGCCCAGCCAAGGACTGTTCAAGATGTAGAGGTAAAAATTATTTTGTCATTTCAAAAAGTCACTCAACCACTGTATGAATTAATTTTTGTATCTATATCATTCTAATTTATTGTGAAAACTAAAACCACTGAAATTATGTATGATATATATGGTCAGTTTGTTTTTGACAAAAATGTCAAGGCAGTTCATTGAGGAAAGGCAAGTTTTTCAGAAAAAAAAAAACTTAGAACAACTGGGTACATTTATGAGGGGAAAAAACCTTGAAACCTATCTCATGCCGTAGACAAAAATTAATTCAAAATGGATCATGGCCTTAGACATAACAGCTAAACTACAAGGTTTCTAGAAGAAAATTCTGGAAAATATCTTCATAACCTGGGTTTAGGCACATATTTTTTAGAGAGGACTCAAAACATAGTACTTTATATTGAATAATAAGGCCAGGTGCGGTGGCTCACACCTGTAATCCCAGTACTTTGGCTGAGGCGGGAGACCGTCTCAAAAAAAAAAAACAAAAAAAAAATGTTCTCTATGTCAGTTGAGATGATGGTTACACAGACATAAGCATTTCTAAAACTCAACAAATTGTACATTTTAAGATCTGTGTATTTTACTGCATATAAATATTACCTCAATAAAAGATTAGTGTAAATTTTGAGGACATTTGCTCAGTGATTTAAAAAAATGTATATGTATGTGTGTGTGTATATATATATATATATCTGAAAAACTGTTTAAATTAGTACTAAAATAATTGTTTTGCCTTGGTTACATGGGAGTATTTTTGGATTTTTAGCAATATCTGTTAGGGAGAGTTTTACTTCTTTTGTATAAAAGCACCCTGTGCACATAAAATTAATATTAATAAAATTGGTATTATTTTCTCCTGCTAAAAACAAATGTCTAATAGTACAGCTATCAAAAATTATTTTCATTTTTATTTTTTGAGATGGAGTCTCACTCTGTCGCCCGGGCTGGGGTACAGTGGTGTGATCTTGGCTCACTGCAACCTCAGCTACCCAGGTTCAAGCTATTCTCCTGCCTCAGCCTCCCAAGCAGCTGGGACTACAGGCGTGCACCCCAGGCTAATTTTTATATTTTCAAAAATTACTTTTATACTATACTGTTTACATTTCCTTTTTTTTTGAAATTTGTTTCTATAAGCAACAACTTTCTTTCTTTCTTTTTGTGAAGTGGCATGATCATAGCTCACTGTAGCCTTGAACTCCTGGGCCCAAGTTGTCCTCCAGCCTCAGCCTCCCGAGTAGCTGGGACTACAGGCACGTGTCACTGCGCCCAGCTAATTTTTATTTTTATTTTTGTAAAGACTGGGCCTTGCCGTGTTGCCCAGGCTGGTCTTGAACTCCTGGCCTTCAGTGATCCTCCCTCCTCAGCCTTCCAAAGTGCTGGGATACAGGTGTTAGCCACCATGCCCAGCTACAACAACTTTCAGTATAAAGGAAAATCTTAATTTGTAGTGATTGAGCTATTAAGATTTTCCAGGATTCTTGGAATTAAAGCATTTTTTTCCCCTGTTCTCTGCTGCCAATTGTTTGGGTTTTGTTGTGTTTTGTTTTAAGAGACAGGGTCTTGCTTTATCACCCAGACTAGGGTGTAGTGACAGGATCATAGCTCACTGTAGCCTTGAACTCCTGGGATCAAGCAGTTCTCCTGCCTCAGCCTTCCAAGTAGCTGGGACTACAAGTGCATGCAACCATGCCTGGCTAATTTTTAAATTTTTTTGTAGAGACAGGGTCTCCCTACATTGCGCATGCTGGTTTCATACTCCTGGCCTCAAGGGATCCTCCCACCTCAGTCTCCCAAAGTGCTGAGACTTAGAGGCATGGGCCACCATGCCCAGCCTCTGCTACTAGTTTTGAACATGAAATAAACAGACTGAAAGCATATTTTTCAATAGCTAAATTTGCTAAAATCTGAGACTATAACTATAAATATAGGAAACCCTGCTAAATTAGAGTTTAATTCAGATCTCAGTAGTTCTTGTTTTTCATGCCAATGAATCACTGATTAAATTAAAATTAGATGAACTGCCTAGGTGCAGTGGCTCACACTTGTAATCCCAGCACTTTGGGAAGTTGAGGTGGACACAATCACTTGAGCCCAGGAATTTGAGACTAGCCTGGGCAACATGGCAAAACTCTGTCTCTACAAAAAATAGAAAAATTAGCCAAGAGTAGGGGTATGTGCTTGTAGTCCCAGCTACTCGGGATGCTGAGGTGGGAGGATCATTGGAGTCTGGGAAGTGGAGGTTGCAGTGAGCTGAGATCCCGCCACTGCACTTGCACTTCAGCCAGAAGTGACACAGACAGAGTGACAAGAGTGAGACCCTGTCTCCAAAAACAAAAAAGCAAGATGAACACAAAGGCTAAGATTGTTTTTGTCAAGGTACGTATTTTCATAAGCCATTCTGAGCTCTCTCACCCATTTCATCTTCCAAGAGATACATGACCTCTTTTATTTGAAGCTCTAAGATTAACGAAAGGAGAGTGGCTGTATACTAATGATTAAAAATGAATGAACAATTTCTGCTCTGCTAGGTAAATAGTTTTAACTCTAGAAACCTAACTTAAAATCACTAATACACTATTTCATGTTCGCTTTAATCTTTCTTATATATCCTATGTATTGTTTTTTCCTTTTTCCGGTTCATCTTAATTATGTTTAAAGCTTTCTTTTTGAAGTTTACCTTTTTGTTTTATCCATGAAAATTATGTGGAAAAATTTTGATAGTCCTGTTGACCTTTTTTTTTTTTTTTTTTTCTGTTGGGGGTCTCCCTCTCACCCAGGCTGGAGTGCAGTGGCATGATCTCGGCTTGCTGCAACCTCCGCCTCCTGGGTTCAAGCAATCCTCCCACCTCAGCTTCTGAAGTAGCTGGGACTATAGGCATGCACCACCACCATGCCGGGCTAATTTTTGTATTTTTAATAGAGATGGGGTTTCACCGTGTTGCCTGGCTGGTCTAAACTCCTGAGCTCAAGTGATCCACCTGCCTCAGCCTCCCAAAGTGTTGGGATTACAGACGTGAGCCACCGCGCCCAGCCTGACCTTTTTTTTAAGCCAAAAAATTTATTTATTACAGGAATCAGAATGTATTGTGTCACTATTATCTGCTAGCATTAAGAATAGAGATCAAGTTGAATTTTGTATGAATTTCCTATTTATGAACACTTTTATTAATACTACAATGGTTCTGCTGTGATTGAGCAGGAGCGAGTTCAGAAGACCTTTCCTCACCCAATTGATAAATGGGCCATTGCTGATGCACAATCTGCTATAGAAAAACGAAAACGAAGAAATCCTCTTTTACTGCCTGTGGACAAAATCCATCCTTCGTTGAAGGTAACAAAAGATTAAACATTAGTTGGGGGGTGTTCTTTATAACAAGTAATATTTTATTTCTATATTTATAAAGCATTAATGTAGCATGGTCTGTGTTAGTGTGTATATGTGCACTTCCATATGTATGCTTGTACATACACATCGCATATATTAATATGTATACAAAATGATTATGCTCTGGTGAAATTGGATTGCTTTTCAAACAATATTAAAAATTATTAATAGTGATAATGCATTACTATTATTTTGTGGCATCTTTTTTTTTTTTAAGTAGAGACAGGGTCTTGCTGTGTTGCCCAGGCTGGTCTCAAACTCCTGGGCTCAAGTGATCCACCTACTTGGCCTCCCAAAGTGCTAGGATAAGAGTCATGAGCCATCAGGCCTGGCCCATTGTGGCATCTTTATGGCATCTTCCAATGACTGCTACTCTGACTAATTCCTATGTAGTAGGCCATGATTCTCAGTCATTTGTTGATTAAGAAAGTGTATAATTTCAGAAGCTACTGTGAGTTCAGAACTGTCTTTAAAATTAATTTATATTATCACAGATTATTTTTTATATACTGGAAAAGTGGACTAGGACCTAGTTTGGCTATTGCATATTAACGCATAGGGCAAAATATGTTTGGTGTATATGGATTTTAAGAGTTTTGTAGCAAATTCAAGCCCCCCCCGCCCCGCCTGCCTCACACACACAGACACTTCCATACCTCCCCTCAGTAGAAACTACTGTAATTAGGGGATACTGGTTTTAAAGCAGAGTCCTTGAAGATAGCAGATATTTTGATATTTGTCAGATGAATTTTGGTTAATGTATTAAGAGGCTTTTAGTGGAGTCCAACCCAAGATTTCTATATCAAGATCAACTGTTGTTGTTTGATAAAAGGCAGAGTTGTTAGATTAGATGTCTCTTAAAAGAAAAAAAATCCCCTAATACAGGGACCAAAGATTCATTTTATATCCCGTGGTACCCATACATTTAGACATGTAGTTAATAGAAAATTTTTTATAAGCAAGGATGTTAAATAGGAATTTTTTAAGTGTGTAATACTTGACAGTGCTACATTTTGCAATTAAATTATTTATTCTTTTCACAGGAAGTATTAGGGTACAAAGTGGACTACCATGTATCCCTATATATTGTGGCTGTACTAGAGTATATCTCAGCTGATATTTTAAAATTGGCTGGTAATTATGTTTTTAATATCCGGCATTATGAAATATCTCAGCAGGACATTAAAGTGTCAATGTGTGCGGATAAGGTAAGTGTTACAAGGTATTTAAATTTAACTTGAATAGCAACTATACTAATTTCTGCCTCAATCTTTTTGTGTACATTATTAGATAAGTAATCTTTATAATTGCTAGTACTGGAAGAGAGAAAAATCCTGGCTTTACAGAGTAACCGTGATATTTCCAGGTTTTTAAGCATATGGCAGGATGGGGATCTCTTTTTTTGGTCAAGAATCTTTTACTTACAAGAAAAAAAACATCCAAGGCCTCAAAACAATTTAAGTAGTTTCAGTTTTATATTTTTAGAAAGAGAATATATAGAGTTCTACTCAGGTACTTTTAAGTGTAAGTAATTTTGAAGACCCTACTTTGGTTTCACAGCATAGCTTAGTGAGGCACAGGGGAGAGAAAATTAGACTGCAATGTTGAAGTTACTCCCCTCTGATCATTTTTTTGTTTTTATATCTGTCTTCTTTCCTGGCTGTAAGCTACTTGTGGGAAGAAATTGAGTCTTCCATATTCTTCTATATTCCTTTACTTACCTTCTTATTCTTCTTCCTGTTATTTGAGACAAGGTCTCACTTTGTCACCCAGGCTGGAGTGCAGTGGCACAATCTCAGCTCACTGCAAACTTTGCCTCCCTGGCTCAAGCGATCCTCCTATCTCAGCCTCTCGAGTAGCTAGGACCACAGGCGTGCATCACCACGTCCAGCTGTTTTTATATTTTTTGGAGAGATAGGGTTTCACCATGTTGCCCAGGCTGGTCTTGAACTCCTGAGCTCAAGTGCTTGCCTCAGCCTCCCAAAGTGTTGGGATTATAGGCATGAGCCACTGCACCCACTGAAGCTATAACGCTGAATAACATAGCAATCTTTGTGTTAGAAGGTATTTATTTTACTGCAAAATAAAAATATTATAAACAGATAATTACAGAACAATATGATTAAAACTATCATACTAGTAAGTCCAAGGTACAGTGGAGAAAGTAATGAACTTTAGCACGGGTGAGGCCAGAAAGACTACAGAGAAAATGCCTAAATGAAACTCTCTCAGGGTGAACAACCTTCAGGACCTAGCACATGCTGGTGGTTCTCAGCCTTGACTGCACATCAGAATTAATAGAAAGCTTTTTAAAGAATGCTGATGCCTGCATATCACCCCCAGAGATTTAATTGGCCTGGATTGGATCTCCAAACCTCAGTGTTCTTTGAAAGCATTCCAGGTAATTCTGATGTGCAGTTATAATGACTGAGACCGATTGTACGATGCCATAATTTCAGAAATGACTTTTCACTTACATCATGGTAGCAATTCCTTGTTATCTCTATTTTGACTTACAAAATTATGGCTACTTTTTTTTTTTTTTTACTTTGAAAATATCTTAGACTTTTAGAAAAGTTGGAAGTACAACAAAAAGTAAGCCCTTGCCACTTGAACCATATGAGAGTAAGTTGCCAATATAGTATGTCCTATAAACAAGAACATTCTGCTACATTACCACAGTATGACTGACAGTCAAAATCCAGGAAATGAATACATTTGATACATTATACCATCTAACTTTCAAACATCATTCAAGTTTTGTCACATATCCTAATGATCTTTTTACCAAAATCATTCATTCCAGAATCATATATTGTTTATGTGTCATGTATTTTTATCGTCTTCAGTCTGGAATAATTCCTCATTCCTCCCTTAACTTCAAAAAAAAAAAAAAAAAGATGGCAAAGCAGGCCAGGTGGTGGATCACGCCCGTAATCCCAGCACTTTGGGAGGCTGAGGCGGGCAGGTCACTTAAGGTCAGGAGTTCAAACCAGCCTAGTCAACATGGCAAAACCCCGTCTCTACTAAAAATACAAAAAAAGTAGCTGGGCATGGTGGCATATGCCTGTAATCCTAGCTGCTTGGGAGGCTGAGGCACGAGAATCATTTGAACCCAGGAGGTAGAGTTTGCACTGAGTTGAGATTGCACCACTGCATTGCAGCCTGGGTGACAAAGCAAGACTGTTTCAAAAAAAAAAAAAAAAAAAGGTGGTAAAGCTGACTTTATTCAAGAGAGGCCATGGCAATAGGCACAGGGACCACTGCAGTGTAATCCTGTGGTTGGGGAGAGAGATGTTAGAATCAACTCTCCTCCCTTAACTTCTATAACCTGGACGCTTTTGAGAGTTACAGGTCAGTTACTGTGTAGAATGTCCCTCAATTTCGGTTTTCTCTGTTGTTTTCTCTTGGTTAGAATCAGGTAATGGTCTTTAGCAGGAATATCATAGAAATTGTGCTGTGTTCTTCTCATTGCATTTTCTCAGATGGCACACAGGCACATGATTTCATTGTGTCTCATTAGTGGTGGTGATGTTGACTTCGATGACTTGATTAAGGAGTTATCTGCCAGGCTTTTCATCTGTGAAGTTACTGTTTTCCCTTTTGTAATTAATAAATGAATATTTTGTGGAGTACTTTGAAACTGTGTATCTTATTCTTTATCACACTCAAATTTAATATGGACTAATGAATTGTTATTTTATTCAATGGGTCATAATCTGTTACTTCATTATTTAGATGTTGTAGGCCAGGCACCGTGGCTCATGCCTGTAATCCCAGCACTTTGGGAGGCTGAGACAGGTGGATCGCTTGAGCTCAGGAGTTGGAGACCAGCCTGGGCAACATGTCTCTACAAATAAAAAAAATTATCCGGGCGTGTGCTTGTGACTATAGTCCCAGCTATTTGGGAGGCTGAGGTGGGAGAATCACTGGAGCTCGGGAGGTTGAGGCTACATGGAATCGAGATCACGCCACTGCACACCAGCCTAGGTGACAGAGTGAGACACTGTCTCAAACAAAAAAAAGTTCCGGTTGTTCCAGATTTGGTTATTAGGAGCCCTAGCTTGGTTTTTCTGTTCCTGTCATTATTTGAGCACTTTATTTTCTTTTCCCCTTCCTATTTATTAATTTATTTAATTATAAATTGACAAATTATAGTTGTATATATTTATGGAGTACAAGGTAATGTTATGATTACAAAGAAAATGTGGAATAATTAAATCAAGCTGATTAACATTTATTACCTCAAATACTTATTTTTTGTGGTGAGAACATTTGAAATTTACTCTTAGCTAGTAGAATGATGGTTACAAGGCTAGGAAAGGTAGCTGGAGTGGGGGAAATGGGGATGGTTAATGGGTACAAAAATATTGTTAGAATGAATGAGATCTAGTATTTGATAGCACAACAGGGTGACTACAGTCAACGATAATTTGTTGTATATTTTACAACAATTAAAAGAGTTTAATTGGATTGTTTGTAACACAAAAAAAGGATAAATGCTTGAGGTGATGGAGACTCCATTTTATTCTGATGTGTGCATTATATGCCTGCATTTACCCCATACATATATACACCTACTATGTACCCACAAAAATTTCTTTTAAAAATTGAAATGACAAAAAAATTTACTCTTTTTGCAATTTTGAAATGTAAATACATTATTATTTACTATATTCACCATACTGTGCAATAAATCTTACAAAAAAGACCCAATTCCTCCTAATTGAGGTTTTGTCCCCCTTCCCTTCAGCCTCTGGTAACCACATTCTACTCTGCCTCTATGAGTTTGTTCCAGATTCCACATGTAAGTGAAAACACATATGCATTTTCTTTGTTGTTTGTTTTTTGTTTTTGTTTTTTTTCTTTTTTGAGACGGAGTCTCACTCTGTCGCCCAGGTTGGAGTGCAGTGGTGTGATCTCGGCTCACTGCAACCTCCGCCTCCCAGGTTCAAGCAATTCTCCTGCCTCAGCCTCCCAGGTAGCTGGAACTACAAGTGCCCACCACCATGCCTGGCTGATTTTTGTGTTTTTAGTAGACGGGGTTTCACTATGTTGGCCAGGCTGGTCTCGAACTCCTGACCTTGTGATCTGCCTGCCTCGGCCTTCCAAAGTGCTGGGATTACAGGCTTGAGCCACCACACCCAGCTTCTTTGTTTTTGAGAGCTTGAGTCTCCCTCTGTCACCCAGGCTCACTGCAGCTTCAAACCCCTGGGCTCAGGCAATCCTCCTGCCTCAGCCTCACAAGTAGCTAGAGCTATAGGTGCCTGCCACCATGCCCAGCTAATTTCTAAATTCTTGTAGGAATGGGGTCTTGCTATGTTGCCCAGGCTGGTCTGGAATTCCTGGCTTCTAGTGATTTTCTTGCCTCAACCTCCCAAGATGCTGGGATTACAGGTGTTGGCCACTGCACCAGGCCATAAACTATTTTTTTTTAATAAGTCATTCCTTTATTTGAAGCATTTTTCCATGTCCTAAATCTTCACCTTTTGAGAGTTTAAAAAAATCTTCATGTGGCAGGATTTTCAGATCCCCTTGTTATATTGCTTTTAGACTGATTTCTAAAACTGTGAAGACAATAGTCCAGATTTGGTCTGACCAACAGAGTATATTGAAATGCATGTACGTATCCTTCATTCTATATGCTATTCTTTAATAATTTCAGCATTAATATTTTGGCACCACGTTACTCTGTGTACTTGTTGAGTCTGCAGATTTCTAAACTCCCGAGGACTGTTCCACATGAAGTACCATTATGTTAGGTCTTTGATTTCTCCAACTTGTGCTTGTTGATTTTTTGTTATTGTTGTAAGAATGAACGTGAATTTATCCCTAGAAAACTTCATACTGTTATTGAGGCTATGTTCCAGCATATGTAGATATTTTAAAAATTGAATTCTGTCATTCAGCATTTTAGATACTCTACCCAGGTTTTTGTAAAGTGTACAAGTCTGATAAACCTTGAATTAAAATTATTTAGTAAAAATGTTGAAAAGGCCAGGTGCCTTTGAATCTGAGAGGCGGAGGTTGCAGTGAGCCGAGATCACGCCACTGCACTCCGGCCTGGGTGACAGAGCGAGACTCCATATTATTTTATTTAATTTATTTATTTTTTATTGTTGAGACAGAGTCTTGCTCTGTCACCCAGTATGGAGCGCAGTGGCGTGATCTTGGCTCACTGCAACCTCTGCCTCCCAGTTTCAAGCAATTCTCCTGCCTCAGCCTCTCAAGTAGCTGGGATAACAGGTGCCTGCCACCATGCCTGGCTAATATTTTTGTATTTTTAGTGGAGATGGGATTTTACCATGTTGGACAGGTGGGTCTCAAACTCCTGACCTCAGGTGATCTATCCACCTCAGCCTCCCAAAATGCTGGGATTACAGGTGTAAGCCCCCGCGCCCAGCCAATACTCCATCTTAAAAAAAAAAAAAAAAAAAAAAAAAAATTGAAAGGGATTATATAAGAAATGAGATTTCCAACATATGTTATTAGTGGCATTCTTCTAGGTTAAAAGTTACCACTTTTCTTCATTCCTGCCTTTTAGTTAGCTATTATTTCACATTTTATTTAATTCATGGGTCAACAAACTTTACCTATAAAGGGCCAGGGGATAAATATTTTAGGCTTTGTGGGCCATACGTCTTTCTTGCATCTACTCTTCTCTGCTCTTGTAGCATGAAAGCAGCCATAAATGAATGAGCATGGGCTATGTTCCAGCAAAACTTTATTTACAAAAACAGGCTGCAGGCTGGATTTGGCCTGTAGTTTGCTGGTCCTTGTTTCAGACATTCCTGTCATGATCCCCTATTTGTCACAAGAGACTGTCATATGCTTAGCTAAAATCCAGATGACTTGGCCGGGCGTGGTGGCTCACACCTGTAATCCTAGCACTTTGGGAGGCCAAGACGGGCAGATTGTCTGAGCTCAGGAGTTTGAGACCAGCCTGGGCAACATGGTGAAACCCCATCTCTACTAAAATACAAAAAATCGTCCAGACGTGGTGGCGATTGCCTATAATCCCAGCTACTCAGGAGGCTGAGGCACAAGAATTGCTTGAACCTGGGAGGCGGAGGTTGCAGTGAGCCGAGTACCACTTAACTCCAGCCTGGGCAACAAAGTGAAACTATGTCTCAAAAAAAAAAAAAATCCCGATGACTTGATATGTGGGTCTAGTTATGTAACCCTAAGTAATGAGATTGTATGATGTGGTATGATCTTAGTATATCCAAACTGATATCTAGAGATCACTAGTTCAAGAGCTCACAGACCATTTGTTTAATAAATTATTTGAATATATGGTTTCTAGGGATATCTTTAATTTGCCAGACAGAGAACTTGAGAATCAACCCTATTTCTTTACAGTTAAAAATAAAAATAACATGTGGCTATATGAGGTATTCTAGCATATCAAAGATTGCTGAGAATTAGATGATCATAGGAAAGAACCATAGAATTTAACTTCTAGTATATAAGTTACTACTAATGAAAATAGTATTTAAAACTGGAAAAACTGAACATAAATGCTTAAGAAGGAAATTGATGTTTAGGAAAGGTAAAGGCCAGGCACAGTGGTTCACGCTTGTAATCCCAGCACTTTTGGAGGTTGAGGCAGGAGGATAGATGGAGCCCAGGAGTTTGAGACCAGCCTGGGTAGCATAGCAAGACATCATCTCTACAAAAAATTTAAAAAAAGAAACAAAGAAAGAAAGGTGAGATACCCTGGGGAATATAGCAAGACCTCATCTCTACTAAAAATAAAAAAAATATTAGCTGGGTGTGGTGGTGCATCCCAGCTACTTGGAAGGCTGAGGTGGGAGGATTGTTTGAGCCTAGGACATTGAGGCTATAGTGAGCTATTATTGTGCCATTGGGCAACAGTGGACAAAAAAAACCAAAAAAAAGGTGAGAGAATAAGAGGGCACAAAGCTGCTCTGAGGAAGCTTAGTTCACCAGATCTAGATATACTAGCAGTTGAGTTCTGTATTTTCTTTCTTTTGTTTTTAACCTATTGAATTATACTTTTTTTTTTCCTTCTGAGACAGACTCTCACTCTCTCAACCAGGCTGGAGTATAATGGCGTGATCTTGGCTCACTGCAACCTCTGCCTCCTGGGTTCAATCCATTCTCCTGCCTCAGCCTTCTGAGTAGCTGGGATTACAGGCACTTGCCACCACGCCTGGCTAATTTTTGTATTTTTAGTAAAGACAGGGTTTTGCCGTGTTGGCCAGGCTGGTCTCGAACTCCTGACCTCAAGTGATCTGCCTGCCTTGGCCTCCCAAAGTGCTAGGATTACAGGCATGAGCTACTGCGCCTGGCCTTTGTTTTTGTTTTTGTTTTTTTTTAAAGACAAGGTCTTGCTCTTTCGCCCAGGCTGGAGTGTAGTGGCGCAATCTCTGCCCAGTGCAACCTCTGCCTCCCGTGTTCAAGCGATTCTCCCACATCAGCCTCCTGAGTAGCTGGGATTACAGGTGCGTGCTACCATGCCTGGCTAATTTTTTGTACTTTTAGTAGAGACAGGGTTTCGCCATGTTGGGCAGGCTGGTCTTGAACTCCTGACCTCAGGTGATCCATCCACCTTGGCCTCTAAAGTTCTGGGATTATAGGCGTGAGCCACCCATGCCTGGCCAGAAAAATCTGAAGCTAACAGGAGTGGGGTATGAATATATTTTCTCTTTCATGGTAGTATTACTCCATCTGTTTCAAGAGCTAGCTTGCTCGCTCCTTTTTTTTTTTTTTTTTTTTTTTTTTTTTTTTTGTGACAAGGACTCACCTAAGCCGGAGTACGGTGGTGTGAACACGGCTCACTGCAGCCTCAACCTCCAGAGCTCAAGTGATCCTCATGCCTTAGCTTCCTTTGTAGCTGGGACCACAGGCTTGAACCACCATGCCTGGCTGTGTTTAAAATTTTTTTGTAGAAACTGGGTCTCTCTTTGTTGCCCAGGCTGGTCTTGAACTCCTGGGCTCAAGCAATCCTCCCAGTTTCAGACTGGTGACCTTCTAGTGAATAGGGTCTCTAGGTTTGTTTTTTAAATTTTTGAATTATTTGCCATCCATTTATATTTACAGATCTAAAAATTTTACATAAAAATGTAAATCCCAGACTTTTCATGAAAAAAGAAAATCAGAATGCCTAACAGAAAACAGCTGGCACTGAGCAGCACACTTCCTCTTTAGGTGCATGTACCTTCCGGTTTACCATAATCCCCACTGTTTCTTATATATTATAATGTTACTTGCCTGACCCCTGTAGCATTTAAATTCAGGAACTTTGGTATTATGTGACCAAAAGAGTTTTAAGAATGGAACTCTGGAGTGGGTGGTAGAGAAGGTAAGTCATAGAGGAGGCCCCACTGACAGAATGGTGTATCAGAAGCCAAGAAGAGAAAAATTGTTTGGAGCTGGGGGGTTTATATGTGTTTTTTCTTATTTAGAGATAGGATCTCATTCTGTCACTCAGGCTAGAATGTGGTGGTACAATATTAGCTCACTGCAGCTTCGAATTCCTGGGCTCAAGTGATTCTCCCACCTCAGCCTTCAGAGTAGTTAGGACCGCAGGTGTCTACCAGCATACCTGGTTATTATTTTTTTTTACTTTTGGTAGAGATAGAATCTTGCTATATTGCCCAGGCTGGTCTTGAATGCCTGGCCTCAAGTGATCCTCCTGCCTCGGCCTCCCAAAGTGCTGAGATTGTAAGCATGAGCCACCATGCCTCGCCCTGAGAGTTTTAAGAGTTTTAAGAATGAGAGAATGGTCAGCTGTGTCAAAAACTAGAGAAAACAAGTAGGAAGACTAAAACACACCATTAGATTTGACACTAGATCAATAGTGAGAGCAGTTTTAATATAGTAATGGGCTTGCTAAGTGAATGGGAGCAAGAAGTTACAGCTAGCAAGTATGACCTACTCTAAAAGGGTCTCTGGTGGGGAAGAGAAGAGGGTGGTAGCTCTTCTGTGTGTTTTTATGTCTTATGTCTTCCTTTATTTTGCATGTCTGTTTGAAATCAGAGTTCATCACCAAATTCCCTGTGTAGCCTTACTGGTTTCTTTAAATTTAAAGTGGCTGGGAAGTGGGGATGATGGTCTCCAATGACAAGAAGGTGGATTGCATGGAGTAAGCAGTGGGGAAGGGAGGGATTTGAGAGTGTCACAGAACATGAGATTAGGAAGGTGGGTTGGAGTTAAATTATGAATGGCCTTTATCCTAAAGAAGTTAGGATTTTATGCAGAAGGCAATGAAATCCAGTATCATTTTTATGTATCATTTATTTTTAGTAACATGATTTTAGAACTGGGGTTGGGAAGACCTGTGGCAGGCAGATCAAATTATGAAACTTGTGTATCTTTTTAAGAGATGGTGATTGTTTAGTGGAGTAATCTAAAGCCTGCGGTAAGATGGAGAGAGCTGACCAGATTTAAAAGATGCTTATAAGATATTTCTGAGTTAGATTCAAAAAGATTAGGAAGGCAGAGTTCATGTTTACTTTATTAGCATATTTTACCAACATGTGGTACAGTTTATGGTGATCAGTAGATGTTTTTCAGAATGAATGAATGAATATCTGTTATTGTGTTGTCAGAATTTCCTCTCATCCCTTTGAAGTTTTTACTTTTTGTAGTTTCCTTTTCAGGGTATACCTTTATGCTGAACTCTCTGGGTACGTTTCGGTCAGTCTTAAATATATAATTAACTAGGTCCAATCATTTTTTTTAAAAAAAAGTATTATTAATTATAAAATGTATGGTCACAGCCAGGCGCAGTGGCTCACACCTGTAATCCCAGCACTTTGGGAGGCTGAGGCAGGTGGATCACTTGAAGTCAGAAGCTCGAGACCAGCCTGAATAACATGGTGAAACCCCGTCTCTATTAAAAATACAAAAAAAAATTAGCCAGGCATGGTGGCGTGCACCTGTAATCCCAGCTACTCAGGAGGCTGAGGCAGGAGAATCACTTGAACTTGGGAGGCGGAGGTTGCAGTGAGCTGAGATCATGCCACTGTACTCCAGCCTGGGTGAGAGAGCAAGACTGTGTCTCACAAAAAAAAAAAAAATAAAAAATAAAGTATAGTCAACTTTCTTTTTCACTTTGATTTATAGCTAGTTCTTGCCTGTTGGTTGACCTAAGTCCATGGTAGCATTTCTGAAAGAAGAAGTGGTTGCTACAACAATTTAAGCATCTGTGAGATGTTTGGGTTTAGCAAATGAACGTAATAGCAGTGGTCATTGTAGTAAATGTGCATCAGAAATGCATCGCACTGATCTATCGTGTGCCTCTACCATAGTAGCATTTCACTTTTCTCCTTTTAACCCTACTCAAATATGTACTGTCATCCTTATAATATGGCAAGGAACTACCATGTTGAATACCTACTATTTGCTAGATGTAGTAGTATGCATTTTATATACATTACCACATTGAATTCTTCTTATCAGCTACATTTTACTCATAAGGAATGTGACTTTCAAAAGAATAAATGTGTTCATAATCATAGTCGAGTAGTGGCTGAACTGGGATTTTTGGCTCGGGTTATTGTTCCCCAAAGACAGGCTTGCTTTTTTTTTTTTTTTTTGCTATTATGTGTGTGTGTGTGTGTGTATTACAGTATACATATATACATATACATATGTATTAGTACATATTTCACCATTAGTTCATATCTCCAGAAATATTTATTTTGCCATACTCGATTTTATTTGAATATTTCCCACCTTCAACAACTTTTTTTCCTTTTATTCTAGGTTTTATCATATAAATTTACTTATAATACACACAACTCATTGTGTAATATTTGTGTGTGCGTGTGTGTGTGTGTGTGTGTGTGTGTGTGTGTGTGTGTGTGATGGAGTCTCGCTCTGTCGCCCAGGCTGGAGTGCAGTGGTGTGATCATGACTCAACTGCAGCCTTGACCTCCCAGGCTCAAGCAATTCTCCTGCCTCAGCCTCCCAAATAGCTGGGATTACAAGCGCCTACCATGACGCCTGGCTAATTTTTTGTATTTTTGGTCGAGACAGGGTTTCACCATGTTGGCCAGGCTGGCCTTGAACTCCTGACCTCAAGTGATCCTCCTGCCTTGGCCTCCCAAAGTGCTGGGATTACAACACCCAGCCCTGTTTAATAACGTATAGATTTCAAGTACTTTGAGGCAGTTTTTATAAAAGTAAAGAAAATAAATTTATACATTATTGATTTCTGTTTCTCAGGTTTTGATGGACATGTTTGATCAGGATGACATAGGTTTGGTTTCTCTCTGTGAAGATGAACCTAGTTCTTCTGGTGAATTAAACTACTATGATCTTGTCAGAACTGAAATCGCAGAAGAAAGACAGTATCTACGGGAATTAAATATGATCATAAAAGTGTTTCGAGAAGCCTTTCTTTCTGATAGAAAGCTGTTTAAACCTTCTGTAAGTACCTTTTTGGGTTTGAAATTCTGTGTACCCCAAAAAACCAGACCAGCTTAAAATCATAAATAGTCACTTTTTTTTATTTTTTTGAGACGGAGTCTTGCTCTGTTGCCCAGGCTGGAGTGCAGTGGCGTGATCTCAGCTCGCACCACTGCAGCCTCCACCTCCCGGGTTCAAGCAATTCCTGCCTCAGCCTCCTGAGTAGCTGGGATTAGAGGCATGCACCACCACAATCGGCTAATTTTTTTATATTTTTAGTAGAGATGGGGTTTCTTCATATTGGCCAGGCTGGTCTCAAACTGCCGACCTCAAGTGATCCACCTGCCTTGGCCTCGCAAAGTGCTGGGATTATACGCATGATCCACTGCACCCAGCCCATAAATAGTAACTTTAAATACTTTATGAGTACATTAAAAATACTTTCATGTATTTGTGGGCTTTATAAACATGTGAATTGTTATATAATAGGTACAGTGACAATGAAAATTAGGCACAAAATTAGAAGGAGGTTTATACTGGGGTGAAATCATTTTCCGTTATGCAGTTCTGATATTTAGAGTCATTCATTTGGAGGTGGTGAAAAAGATGTATGGTCTAGGAAAGGAAGACCTCTGCATTTTTCTGTCTTTTGGTAAGTACCTTAAGGCAGTAGTTTAAAGTTTTAGTTTGAAGCTCAGAATACCATGGGGTTAAAAAAAATAAAGTTTTAACGGTGGAACTTTTAAAAATAAAAGTTTATGCAGAATGCCATGTTTAACAAACAAAAAAGTTTTTTTTCTTTCTTTTATCACATGATTTATTTTTCCATGTCTATGTGTTTGGCCCACACTTTAAAAATAATTAGTCTTGACCGGGTGCAGTGGCTCACGCCTATAATCCCAGCACTTTGGGAGGCCAAGGCAGGCAGATCACGTGGTCAGGAGATCGAGACCATCCTGGCTAACACGGTGAAACCCCGTCTCCACTAAAAAATACAAAAAAGTTAGCCGGGCGTAGTGGTGGGCGCCTGTAGTCCCAGCTACTCCGGAGGCTGAGGCAGGAGAATGGCGTGAACCTGGGAGGCAGAGCTTGCAGTGAGCCGAGATCACGCCACTGCACTCCAGCCTGGGCGACAGAGCGAGACTTCTTCTCAAAAAAAAAAAAAAAAAAAAGTAACAATAATAATAATAATAATAATTAGTCTTGGCCAGGTGCAGTGGCTCATGCCTGTAATCTCAGCTGTTTTGGGAACCTGAGACAGGAGGATTGCTTGAGGCCAAGAATTTGAGACCAGCCTGGGTAACAGAGCAAGACCCAGTCTCTACAAAAAAATTTAAAATTTAGCTGGGCATGATGGCACATGCCTGTAATCCCAGCTGCTGGGGAGGCTGAAGTGAGAGATTTGCTTGAGCCAGGAATTTGAGACTATAGTGAGCCATGATCGTGCCACTGCACTCCAGCCTGGGCAAAAGAGCAAGACCTCGGCTCAAAAAAAAGATACTTAGCCTTTGTCTTATTTATCTTGTACCTCCTAACTTCCTCCACAAAATAACTACATCGTGAGTAAATAAGAGTGACACTCAGACACAGGTGGTTGAGTATTTAAAGTTAGGAACAGATTTAGCTTTTCTCATTATATTCCAAAAGAATGAGTTTTAAATGATAATCGAAAGTGTTTTAGTTGGCAATTACTTTTTTTCTTTTGGATATATGTTTAGTTTAACAATGTTTATAATAACTCCTACTGGGAATACTATCATAAGTAGTCAGAACTTTATGTTTTTCAAAGTACTGTTCTATTTTATTTGACCCTTATAACAATCCTGAGGGATAGAATGGGCAAATATTGTCATCTCTACTTTACTTGTAAGGAGATTGACTTTTTTTTTTTTTTTTTAAATATAGATGGGGGTCTTGCTATGTTGTTCAGGTTGGTCTTGAACTCCTGGGCTTAAGCAGTCTTCCTTCTCAGCCCCCCAAAGTGCTAAGATTACAGGCTTGAGCCACTGTGCCTAGCTGGAAATTAACATCTTAATCAAGTTAGTTATAGAGCTTAATCTTGAATGTGGCTTCTTTTCTACCACGTTATAATTGGATTTTGTCTCTAGTGGTATGAAGAATAAAAACCTAATAAATGCTGGCAGCTAATATTATCTTTGTCTTTTTGTGTCCCATCAGTTTTCATTCCTCAGGAATTAATTTTTATGGGTCTCTTTTCACTGGATTAGTGCTGATATGACAGAAAATGTCTATTTTAATACTAAAGGGTCAGATGGAAGAGTGAATCCCTTTTTTATCTATCTCTGTATCTACTATAATTTTTTTTAGCATTAAGTAAAATATAAACTTTTGAGGGAAAGACTATCTAAAATCAGAGCATAGTACTCTGCAAATATTAAAGAAGTGAATGACTTAAAAATGATCTTAAGTTACTCCTTTTGCCCCTCATCCTATGTTTTCAAAAAGCTCGCATTTCTGGAAGGCCTAATATGTGCCAGGAGCATTTTACAGAAATCATCTAATTTAACCCTAAGACCCTGATGAGCTGGGTATTAGCAGACCAAATGTGTGATAACGGGCAAATTACTTAACTGCTCTATGCCTCTGTTTCCTCATTTGTAAAATGAGGATGATGATAGTACCTATCTAATAAGGATATTAGGTTATTACATTTCAAGTGCTTAGAAGAGTGCCTAGAATATAATGTGCCCAATACATGTTAGTTGTTATTATTGTCCTTTTCATTCCTAAGCCAGGGTCATTCATCTGGCATGTTGTAAAAGGGAAAAACAGTTTTTCCTCTCTAATCTTTTTTTTTTTTTTTTTGAGACAGAGTCTTGCTCTGTCATCCAGGCTGGAGTGTAATGGTGCAGTCCTGGCTCACTGCAACCTCTACCTCCCGGGTTCAAGCGATTCTCCTGCCTCAGCCTCCCGAGTAGCTAGGATTAGAGATGTGCACCACCACGCCTGGCTAATTTTTGTACTTTTGGTAGAAACGGGGTTTCGCCATGTTGGCCAGGCTGGTCTCGAAATCCTGACGTTAGGTGATCCACCCACCTTGACTTCCCAAAGTTCTGGGATTATAGGCATGAGCCACCGCGCCTGACCCCTCTCTAATCTTCACACTCAACACAGAACATTTCTGTGACAACGTATGTGAGGATTTTTTCCCCATACACCAAAGTAATTCTCCTGTGTACACCAACTAGGTGTCCTATAATTTAGCTCAATTTTGACATTATTTACCTCTAAATAGTGTCAGATCTCACAGATTAAGGACTCAGTCCCAACACGACTGTCTCACACTTCAGGCGCCAATTGAAAGTCCCAGGTTGTGAACTGTGCTCCGAACTGATCAGTTATAAATTGGAGTTCCCATGACCCCCTCCTTGGGTTCCATTAATTTGGTCGAACAGCTCACAGAAATCAGGGAAACACGTTTACCAGTTTATTATGAAGGACTTTAAAATGATACAGATGAAGAGATGGACAGGGCAAAGTATAGGGGCACAGAGTTTCCAAGCCCTCTCTGGGCAAGCCACCCTCCTAGCACCTCCACAAGGTCTGCAACCAGGAAGCTCATCAAGAGTTTTTATGGAGCTTGATCTCTAGCCTCTCACCCCTGCCCTTTTTTTTTTTTTTTTTTTTTTTTTGGAGACAGGGTCTGGCTCTGTTGCCCAGGCTTAAGTGCAGTGGCACCATCTTGGCTCACCATAACCTCTGCTTCCTGGGCTCAAGCAGATCCTCCAGCTTCAGCCTCCTGAGTAGCTGGGACTACAGGCACATACCACCCCACCCGACTAATTTTGCATTTTTTGTAGAGATGGGGTTTTGCCATGTTTCCCAGGCTCTTTCCCCAATTTTTTAGAGGTCAGTGGGTGGGGCTGAAAGTTGCAACCCTCTGATCCTTTTTCTTTTTCTCATGAGTCAGTTTGGTTTCAAGTAACCCTTCAATCCTCTAATCATCTGGTCTTTTTGGTGACTGGCCCTATCATGAGGTTATCTAGGGGCCCTACTGTAAGTAACCTCATTAGCATAAACTCAGTATTTATCAAAGGTACTCATTATGAATAACAAAAGACATTATTATCACTCAGGATATTCTTAGCGTTTTAGGGGCTCTAAGACAGGAACCAGGGACAAAGACCAAAAATATGTTTCATATTATACCACATGTGGTGGAGCCAGGATCCAAGCTCAGGTCTGTCAGGTTCCAAAGCCCGTGATGTTTCCATTATAAGATGCCAGAGTGAATAATAGTTGGCCATAACCGGGATGGTCAGTCATATGATGTGTTTGTGTTCAGAGGGCTTGAACCTGTCTTATCCTAGATATATGGCTATCTGCCACATATGATGTTTTAGTCAGTGATAAGACTATAAATACCCATATATATGACAGTAATCCTGTAAGATTATACTATATTTTTACTGTACCTTTTCTCTATATAGATATGTTTAGATACACAAATACTTAACATTGTGTTACAGTTACCTACAGTATTCCATACAGTAACATGCTGTACAGGTTTGTAGCCCAGGAGCAACAGGCTATACCTATATGGCCTAAATGTTGTAGTATATCATCTAGCCGTGATATTTGCACAATGACAAAATCGCCTAACAGCGCATTTCTCAGAACATACCCGTCTTTAAGCAGTGAATGGCTGTAATTCACAGACGGGAGCTTGGATGAAATCTGTAATTCCTTCTCAGATCCAGGAGATGGGCCCTAAATTGTGAAACCAGATTGTAACAGGATTAGGAGTTATCTTCATTCTCATCCCAGCTCTTACCATTAATCTATAAGACTATATAGCCTAAGCTATAAGTAAAACCTAGGGCTCTGTAAGACCTTGATCAAGTCTTTTAGCATCTCAGCCAGTTTTAAAACACTCAAATGCCAGAATTCTTTATGTAAAAAGTAGCTTAGAATCATCCACAGTAGGAGGTTTTAGATTTAAAAAAACTATCTAGAATCTATATTTTGTAGTATTTTTATTGTCTGTTATCCAAGAGATTTTTAAAATTCTCTTCCTGTTCATGATTGATTTTTACTGTCTTGGAATATATTAATTTGAGATTCAATGAAGATATACCCTTAACTCTTATATTGTTTCTTTTTTTTTTTGTACAAGCAAGTCTCTTTATTTCCAAAGTACGTTGACCTCTCCAACCCAAGTTAAAAGAATACACAGTATGATTCCATCTTTTAATATATTAACATCAAGATGTACATGTTTGAAAATGGTTGGAATTTTATACTGGAATAATGCATACTAAACTATTAATAGTTTCTACCTCTGAGGGTCATGGGTGTAAGGGGGGCATGAAAGTAAACATTCATATTTTACTCTCTCTGTCTTGTGTTTGAATCTTTTATAATGGGAGTGCATTCACATGTAATAACTTTTATTTTTACAAAGAATGAGTTTTCCCAAGAGCAAAATGCAAAAATTCTGCTATAGCTTGTTGACATTTAATGGAAATATATTGCTTTATATAATATATGAATTGTTCAGAAGTGATAATAGCTTTAATCATGCTCCCAATAAAAGATATGCTAGTTAAAGAAATTCTATAGTTTATTCCATAAATTTAAAAACATGTAGAAAACGAGTACCACCCATAAATTAAATGATGTATTTGGTGCAGGGCAGGTAAGCCCCAAAGTTGGGGCTTAGCTCGGGACAGTTCTTGGCTTTGTCTAAGAAAGAAGTCAAAGGCATGACAATGGTAGGAACCTCTGCTGAAGCGGCAGCGTACAGCAGCAGCAAAAGTACTGTTTCTTGTGGAGCAGGGCTATTCCATAGGCAGTCTGCCTCGAGTAGCCTATATTGCTCTTTATATTTAGTAATTTTTTAGCAGAATTCTCAATCTCACATTTCTTAACCTTCCTTCTCTTTTTTCAGGATATCGAAAAGATTTTTAGTAACATTTCAGATATACATGAATTGACTGTGAAACTTTTAGGTTTGATTGAAGACACAGTTGAAATGACTGATGAAAGCAGTCCTCATCCCTTAGCTGGCAGCTGTTTTGAAGATTTGGCAGAAGTAAGTTTACAAAACTACTTATATTCTCATTAAAGCCCTAAATGCTGTAGTAAGAAACTTAGAGATGAGTCTTGGCAACATAGTGAGACCCCGTTTCCATAAAAAAGTAAAATAATTATCCAGGCATGGTAGTGCCCATCTGTGGTCCCAGTGACTCAGGAGGCTGAGGTAGGAAGCCTGGGAGATCAAGCCCATGATTGTGTCACTGCACTCCATCCTGGGCGACAGAGTGAGACCCTGTCTCCAAAAAACAAAATTTTTTTGTAAGATATTCTTTATGAAAATTAGAAGATACCACTGGCCATTATAAAAAGATATTTAAGATTTAACTGATAACAAACTAAAATCACATTGCCTATATAGTGACACTTTCTTTATAGTGTGTTTATGGCAATATTTATAGTGAAAGTTTATATACTAGAGTAGTATATAAACTAGAGTAGTAACATTTAGGTTTTTTTTTTTTTTTTAGTGGTAAGTATATTCAAGATGAAGGAAGATACATTTTATTGACCATAGCTCTTTACCTTCTATGGATTTTAAACTTAAAGTTGGAAAGAAGCTTTATATTATTTTAATGTTTTCCAAAGTAAAAATCATTTTATCTTTTAAATGACTATAAAAATAATGTAGCTCATTGTAAAAATATTCAGAAAAATAGATATATAAATTAGATGAAAGTCACTTTATTTTATAACACCCAGAGATAACTTATCCTTATATATTTCTGTGCATACATACGAATGTATGTGTGTTTGCAAAAATAGGATCCCACTATTTTATAACTTACTGTTTTTACTCTGTATATCATAAACATTGTCCATGTTAATGTATATACTTCAACACAATTTTTAAGTATAAATAATGTGATGTTATATGGAGACACCATAACATATTTTAACTATCTATTATCCATAGGTTGTAGAGTTTTTTCCTTTTTTTTTTTGTTATTGTAAACAACACTGCAACAAACATATTTGCACTATGCCTTGATATTCTAATCATTTTTTTTTTTGACATGGAGTCTCCCTCTGTCACCCATTCTAGAGTGCAATGGCACGATCTCGTCTTACTGCAACCTCTGCCTCTCAGGTTCAAGCCATTCTCCTGCCTCAGCCTCCTGAGTAGCTGGGATTACAGGCGCCTGCCACCACGCCCAGCTAATTTTTTGTATTTTTAGTAGAGACGGTGTTCCTCTCTGTTGGCTAGGCTGGCCTCGAACTCCTGACCTCATGATCCGTCCGCCTCGGCCTCCCAAAGTGCTGGGATTATAGGCATGAGCCACCGCGCCCAGTCATATATTCTAATCATTTTTAAGGATATATTCCTGGAAGTGGAATTGTAGTGCTAAAGACTAGATACATTTTTAGAACTTGGAAACACTTTGCCACGTTCACTTCCAGCTAAGTTCCAGTGTATGTAAGCTTCCTTCTTTCTTCACCCTTTCCCTTCACTAACTCGGTATTACCTTATTCTTTTTCTTTTTAATTCTTTTTTTCAAAATTTGTTTTGTTTTCATATCGGTTCTGCAGATATCCCATTAATTTTTGCCAGTCTAATGGGAAAAGAAATCTTTCTTCTTCTCTTCTCTTTTTTCTTTTCATTTCTTTCTTTTCTTTTGAGACAGGGTTTCACTCTGTTGCTCGAGCTGGAATATAGTGGCACAATCATAGCTCACTGTAACCTCGAACTCCTGGGATCAAGTGATAATAATCTGTACCATATTGGTAGAAAATATATTCTTTTAAACCTAATGCTTTTTCTCTTTTTAAAAAAATAGGAGCAAGCATTTGATCCTTATGAAACATTATCACAGGACATTCTTTCACCAGAGTTTCATGAACATTTCAATAAATTGATGGCCAGACCTGCAGTTGCTCTACACTTTCAGGTAAACTTAAATTGAAGGTTTTTTTTTTTTTTTTTTTTAATAAAGCAAATAAATATCTCACTATTTTATCCTTCAAATATTTGTAATTCTGGAATCCTCGTAATCCTTCAAATCTTGTTCATTCTAAACCTGTTTTGGATTATCTTCTGTTTTCTCTCTGGAGTTCTGTCTGTTCTTATTGTAGAAATCTTTTATAGTACAACATCATGAGTACTGAATGACCAGAAGAATTTGGCACATACTAGATCTGGGGTATAAAGATGAATTTGGCTGGGTGCAGTGACTCATGCCTAGAATCCCAGCATTTTGGGAGGCCAAGACAGGTGGATCACTTGAGGTCAGGAGTTTGAGACCAGCCTGGCCAACATGGTGAAACCCTGTCTCGACTAAAATTGCACAAGTTAGCTGGGCGTGGTGGTGAGCTCCTGTAATCCCAGCTACTCAGGAGGCTAAGGCAGGAGAATCACTTGACCCGGAAGGCGGAGGTTGCAGTGAGCCGAGATCGCGCCACTGCACTCCAGCTTGGGTGGAATAGTGAGACTCTGTCTCAAAAAATAAATAGAAAAATAAATAAAAAATAAAGATGAATCTGGAGTGTGATTTCAGGATTATGTTCCCTATAGGAGGAAGATTTGGAGAAATCTTAAAAAGTTGAGATAACCTCAACCTCCTATGTACTCATACTGATTTTTCTATGAGGCCTACAATTTAAAGGAGATAAATACTGTATTGAGGGAGAGTATGCAAGTTAGTTGGTTCAGGAATACACTTAGATAAAATGAAAATAAGTGGAGAGATACAAATAAAATTTTATTTTTACTATCTCAACACTAACAACAAAAGTTATGTTGGCATAGGTAATACTTGGCTAAATATGTAAAACTTCTACATCTAAACTGACTTTTCCAGCCAGACGTGGTGGCTCTTGCCTATAATCCCAGCACTTTGGGAGGCTAAGGTCAGAGGATTGCTTGGACCCAGGTGTTTGAGACCAGCCTGGGCAAAATAGGGAGACCTCATCTCTACAAAATATAAAAACTTAGCCGAGTGTGGTGGCGTGCACCTGTGGCATGCCAGGAGAATTGCTTGAGCCTGGGAGGTCAAGGCTGCAATGAGTCATGATCACGCCACTGCACTCCAGCCTTGGGTACAGAGTGAGACCCAGTCTCAAAAAAAATAAAAATAAAAAATAAACTGGCTTTTACCCCTTGACGTTTGAATATGGTAAAAATCCTTATAGTCCTGAAACAAACAAGCAAACAAATGAACAAACCTTTCTTCACTCTAGTAGAATAATTAACTAGAGTGAAGAAAGTTTTTTCATTTCCTCTCTCATTTTTTCTTTGCAGCCAATTGTCTTTATATTATTTTTTACCATTCTTTATGAAAACACTACCATGTATGTTTTAATCAGGATATAAATTGCCTTTGACAAGTAACTTAATTGCCAAATCCAGTGGATATTTTTATTTCATACTTAATGTCTGTAGTATTTGTTACTGCTCTTATCTCTTGGTTCCTGTATACCTGAAGGCTGGGCGTGATGTCTCATGCCTGTAATCCCAGCACTTTGGGAGGCTGAGGTGGGTGGATCGGATCACCTGAGGTCAGGAGTTCCAGACCAGCCTTGCCAGCCTGGCGAAACCCTGTCTCTACTAAAAAATGCAAAAATTAGCTGGGTGTGGTGGCATGCACCTGTAATCCCAGCTACTCGGGAGGCTGAGGCAGGAGAATTGCTTGAACCCGGGAGGCGGAGGTTGCAGTGAGCCGAGATCGTGCCACTACACTCCAGCCTAGGTGACAGAGCAAGACCCTGTCTCCAAAAAATATATATATATATATGTGTGTGTATATGTGTGTATATATATATATATATATATATATATATATATATATATATGCACACACACACACACACACACACTAGCGGGCATGGTGGTGCACACCTGTAGTTCTAGCTACTACAGAGGCAGAGGCAGGAGGATCACTTGGAGGCAGGAGGATCACTTGAACCCAGGAGGTGGGGGTTGCAGTGAGCCGAGATTGCAACACTGCACTCAAGCCTGGGCTACAGAGTGAGACTCTGTCTCAACAAAAAAAAGAAAAAGAAGACTGAGACTGGGTGATTTATAAAGAAAAGAGATTTAATTGGCTCAGAGTTCCACAGGCTCTACAGGAAGCACGGCTGGGGAGGCCTCAGGAAACTTACGATCATGGCGGAAGCCAAAAGGGAAGCAGGCACGTCTTCACATGGTCAA
Organism: Homo sapiens; assembly: GCF_000001405.40. Taxonomy (NCBI): domain Eukaryota; kingdom Metazoa; phylum Chordata; class Mammalia; order Primates; family Hominidae; genus Homo; species Homo sapiens. The sequence goes on along the minus strand of NC_000014.9, from coordinate 50,178,313 downwards.
AGCAAGAGGAAGGAGCAGGGAGGTGCCACACACTTTTAAACAACTAGATCTCCTGAGAACTCTATTACAAGAACAGCATTAAAGGAAGAAATCCACCCCCATGATCCAGTTACCTCCCACTAGGCCCCACCTCCAAAATTGGGGATTACAGTTGAACATGAGATTTGGACGGGGACACAAAATCAAACCATATCAGCTCCTGTGATACTACATGTTCCCAATTTTCGTCTTCTCTGATTTCTTCTTCTAAGTCTCTTAATTATTATAGCTATTATCCAACTTCTGTTATCAGCCCCTGTTTTTCTGTTCTGTGCTCTCCTTGGGTGACTTCATGTCTATATACTGGTGACTTCTTATTTGTATTTCCAGGCCATCACTTTCTTTTAAGCACTGTGTACCGTGTACATATGTGTATGTATCTATACACTTTCATATAACCAGCTGCCTTGAATTGATGCACTTGGATACCCTAAACGCACTTCAAATATGACATGTTTAAAACTGAACTTACCATCTTCTCCCTGCCTTCTGTACTATAAATTCCCATTGTTTATTATCTTCCACTTCTCTATTGTCAAAAATTTGTTATCATGGAATACAAATTATACTTAATTCTCAAAATTACTTCAAGAGAGGAATATTTTTAAAGTTAACTCATATATTCATATAAAGTATGCATTAAATACACAGTCTATAAGAACTTTGGATACTCATTAAAAGCACTCAACACATTTCTTGTTTCAGTCCTATTTTATTAGGAATTTTTGCTGTGGAATTTGAATGTTAAAGGGCCCAGTTATTAATAAAGCTGTCATCCTAGATATTCAGTGAAATTGGAAGAGTTAGATGAAATCCTTTTTCGGGCCAAACTCAATTGTTTTAACTTAAAAAAAAATTCATTCAGTTTAAGATAAAATAATGCTTCCTTAATAAAACTAAAAACAAAAAGCATCTTTAGAAGCTGTGTAGCGTACTTTATTTATTTATTTATTTAGAGACAGGGTCTCACTCTGTTGCCCAGGCTGGAGTGCAGTGGCACAGTCTCAGTTCATTGCAACCTCCGCCTCCCGGGTTAAAGCGATTCTCCTGCCTTAGCCTCTTGAGTGACTGAGACTACAAGTGTGGACCACCACGCCTGGCTAATTTTGGTATTTTTTTGGTAGAGACAGAGTTTCACCATATTGGCTAGGCTGTTCTGTTGACCATGAGGCACCATACCTGGACTGTGTAGCAGACTTAAAAAAATAAGATTTGAAGTTAGAACTTAAGGCTTTGGGCCAATTAATAGTTTTGTTTGTTTGTTTGCGGCGGAATCTCGCTCTTTCACCCAGGCTGGAGTGCAGTGGCGCGATCTTGGCTCACTGCAACCTCTGCCTCTTGGGTTTAAGGAGTCCTCCTGCCTCAGCCTCCTAAGTAGCTGGGACTACAGGCGCATGCCACCACACCTGGCTAATTTTTGTATTTTTAGTAGAGATGGGGTTTCCCCATGTTGGCCAGGCTGTTCTCAAACTCTTGACTTCAGGTAATCCTCCTGACTCAGCCTCCCAAAGTGCTGGGATTACAGGCGTGAGCCATCACGCCCAGCCCCAGTTAATGGTTGTGTTACCTTGAGCAATTCACTTAATCTCTGAGACTCAGTTTGCTCATTTGTAAAATGGTGATCATCATAATATATACCTCTTATAGTTATTAGGAAATTAAATGGTAATGTATATATAAAGCATAAGCATAATGTTTGATGTGTATTAAATACTCAAATGTAGCTCCTGTTATTATCAGAGGACTCCTTACACTGTAAATACATGCTACAAAAATTTTAGAATGCACTTTATCAGGCATTTTAGTACAAATAAGCAAAACAGTTGATCTTGTAGACTAATTTTGAAGTTTCATATTGGTTCCAGTTCAAGCACTGTATATAAAATATCCAGAATAATTCACTATATTAATTAGTTTAATACTGTCTTAGTCTATTCAGGCTGCTCTAATAAAATATCATAAACTGGATGGCTTATAAACAATAGAAATTTATTTCTCACAGTTCACATTTAGGAAGTCCCATATCAAGAGGCTAACAGATTTGGTGTCTAGTTTGGTGCCCTAGTGAGGGTTTGCTCTTCTGGTTCATAGATGGTGCTTTCTTGTTGTGTCCTCACATGATGGATAGCACAAACAAGCTCCCTTAGGCCCCTTTTATAAGGGCACTAACCCCGTTCACAGGGGCTCTGCCCTCATATCCAATCACCTCCTAAAGGCCCCATCTCTTAATACTGTTGCATTGGGGATTAGGTTTCAATATATGACTTTTGAGGGAACACAAACATTCAGATCATAACAAATGTGAAAATGAATTAATCTTTAGGAAAATTGGTGGCACTTTTTGTGTATCCTAGTAAGAAGTTTGGTTACTGGATAATAAGTCTGTTGAAAAGATTATAATTTAACAAAATGTGAAAATTATGGTAATATTTATGAAGATTTTTTTAAAGCAGCATATCAGATTCTTTCTCACATTTTATATTGGTGTGGTTGGTGTTTTTCTTATGGGGAGAAATACTAGTAAGTGAACTATATAGACATTTAAAATTAACATGAGTTAAATCCATTATAAATTTTAGAAAACCATTTATTCTACAGTAGTTTCCAAAACTGGGGTATACCTATCCCAAGCTATACACTAAGATTTTTCAGGATATATAAAGGCACAGAGAGCTTTAAGGGAATCTGTTTCTAGTCTTCGGAGATCTTGTTTATGTTTTTTGCATTGTCTTTTCCAAAGTCTCTTACTTGTTACCTTTTGCTGTTATGTATTTCCCATTATGCATTGATCCAAGATGTAAAAACCTCTAGGGCACCAAACAGGAAAAAAAAAAAAAAAAAAAAAAGTATTACTCCTATTGGAGAGTTCACTGAGTACCAAGCAAAAGAGTTCACAAAAGAATGTTATAGGGGGATGATAGTAAAAATTCTTGGTAGCCAAAATGTCATCTATCTATGTTATGTCATATCTATCTGTCTAAGAATTAAGAAGTGATATGGTTATCACAAAGATTTATGTTAACCTTATTGTAAGTACTTCATCATCATTTGGGATAAAGAAGAGGAGAAGCTTGTAAAGTTCTCATACCTTGATGTAATATGTCAGAAGCAGTTGTAGTTTCCTCCAGAGGCTTCTAATCCTTGAGACCATGACATTAATAATGTTTGTTTGAATTTAACAATAAAGTTTGACTTCTGACAAACTGAGCTGATGTTGCTGTTTATTTTGACAGTGAAGATCGACTTTGTCAATTAAGTTGTATGACAGACGTTTTTCATAAATGAGCTAAATCTGAAAGTTATTCAATTATTGTTTAGTGAAATAGTTATAAATCACATTTACAGTATACAGCATTCCCTGAAATGCATCTTTTGTAACTATTTAAATTTAAAACATTTTAAAATTGTGCAGGAGAGTACATAGCTTTTCAGAATTCCTTTAGGGTATATGGAAGCCAGAACATAAGCTGTAGAGGATTATTGTGAAAGCTATTTTAGCCACATAAAAGAAAATTAATGTATATATTTCTCTAATAACTTAAAGGAGGAAAGGGAGAAAAGAACAACTTGATAGCACTTCAGTTTCAATATAGAATATGCATTCTGTTGTAGTTTTGATAAGTCTGTATCTCAAATTTTTAGTAGACGTTTCTGTTAGGCACTGCTGTTGCATATCCTTGATGTCAGAGACATACATACTGTGATATCTTTTTGCTTTGCAGTCCATTGCTGATGGTTTTAAAGAGGCAGTTCGTTATGTCCTTCCACGTCTTATGCTGGTGCCAGTGTATCACTGTTGGCACTACTTTGAGTTACTAAAGGTAAGGTTTTATAACAGAATCTCAAAGTACTTATCTAATAGAAGAGTTTACTTTTTAAAATTAATTTTGGAGACACACAGTACCAGTCTTTTAATTCTTATTTTATGTAAGTATTTAATAATTTTTATATGTAACATTGCTCTAAATTTCTATCTTGTTATCTTATAAAGGAAATAACTTTTGAAGTTAATATTTTTTTCTGTGCAGTGTTGTATTCTTCCTCTCTTAGCTGGGACCCAAGCAACACATTAAAAATATATATATAACTTAAAAAAAATGACTCTCTTCTCTATTTTAATTAACTAGCCAACCACTAGTCCTGGTCACATTGGCTAAGAGGGTTTGGAGGCTAGTGATTAATTGGTGGCAAAAGTAGCTGTGGCTTAGGATGAGTCAGGCCATTATAGTCAATGACCTGATCTTAAATGCAGACCTAGTAGCAAGGATTTTTAAAAAGCAATCATCTAGGTAGGGGAAAATTTTTTTTAAATTATATGGTCAAACCAGCATTTTTAAATGTTGGCCAATATTAGAGGGCAACTCTAAGACTAATGATAGGACCTCTAATAAGACATGAACCTTATTTTTAAAAATTAAGGCATCCAAATATATGCTTATATATTATTCATATGAAGCCAGCATATCTTTTGATGAGTTCTTTATGGATCCACTAGTATCCATGGAGACTTACACAATGAAGTTGCTCATCTATTTGTGGATAAAAGCTGACTACTGCCGGGCGCGGTGGTTCACGCCTGTAATCCCAGCACTTTGGGAGGCCGAGGCGGGTGGATCATGAGGTCAGGAGATTGAGACCATCCTGGCTAACATGGTGAAACCCCGTCTCTACTAAATGTACAAAAAATTAGCCGGGCATGATGGCAGGCGCCTGTAGTCCCAGCTACTTGGGAGGCTGAGGCAGGAGAATGGTGTGAACCCGGGAGACGGAGCTTGCAGTGAGCAGAGATTGTGCCACTGCACTCCAGCCTGGGCGACAGAGCGAGACTCCGTCTCAAAAAAATAAAAAAAAAAGCTGGCTACCTCCAGCATCAAATGCTGTGGGTAGTAGCACTCCATAAAAAAGAACTTAAAAAAGAGATAAGTATTCATTAGAAATAATCATATATATTCCTTGCCTAGATGCCTACAAGGTATACATAGAATTATTATGGCTTTTATTTTAATGTTACTACCATGGATTAGACGGAAAAAGTCGTAACTGTCTATCTAAACCAACGATGTGGTATCCTAAAGGAGAGGTACGAAATAATCAAGCAGAAAGATACTTTGCTTCTAAAGAGCAGTTAAAAAGTTGGAAGCTGGGCATGGTGGCCACAAGCCTATAGTCCCACCTACTTGGGAGGCTGAGATAGGAGGATCACATGAGGTCAGGAGTTCAAGGCCAGCCTGAGCAACATAGCAAGACCCTGTTAAAGAAAAAAAAATTGAGAAAGAACATTTTACTGAGCAAGATATGTGGGAATTACAGTTGAAAATGGGCCATAATCTGAAAGTAGACAGAAGTTCTTAGATGTTAGCTAGAGTCAGTGAAAATCAGTAGCAGTAATAGAGAGAAATGAATGGATTGTCACCAGAAAATCTCCATCTTTCACGTGCTCACTTTGGTAATCACTCCTGCCTTTAAAAGATCAAGGGAAATTGTGTAAGGAATTAGAAATGGGAAAAGAAACACTCACTGATGAGTACTCATGCTTGTCCAAAGGCAGCAGATACTCTTTATTACTAGGTAGTAGTAATTTTGGGCTTCAAAGAATGAATAAAGAGAGCCAGGTGCGGTGGCTCATGCCTGTAATCCCAGCACTTTAGGAGTCCAAGGGGGAGGGAATGACTTGAGGCTAGGAGTTTGAGACCAGTCTGGCCAACATGGCAAAATCATGTTTTTAGTCTCTACTAAAAATACAAAAATTAGCTAGGGGTGGTGGCACATGCCTGTAATCCCAGCTACTCAGGAGGCTGAGGCAGGAGACAGCTTGGACAACAGAGCGAGACTCCATCTCAGAAAAAAAAAAAAAAGGAATGAATAAAGAGAAACTACCCATGTCTGATCAATGAAACTGTAACCGTTAGAATAAATATGGAATATACTCAGTTTTAATTAATGCACAGCAACAACAAGAACAAATAGAAATGTGGAATGGAAAGACAAGCCTTAGAAGAGATTAGAAATGGCAAAAGATTTGAATCACTTCACAAAACAGGATATCCAAAATGGCAGTAAATGTGTATTCAAACCATTAATAGTCAAGGAAATGCAGTTAAAACCACAGGATACCACTACATACACATCAGATTACAGAAATTTGAAAGTCTGAAAATATCCATAAACAGCAGCATGAACTATTTGCATTCTGTTAGGAATGTAAACTGTATAACCCACTTTGGAAAACTGCTTGGCATTACCTTTTAAATTAAAAAATATGTATACTGTCTGACTAGGCAATTCCACCCTTGAATATATACTCTAAAGAAACAAAATGCAGGCACATGTATACCAAGAGAAATGTACAAGAAAGTCTGTAGCAGGTGTCAGTAATAGCAAATCCTGTTTGCCAACCAGAAAAGGGTAAATAAATTGTGGTTCATTCAGATAATGAAAGAAACTTACACTAGAACAATACACAACATCAATGACGCTTACAAATAAACTTTGAGAGATGATAATATTTCATTGGTGTGTTATACCATATTTTATTTATCCATTCATCTGTTGATAGACCGTTGAATTTTTTTTTTTTTTTTTTTTTTTTTTTGAGATGGAATTTTGCTCTGTCGCCTGGCTGGAGTGCGGTGGCATGATCTCGGCTCACTGCCACCTCTGCCCCCTGGGTTCAAGCAGTTCTTCTGCCTCAGCCTCCTGAGTAGCTGGGACTACAGGTGCATGTCACCATGCCCAGCTAATTTTTGTATTTTTAGTATAGACAGGGTTTCACCATGTTGGCCAGGATGGACTCAATCTCTTGACCTCATGATCTGTCCATCTTGGCCTCCCGAGATGCTGGGATTACAGGGGTGAGCCACCGCGCCTGGCTGACTGTTGGATTTTTTTCTACCTTTTGGTTACTATAAATAATGCTTCTGTGAATGTGAGTGTACAAATATGTCTTTGAGACCTTGCTTTGAATTATTTTATGTATATACCCAGGAGTGGAATGGATGGATCGTATGGTAATGTTATCTTTAATTTTTTGAGTAACTACCACACTGTTTTTCATAGTAATGGCACCATTGTACATTCCTACCAACAGTGCACAGGGTTCTGATTTCTCCACATCTTTACCAAACCGTGTTAATTTCTTTTTCTTTTTCTTTTTTTTTTTTGAGATGGAGTTTCACTCTTGTTGCCCTGGCTGGAGTGCAATGGCACGATCTTGGCTCACTGCAACCTCCGCCTCCCAGGTTCAAGCGATTCTCCTGCCTCAGCTTCCCGAGTAGCTGGGATTACAGGCGCCTGTCACCACACCCAGCTAATTTTTTGTATTTTTAGTAGAGACAGGGTTTCACTATGTTGGCCAGGCTGGTCTCGAATTCCTGACCTCAAGCGATCCACCTGCCTCATCCTCCCAAAGTGCTGGGATTATAGGCGTGAGCCACCCTGCCTGGCCTGTTTTTTTTTTTTTTTTTAATAATAGTCATCCTAATGGATACGAGGTGGTATCTCATTGTGGTTTTGATTTTAATTTTCCTAATGACTAGTAATGTTGAGTATCTTTTATATACTTGTTAACTATTTGTATATCATCTATTTTATTGTGTTGTTTTTGGGACAGGGTCTTGCTCTGTTACCCAGGCTGGAATGCAGTGATACAATCATGGCTTACTGCAGCCTTGACCTCCTGGGCTCAGGCGACCCTCCCACGTAGCTAGGACTACGGATGTGTGCTACCATGCCCAGCTAATTTTTAAATTTTTTGTAGAGATAGAGTCTCACCATGTTGCCTAGGCTGGTCTTGAACTCCTAGGCTCAAGCAATCTGCCTGCCTCAGTTTTCCAAAGTCCTGGGATTACAGGCATGAGCCACCATACCTGGCTATATTTTTTTTCTTTGGATATAAGAATTATGTTATAAAGTTACTTATAAATCAAGAAGTGATTTTTTTTCTTTTCCTTCTTGCATGAAGATTGAATTATATGTTAAGATAATAATCTAAAATTATGTTTAAAAAGCAGTTTGTAGAAATTTATCTAAAATTTATCTTAGAAAGTGGGGTAAGGTGCCTCATGCTTATAATCTCAGCGCTTTGGGAGGCCAAGGTGAGAAGGTCACTTGAGCCCAGGAGTTCAAGACCAGCCTGGGCAACAAAGTGAGACCTTGTCTCTACAAAAAAAAAAAAAAAATCAGATTAGCTGGACATAGTGGTGCATGCCTGTGGTCCCGGCTACTAGGGAGGCTGAGGCAGGAGGATTGCTTGAGTCCAGGAGGTCAAGGCTGCAGTGAGCCATGTTTACGTCAGTACACTCCAGCCTAGATGACAGAGTGAAACTCTGTCTTAAAAGTAAATTAATAAATAAACAAAATTTATCTGAGAAGAAAAATGAAAACAGTAGTTTGTGATCAACCTTATGGGGCTTAAATTTGAAAAGAACAAAAAAGTATTATCTATAAAGTGAATATATTATAGATATATATTCTATATATCTGCCATGAGTTAACTATATATATGTAACAATATATATTGCCATGCAATATAAATTGTTGCATGGCAACAATAATATAACATTATTCCAACAATGTATATAACAATATATATTGCCATGAGTAACAATAAACCAACAATGTACTTTGTTTGTTTTTTGAGGCACGGTCTCACTCTGTCACCCAGGCTGGAGTGCAGTGGTGCAATCTTGGCTCACTGCAACCTCTGCCTCCCAGGTTCAAGTGATTCTCCTGCCTCAGCCTCCCAAGTAGCTGAGATTACAGGTGACCGCCACCACACCCAGCTGATTTTTCTATTTTTTTTTAGTAGAGATGGGGTTTCACCATGTTGGCCAGGCTGGTCTCAAACTCCTGACCTCAAGTGATCCACCTGCCTTCGGCCTCCCAAAGTGCTGGGATTGCAGGTGTGAGCCACTGTGCCTGGCCTGTTTGTTTGTTTTTTATTTTTATTTTTATTTTTTTTGAGATGGAGTCCCACTCTGTCGCCCAGGCTGGAGTGCAATGGTGCAGGCTCGGCTTACTGCAACCTCCACCTCCCAGGTTTAAACGATTCTCTTGCTTCAGCCTCCTGAGTAGCTGAGATTACAGATGCGTGCTACCATGCCTGGCTAATTTTTTTTAATATTTTTAGTAGAGACGGGGTTTCACCATGTTGGTCAGGCTAGTCTCAAACTCCTGACCTCAAATGATCCGCCTGCCTTGGCCTCCCAAACTGCTGGGATTACAGGCGTGAGCCACTGCACCAGGCCTAACAATGTACTTTGAAATAATTTTAGGTAACTATATATGGTATCCTCTAATTTCTTGTCATATAGTTGTTTTTCCATCTTGTTTTATCATAAATCTGATTTTGGAAAATAAAAAATAATATTTAAACACTAAATCCAAGAATAAATCTCTCTTGGTAGATCACCAAAGCAGATACTTTAAAACAGTGGGTTAAAACTGTTCCAGGATTGTGTTTTCTACTACTAAAGGGATGTAATAACCTTTGAGTCACACTAGTCCAGCCTTCTTTCTTATGATTCTCATCCCAAAGTAGGCTTAACATGAGACAGAATTTATTTTGGATGAGTACTGAGCCAAAACAGTATCACGAAACGGCATTCTATAGAATGGGAAAATATTTGTAAATTATATATCTGATAAAAGATTCTTATCCAGAATACATAAAGAACTCCTACAACTCAACAACAAAAAACAAGCTGACTAAAAAAATGAGCAAAGGATTTAGACATTTCTCTAAGAAGGTATATAGGCGAGGCACAGTGGCTCATGTCTGTAATCCCAGCACTTTGGGAGGCTGAGGTGAAAGGATGGCGTGAACCCAGGAGTTTGAGACCAGCCTGGGCAATATAGTGAGACCTCATCTCTACAAAAATTTTTAAAATTAGCTGAGCGTGGTAATGCATGCCAGTAGTCACAGCTACTTGTGAGACTGAGATGAGAGGATCACTTGAGCCCAGGAATTAGAGGCTGTAATAAACTGAGATCACACCACGGCACTCCAGCCTGGGCAAGAGAGCAAGACCTTATCTCAGAAAATAATCTATGTCTGTCCTTTTTTACTAAGGACATGTTAACTCTCTCATTTTAGAACTGGTTTATTCAAAGGCAAGTAATGTTCTCTTACTCTCCTAACTCCCTGGTCATTCCTTGGAAATTTAGTAATGGAAAGAATAAAAATTATTCTCTCTCAAGAGGAATTAATTTAGTTTAAAGCTTAACAGGAAAACTTAGTAATAACTTCAATGAGGTTCATTGAGGAAGATCAACCAGTATTTCAATATGAAACAATTGAGTTTATAGGTAATATTTTTTTACCTTTTACTTTGAAAAACAGAAAAAAGTTACAGAAATAGTGGTGAGCACCCTTCACCTGGACTCACTTTTTTTTTCTTTTTTTTTTTTGAGACAGAGTCTCACTGTATCGCCCAGGCTGGAGTGCAGTGGTGATCTCGGCTCACTACAACCCCCACCTCCTGGGTTCAAGCAATTCTCCCACATCAGCCTCCCAAGTAGCTGGGATTACAGGTGCACACCACCACGCCATTCTAATTTTTGTATTGTTTGATAGAGACTGGGTTTCATCATGTTGGCCAGGCTGGTCTCAAACTCCTGATTTCAGGTGATCCTCCTGCCTCAGCCTCCCAAAGTGCTGGGATTACAGGTGTGAGTCATTGCGCCTGGCTACCAGTTGTTAACATTATGCAACATTTGCTTGTTATCATTCCTGTTTTTTTTAGACAGAGTCTCACTCTTGTCGCCCAGGCTGGAGTGCAGTGGCCCATTCATGGCTTACTGCAGCCTTGACTTCCCAGGCTCAATCAATCCTCCCATCTCAGCTTCCCGAGTAGCTAGAACTACAAGAGCATGCCACCATACCCAGCTAATTTTTGTTTTTTTATTTTTTGTAGAGAAGGGGTTTTGTCATGTTGCCCAGGCTTGCTTTGTCATTCTTTTTGTGTGTGTGTGAGTATATTCATAACATAAAGAGCTTGCAATCTCTATTGAAAGAAATCTCTCAACTCTTAAAAAAGACCATAAAGAGGATTTTACTACATATTTACTTTTTCAGTACTGACATATGATTCAGGTACATATGAAAGAAAGTTAATAACAGTTAACTTTCTTATGTGTTTTTTTTTAAAGTTAGTGTTTTTTTTAAAAAAGCACGTAAAGAAATATGATCACGGGTTTTTTGTTTGTTTTGGGGTTTTTAGGTTATTTCTTTTTAGAGAGGGAGTCTCGCTATGTTGCCCAAGCTGATCTCAAACTTCTGGCCTCAAGTGATCCTCCTGCCTTGACCTTCCAAAGTGGAGAGATTACAGGCATGAGCCCGTGTGCCCAGCCTAGTCATAGGTTTTAATGGATTTAATTTCCCACCAAATTACCAACTCCACTCTTATGAAAATCTAGAGAGTTTATTACTAATAAAAAAGAATTGATTACATGTTTTATTTCACACCTAGACTGAACTCCTAGTACAGTGAATTAGAGACAAATTCATAATTTATTGAAATTCCCCTTGCTGTGGGCACATATGTCCATAGTAGATGTAGCATTTGGTAGGAGTTTCAAGAAAAGCAGGGTAAATATTTCAGTGAATTCTCATACAGAGTTAAGAAAAAACTTACATGAAATATAAAATCTTAGACAGGATACACTTATAGACAACTAAGGATAATGATGAGTATCAGGTAGCAAGGAATATATTCTTCAGCTAGGTTCATAAGATATTACCCATTAAAGCTAGGCGCGGTGGGTCATGCTTGTAATCCTAGCACTTTAGGAGGCCAAGGAAGGTGGATTGCTGGAGCTCAGGAATTTGAGACCAGCCTGGGCAACATGGCCAAACCCCATCTCTACAAAAAATTCAAAAATTAGCTGGATGTGGTGGCAATGCCTGTAGTCCAAGCTACTCAGGGGTTGGGGGGTTAAGGCAGGAGGATCGCTTGAACCCGGGACATCGAGGATGCAGTGAGCCGAGATCGTGCCACTGCATTCCAGCCTAGTTGACAAAGTGAGACTTTATCTCAAAGAAAAAGAAAAGATATTACCCATTAATAAACAATCACTTTTATTTTTAATTTTAAGCATATGTAGCAAGGGTATCTTTTCTCTTTGACCTCTTTTCCAGAGTACACTCATTTCATTTTATTTCTTAAACTCAGTAGTTATCCAGTTTGTTTTCAACATAGAAAGAATCCCTTTCAACTCAGTGGTCATCAGATTTAGACACAGACCAGTGTTTTGCGTAGCTGTGTCTGGTGTCATGGTAGAGCCACGGGGTATTAGTGTAGCAAAAAAGCAGAGACTTTGGGGTCAGAGCTCCTGGGTTTGGATATAAACTCTCCTATTTATATTGGGCAAATTACTTAATTTCTCTGTGCCTCATTTCCTTCATCTGTAACATATGATTATAGTACCTCGTGTTACAGAGTTGTAATAAAAATTAAATAAGCTAATGCATAAAAGAGCGTGCACAGAGCAGAGCTCAAAAAACATTCATTATTGGTCTAAATACTTAACAAAATCATACAGTAGTCATTTATTCCAGTTACTTCTGACAACCACCTAGTGGATACCTACCACATGCAGGTAAACTGAAAAGGAATAAAACGTGTCCCTAGGCATTAAGATGTTTACAATTTAGTGAAGAAAATAGATGTCAAACAAATAATTACAATATTATAAGAGCCTAATAGAGGTAGTACTATGAGATCAATGAAGCAGGAGTTACTAGCTCTGCTTAGGGAAGGCAGAAAAAAATTCCTATTGATTTTTCCTTTGTTCAGTGGAGTAAAAAAAAATACATAATGGTTTTGGGTATTCGTCCTACTGAGAGAGAGAACAGTGTGTGCGCGGGTGTGTGTGTCCTTATTTATTTGCGGGAGTCATGAAAGACAAATGCTTAGGAACTCTCCAGAATAAAAGAGACAATAGAAACATGACAATTTAGTGCTTCACTGACCAGTTCCTGTTTTGGGGGAAAATATTACCTTAAAGGATGTTATTAAAACAGTTGGCAAAATTGGAATATACACTATAGATTAGATTATGCAGTAGATTACTCGGTGTTAAATTTCCTGAAGTTGATCACTATACTGTGATTCTGTAAAAGAAAATCCTTGTTGTAAGATGAGCTATGAGAAATATTAAAGGAGTAAAGGAGAATGATACTATTTGAGAGTAATTTGTGATACATTTGACTTTTCCTTATATTCCAAAAACTACTGCAAAACCATTCAGCCGTAGTCCCCCTTCCTCTGGAAGGAACTGAGTGGATAGTATCACAACTACTAAAAAAACGATCTGCACACACTGGCACACAGAATGATGAAGCATGTGACAAAATGTTAAAAATTGGTGATTCAGAGTATTACAGGAGTTATTTGTGTTACTTTTACAACTTTTCTATAAATTTGATATTTCAAAAGAAAAAATTTAAGAGGGAAAAGGCATAATCAGAAGGCATCTTCAAGAGGAAGCATTTCAACTGTATCCTAGTGGCTAAATTCACCGGGTGGATAAGGAGGTCAGAGACTGTTGTGTAGAAAGCGAATGGGGGCATGAAAGTACATTACTTGTTTGCACATAGTTCAGTACAGTAATTTTTCTTTTCTTTTTCTTTCTTTTTTTTTTTTGGAGACAGAATCTCGCCTTATCACCCAGGCTGGAGTGCAGTGGTGCTATCTTGGCTTACTGCAATCTCCACCTCCTAGGTTCAAGTGATTCTCATGCCTCAGCCTCCTGAGTAGCTGGGATTACAGGCATGCACCACCACGTCCAGCTAATTTTTTTTTGTATTTTTTATTTTTATTTTCATTTTTTTGCGGGGGACAGAGTCTCACTCTGTCACCCAGACTGGAGTGTAATGGCACAATCTCAGCTCACTGTATTCTCTACCTCCCATGCTTAGGTCATCCTCTCACCTCAGCCTCCCAAATAGCTGGGACTACATGTGCACATCACCACGCCCGGCTAATTTTTGTATTTTTTGTAGAGACAAGGTTTCTCCGTGTGGTCAGGCTGGTCTTGAACTCCTGGGCTCAAGTGATCTGCCCGCCTTGGCCTCCCAGTATGTTGGGATTACAAGTGTGAGCCACCTTGCCTGGCCCAGTAATTTCTGTGTAAGATGTTTGGAACACATTCTTTTAAGTATCTGTAGAATATTAGTTGGATATTCATTAATATGATGTTTATCAAATCTCACTGCTGAAAATTCAAGAAATATTTAGCAAATTATCAGATTATTATGCCAAACAGAGCCGTTGTTTAATATACTTCCATTACCAGGAAATCCCACTCTAAATATCCTCAATTTTGTTCTCCTTTACAGCTTATAATTATTACATGGTTATTTAAAAATGACACGTGGAAGAGTTTGAGCAGCCTTAAGACCAAGTAGACAATGAAAATCATACCTTTTTGGTAGGATATCACTACTGGTGATAATTTAGATATTTGGATAAACAAAAACAAGAATAAAACAGTTCTAATTAAGTGTTTGATGTCATCAACATTCATATTTATTAAAGAAATATTTTAGAGTGGAGCTGAGAAGACTTTCTGTAAGAAATCTTTAAAGCAGCAAAATAAGTGATTTTGCCAGTAACTTTCACCTGTAGAAGTCAGAATAACCAAGCACAGATCTTTTTTCAAACTTTCTATGATATTTTGACTTTGCTTCCATCCTTTCTATTGCTTAGTCTAGAGATTAAGGTATTACTTCTAATAATAGTCATTTACATTATTTATGTTGCTAATCTCTTGATGACAAGACCTCTACATGTGTCTTGAAATAAAATCAAATGGCTCTGTGCTTCATATAGAGACTAATTTCTAAGACATAAATAAAAGGTAATGGACAAAGTTGTCAAACAATAGCCAGTTAGTTCTTTGCTGAGGAAAGGGAACCATTGCTGAATGCTTTTGAGATTGCTCTTGGAATATAAGGAAAATTTTAATTTATCACAAAATCTCTAATAAGTTAAAGATCACAAAATAGATTTAAGTTTTTAAAAATTTTCTGAAGTGATCATAATTCCCCATATCCTTGCATAAATATATATTTATAAATACATAATATATATAATATCTATATGATGTTCCACTTTGAACTCTTCTTTCAAAAGATTAAAACAGTTTGAGGGCAGCCTGGGCAGCATAGTGAGACCCCATCTCTACAGAAAAATTAAAAAAAAAAATTAGCCAAGCATGGTGGCACACATCTGTAGTTCTAGCTACTTGGGAGGCTGAGATGGAAGGATCACTTGAGTCCAGGAGGTTGAGGCAAGGCTGCAGTGAGCCATGATCACCTCACCGTATTCCAGTTTGGGTGACAGAGTGAGACCCTGTCTCAAAAAAAAAAAAAAAAATCAAAACATTGGAGCACAATACAATACAATCTGAATTATTTATTATAAGTAAATTTGCTTTCTTTCTGAGAGTGAAATACAAGAGAACATTTTGGGGCAAATGAAATAGAACCAGAGTTTTAGAGATTAATAAGTCAGTTTCTAAATCTTCTAAAGATTGAGATAGAATTAATTTTCATGGTTTCTTGACATTTCATATTGTAAAAAATAGCAGTGGAATCCTTTGAGAGATGCTGTTTACGGAAAAGTTTATGATAGATTGAAGTGTTAAAAGTTAGTACCCTTGATTATGTTATATAACAAAGATTTGTAAACTTGAAATTGCTAAAACAAAGTAATCATTAGAGAATATGAAATAGTTTATAGTTACTTATTTTCTCTATTCATAGTTGCTAATGAATAAAAGTAAGTTGTAAGCTTCATGCTTTAGGTGTTTTAAACTTTTTAAATATGTTTGGAAAATGTGGCCTGGCACAGTGGCTCACACTTGTAATTTCAACACTTTGGGAGGCAGAGATGGGAGGATAGCTTGAGTCCAGGAGTTTGGGACCAGCCTAGTGAGACCCTATCTCTACAAAAAATAAAAATAAAAAAATTAGCTGGATGTGGTGGCATGCAACTGTGGTCCCAGCTACTCGGGAAGCCTTATGCCCAGGAGATCGAGGCTGCAGTTAGCCCTGCCACTGTATTCCACCCTTGGTGACGGAGTGAGTAAGACCCTGTCTCAAAAAAATAAAAAATAAAAATAAAATGTCCGAATGGTTTTTACAGTTGCTTTTTTTTTTCCTGATTACTATGCTCATGTTAGTTTATATCTGTATTGTGTTTATGTTTATAGAAAGAAGGTTGGGCCAGGACTGGTGGCTCATACCTGTAATCCCAGCACTTTGGGAGGCAGAGGCAGAAGGATAGCTTGAGCAGGTGTTCAAGACCAGCCTGGGAGACATAGCGAGACCCTGTCTCTACAGAAATTTTAAAAATTAGCTGGGTGTGGTGGCATTCGCCTGTGGTCTCAGCTACTTGAGAGGCTGAGAGTGGAGGATCATTAGAACCCAGGAGCTCAAGGCCACAGTGAGTGAGATCCTGTTTCAAAAAAAAAAAAAAAAAAGAAAGAAAAAGGGTTGGTTTGAGAGGGCAGTAGGTATATATAAAATTATAGCTGTTTTTATTAAGTATATATAAAATTAACTTAGAGTTGATAATATTTGTTGCTGCTTTTTCTATTACTAGAAAGTTGGGGGAAGAATCAAACAATGCAGTTTTGATTTTTCTTTCTGTTTTTTCTTAGCAATTGAAAGCATGTAGTGAAGAACAAGAAGACAGAGAATGTTTGAACCAAGCTATTACTGCTCTCATGAATCTCCAAGGTAGCATGGACCGAATTTACAAGCAGTATTCACCTAGACGTCGACCTGGGTAATTCCAAAGTGTTGAAAACGTGAATGCCTCTGCTTACTTCGCTGTCTCTGATGCCTGGTTTTCAAAGAAGTGTGATTTATTGTGATAGTTACATTATTGAAAGTTGTGCTTGTCATACTTTTATATACTTTTATGTTGGTCTTTTACTCTCTTTTTTCCTTTTCCTTTCCTTTTTTTTTTTTTGAGAAGGAGTCTCTCTTGCCCAGGCTGGAGTGCAGTGGTGTAATCTCAGCTCACTGCAACCTGCAGCCTTAGCCTCCTGCGTTCCAATGATTCTCCTGCCTTCGCCTCCCAAGTAACTGGAACTACAGGAGCCCACCACCATGCCCAGCTAATTTTTGTATTTTTAGTAGAGACGGGGTTTTACCGCGTCGGCCAGACTGGTCTCAAACTCCTGACCTCAGCCTCCCAAAGTGCTCGGATTACAGGTGTGAGCCGCTGCGCCCAGCCTTTTTTTCTTTTTTTTAAGAGACAGGGTCTCACTCTGTTGCCCAGGCTGGAGTGCAGTGATGTGATCTCAGCTCACAGCAGCCTCAACCTCCTGGGCTCAAGCAGTCCTCCTGCCTCAACCCTCTGGAGTAGCTGGGACTCGAGTAGCTGGGTGGCACATGCCAACACACCTGCCTAATTTTTGTATTTTTTGTTGAAATAGGGTTTTGCTATGTTGCCCAGGCTGGTCTTGAACTCCTGGGCTCAGGTGATCTGCCTGCTTTGGCCTCCCAGAGTGTTGAGATTGCAGGTCTGAGCCACTGCACCTGGCCAACCCAGCCTAGTCTTAAGATTAGCATTGTTGGCTGGGCACGGTGGCTCACGCCTATAATCCCAGCACTTCGGGAGTCCAAGGTGGGCAGATCGCCTGAGGTCAGGAGTTTGAGACCAGCCTGGCCAACATGGTGAAACCCCATCTCTACTAAAAATACAAAAATTAGCCAGGCGTGGTGGCAGGCACCTGTAATCCCAGCTACTCGGGAGGCTGAGGCAGGAGAATCACTTAAACCTGGGAGGGGGAGGTTGCAGTGAGCCAAGATCGTGCCATTGCATTCCAGCCTGGGGGACAAGAGCTCCAAAAAAAAAAAAAAAAAAAAAAAAAAAAAAAAAAGATTAGCATTGTTATATTATTAGGATAGACTTAATAAATGTTTAAAAATATAATCTATGAAAGAAATTTAGGATTTTTTGTAATTTTAGTTCTTATAGAGCCAGTAGTACTTCTCTTTCATAATAATGAAATTGAGGGCTGTATTATTTAGTGGCAAAGTTAGAACTAAATGCTGTGCGTAAAAGCTACTGTTTGGTTATTTAATATTTTACTCACTTGATTTGAGATGGTTTATGCTTGAAACCATTTGGGTTGCTAGCTGTTGAATAAGCTATATTGTTTGTTTTTTCTAGAGATCCTGTTTGCCCTTTTTATAGTCACCAATTAAGAAGCAAACACCTGGCTATCAAAAAAATGAATGAAATTCAGAAAAATATCGATGGATGGGAAGGCAAAGATATTGGACAGTGTTGTAATGAATTCATTATGGAGGGACCATTGACAAGAATCGGTGCCAAACATGAACGGCATATTTTTCTGTTTGATGGCTTAATGATCAGTTGTAAACCTAATCATGGCCAGACTCGGCTTCCAGGTTACAGTAGTGCAGAATACAGGTTAAAAGAAAAATTTGTCATGAGGAAAATACAAATTTGTGATAAAGAAGATACTTGTGAGCACAAGCATGCATTTGAATTAGTATCCAAAGATGAGAACAGCATAATATTTGCTGCTAAGTCTGCTGAAGAAAAAAACAACTGGATGGCAGCCCTTATTTCTCTTCATTATCGTAGTACTCTAGATCGAATGTTAGATTCAGTATTATTGAAAGAAGAAAATGAGCAACCACTGAGATTACCAAGTCCTGAAGTATATCGTTTTGTAGTAAAAGACTCTGAGGAAAACATTGTTTTTGAAGACAACTTGCAAAGTAGAAGTGGCATCCCCATTATTAAAGGAGGAACTGTAGTGAAATTAATTGAAAGGTTAACATATCATATGTATGCAGGTATGTGAAACTCATTACAACTGCTGACCTAGGGCCTGGGACCCAAAAGCTTTTTAAGGATGCTCAAAAATATTTGAGGCTTGGGGAAAAAATGGATTGCCTCCAAAATATAAAAATACTGCAAAAACAAAAGGAATAAATAAGAGAAGGAATTAAAGGTCTAAAAATGTAATATTGTTAACTTCATTAATTATTGAATAAATATTCATAAAATATGCATATTCATGAATTTTTTTTTTTTGAGACAGAGTCTTGCTCTGTTGCCCAGGCTGGAGTGCAGTGGCGCTATCTCTGCTCACTGCAAGCTCCACCTCCTGGGTTCACGCCATTCTCCTGCCTCAGCCTCCCGAGTAGCTGGGACTATAGGCGCCCGCAACAATGCCCGGCTAATTTTTTTTTTCTTTATTTTTAGTAGAGATGGGGTTTCACCGTGTTAGCCAGGATGGTTTCGATCTCCTGACCTCGTGATCCGCCCACCTCGGCCTCCCAAAGTGCTGAGATTATAGGCGTGAGCCACCTCACCCAGCCATATTCATGAATTTCAAATTTGAAAACAATCCTCGCTTATTAAGGATATACCATAGTATATTCTCTATGTCAGTATTTCTCTATGTATGGCAGGGATACCATGGTATCCTGCCAGTACCATGATTGTTAGGAAAAGCCACAATCTGAGGAGCCAAAGTAAAAAGAAAAAGGGAGGAAGGCCTCCAAATATGGTACTTTGAGTTAATTAAACTGAATACATTAAACATGAAACCTATTTTATGCTCTGCCTTTTCAGATCCCAATTTTGTTCGTACTTTTCTTACCACATATCGTTCATTTTGTAAACCACAGGAATTGCTGAGCTTACTGATTGAACGGTAAGAAAAATATGTATTTCAGTTATATTGACATTTTGTGAAAAATTAACTGTATTTTGTAAAGTGCCTAGTACCTAATAAATACTCAAGTTAATTATTGAACATATTTTATTTGGCATTAAATTGGCAGTATTACTATTCTCTTCAAATGGAGTACTCCCTAAAATCTGTTTATAAACACAGATCTTTTCAGCTCTTAGAAATATTTCAAGTGGTAATCAGAAAGACTAATTTAGAGGATGAAAGCACTATATTTTAATGAATATTGTTCTGTGTAATAAAATGATATTTTCTTAAAAGAGACTTTTCTACTTACCACTATTTTTTTTTTTGGACCGTAGACTACTTTGCCAAATACTTTCCACTTTTAAAACAAACTTGTTATGAAAACTTTCAAAACACATACAAGAGCAGATACAAGAATATAATAAACCCATTTATTCATCAACCACCTTCAGTAATTATCAACTCATTGTTTCATCTGTTTCCCTACAAATTTAAACACCCCACCCCATGATTATTTTGAAGTAGATCCTAGACAACATAATTCATCTATAAATATTTTTCTATGTATCTCTAGAAAATACGGGATCATTTTTAATAATCAGATATCATTATTAAACCTAAAAAATCAGCAATTCCTTTATTATGATTAACTTTTAAAAATTAGTGTTGGGTTGAATTTGTTTTACCTAGTATTATAGTGGCATTTTAAATGTTTTATAGTTTAAAATGTAGAATCTGGACTCCAGAATGATTTTTAGTTTTACGTTTTAAAACTTACTAAAACTTATTATTATACCAAAGCTTATTAACTGTATTATCAAGATATAATTCTAGATCTCTATCACTATGTTGTTTTATCAAACTAAATTTACCAGACTGAGTCAGTGTAATGTGCTATGAGGATCTACTTAGTTGTTTCCATGTCCAGAATAAGGAAAGCACACGTTAGACTTATAGTTTAGCTGTATTTCCTATGTTTGAGCAAGGTTTTTTATCTTTATCTTATCCACTTAGGTAAATTATTTAAATATTGTTAAATATTCGGTTTTGGCCCTCTCTTTGAATTTGTACTCATTTAAATAAATTTATTAGCCTACTTTCATTTTAATAATATAAATATTAAAGACATTGTTAGATAAGCAATTTCTGTCATGTTCTTTAAATTCCTTATGAATTCTTTCCTTGGCTCTTTTCCCTGGACCTTTTCTGTATTATCAGTGCTAAAAGACAAAACTTTAGTTTTTATAAAAGTAAGAATACAAAACGTCAGTTTTGTATAGCCAAAGGACAGTTTTTTGTAGTATATCATACCTCAAGGGAAGTTTAACAGTAATCCACTTTTCGTGGAAGTGGTAGGAAAGAAGGTTGCTTGCTGTTTTCCTCCTTGTATTTTCATTATGTATGAACGGATTTTTCTCCTTTTGCTTTTCTTCTTAGGTTTGAAATTCCAGAGCCAGAACCTACTGACGCAGACAAATTGGCAATAGAGAAAGGCGAGCAGCCAATCAGTGCAGACCTTAAAAGATTTCGCAAGGAATATGTCCAACCAGTACAACTTAGGTTTGGCTTGAATATTTTTTATATATATATATATACACATATATATACACACACACACACATTTTATGTGTCAGTTTTCAATATATAGTTAACACAAAAGCTCTCAGCTTTTAATTCAAATATAGGGAATATTTTTAACTTCACAGCAGTTAAGTTAAACTAAAAGAGTTCTTTCTCAGTGAAGCTATTCTTAAATACCCTGAAGAAATTCAAATATTTAAATATCCTATGTTTGCATCACATATCTCTGGCATGTGATATGTTATGCTTACGTATCAGGATACCTATTTTTTATTGTAAGTAAAAATTATAAAATTTCATGTGAGCTTTCCTGCTGTCAACCTTTTTTCACACTTTTTTCCTTCATTTCCCTTTGCGATCATACAGTAATCCTGGCTTTTTTTACAATTTATAATATTTGTGGAAGTTCTAGCCCTTTTCCCACTTATCTCTCACAAAATATATAGACATTTGTTAGTTTAATTGCAATAATTTCTAAAAATGTGTTTGATTGTAGAAGCTTCCAGTTAATAAATACTACTGTGTGCCGGGGATTACCCTAAATGCTTTATCTTTTTTATCTCATTCTTACAACATGATTACTATTCCTACTTTATATATAAGGAAATTGAAACCTAGCAAGGTGAAGTAATTTGAGCTAAGTTATGTAAAGGGAGTGGCAGGACAAGATTCAGACTCATGTCTGACTTTCTTTGCGTGTGTGTGTGTGTGTGTGTGTGTACGTACCACTAAGCATTGAAAATTGGAAGCGCCTTCTCTTAGCCCTCTTTACTGTCCAAGTAACCAAAGTATTATCTTCCTCCTTCCATTGGAAACCAAGTTATCTTATTAATTATATGTAATTTAAATTTTTTTTCTCTCTAAATTTCAAGTTTCCTTGATTACTGTTGACCAATAAATTGTAATTTTGGAACTGAGTATATTAGTTATTTATTTCCCAGGATAATTGCCACAAACAAATGCAGTTTTAGAAGAATGATAGTGCTCCCAGCTATATGTCTTTCACTAAAACTTTTAACGTCATTCTTTGTATAAGAAGATGAGATTATTTATGTATCAGCAATAAATAAGTAATTCTTTTCTACTAGCTGTGATGCATTTGTACTTATCTACAATCACATTAAATCCCTTGATATGACACATACATTTATGAGGTTGCTATTGGGTGGGGTAGGGGGTGGGAGTATAATCTTCGTTTCTCAGTCATATAAGCTCTTTATGTATTTCTAAGCATTTGCTGTGTTCTCAGTCCTGTACTTATAACTATGCTAAGTACAAAAATAACATAGACTGTCATGATATTGTGGCTTTCTTGGGGACTTTACTGGGGGAAAAAGACACATGAAACAGTTATATATTGTTCTACTTGGAGTGCTTAAGTGACTTAGAAAAATACATCCCTATACAATTTCAGGAATAGCAAAGATTAGGCCAGAGTAATTAGGGAAGGCATCTTGGAGAAGGTAAAATCTGAGACTGCCCCTAAAGGATGTATAGGCTTTAGATAGGTAGAAAGGTGACTGTAGGTATTCAGGGTCATGAGAAATAGTATGAACAAAGACAAGAAGGCAGAAATGAGAATGGTGTGCTGAGGACACAGATAAGGACATTGACCTGAGAGGAATGTAGGCATTGTATTGCAAGTAGTAGATGAGATTACCTGTATGGAATTGGATGGAGTGGAAAACTGTGAAATCCAAGCCAAGTTATTAAACCTGTTTATATAAATATTGAAAGATTTCTAGTAAAATGGGTGGTAGTAATTTTTCTAACATTTTATTATGAAAAATTTTAACATACAGCAAAACTGAGAATTTTACAATGAACACCCATAAACCCACCACCTAGATATGTATTCATCTATTCATATCTATTCATTTATGTGTTCATTTATCATTCATCTATCAGTTCATTTTTTTGTATGAATTTTGAAGTACACTCCTTAAATACTTCAACTTGTATGTCATTAACAGTTCAGTGTTTGTTTTTCTTTTGTTCTAAAATGTGCATATAATTAAATACATTTTTTTCTTGCTGCCACTGAAGACAGAAGATACACACATCTTAAGTGTACTTTTGTTGAGTTTTAACAAATACATGTATCTCCATAATCCAAACGCCTTTCAAGATATCAAATGTTACTACACCCCAGAAAGTTCCCTTATGTTCCTTCTCATCAGTTTTTGTTCCCACTGCCCAAAGGCAGTGTTCCAATTTCTCCCTCCATAGATTAGTTTTACCTGTTTTAGAGTCTTAATAAATGCATTCTTAAAAACTCAATTTTGTGTCTTCTTTCACTCAACATGCTTTTGAATTTGTATCAATGGCTTATTTTATTGCGAGGTTGTGTTTTATTATATGAATATACCAGTTTATTCATTTTTCCCATTGAAAGATACATGGGCTTTTTCTCGTTTTTTATTATTATGAATAAAGCCGCTATGAACTTTATCTTACCTGTCTTACTGTGAATATTTTTCACTTTTCTTGGGTAAACAACTCAGAGTGGAGTGGCTGGGTCAGAAGGTATGTGTATGTTTAGTTTTGAAAGAAACTGCCAAAACTTCCAAAACATTCTCACCAACAATGTTCAAGTTGCTTCATATTCTCACCAGTGTTTAGTAATGTCAGTCTTTGTGCCTTAGCCATACTGCTGGATGTAGTGGTATTTCATTCATACTTATTTTGTGGAGAATCTGTTCAAATCCTCTAATTTTTGTTGAGATACTTGTCTCTTTATTACTGAGTTGTAGGAGTAAATTGGGTAGGACTGAATGCCAGTCCTTTGTCAGATAAACATTTTGCAAATATTTTCTTTCCATGGCTTGCCTACTAGTTTCCTTCCTTCCCTTTCCTTTTCCCTTCTTCCTCTTCCATTTCCCTCCTCTTCCCTCTCCCCTTGTCTTTCCTTTCCTTTCCATTTGCATAGTTGATTAAATCTCTCTTTGCAAGGTTATAGGTAATCATTTTTGTGATACTGTAAAACAAAACAGTTCTATTTTTGTCTTTTGAAATGAAATAAGAGACTGTAGTATATGTGTAGATTACATAGAAATTTGATGATAGGCTGGGTGCAGTGGCTCACGCCTATAATCCCAGCACTTTGGGAGGCTGAGGTGGGCGGATCACCTGAGATCAGGAGTTCGAGACCAGCCTGGCCAACATGGTAAAACGTCGTCTCTACTAAAAGTACAAAAATTAGCCCAGCATGGTGGCGGGCGTCTATAATCCCAGCTACTTGGGAGGCTGAAGTAGGAGAGTCACTTGAACCTGGGAGTTGGAGGTTGTAGTGAGCTGAGATCGCACCATTGCACTCCAGCCTGGGCAACAAGAGCAAAATTCCATCTCAAAAAAAAGAAAGAAATTTGATGATAGCACTTGCATTTAGAACCAGATACAGTACATCTTAGTTGGTTTTCCATTTTAAGTGAAAAAGTACCAAAATTTAAATCTTAAAAATGCTTTTTATGAACTTAAAATAGCTTTTGTAATATAGAGCATAAGTTTTCTACATATGAATAAAGGGTACTTTTCCTTAACATAAATGGGAAGCACAGAAACCACTATTTTTATGCTTATAAATATTTTAAAAGTATACATTTTATTAATAAATAATACACCGTTTGGAGACCTACTCTCCTCTTGTCATTGAAGCATTTAAAGTATTAATTAAATACAGATTAGAGAGTCTTTGAGTATTATGTTGACCCTTGTATGTAAAGCTATTATCGTGGCATTAGAGAAGGAAGAAGTGTAATTGAACACTTATGTTTCACTAAAATGTGTTTCTTTCCATTTTATCAGGATCTTAAATGTATTTCGGCATTGGGTTGAACATCATTTTTATGACTTTGAAAGAGACTTGGAATTGCTTGAAAGACTAGAATCCTTCATTTCAAGTGTAAGAGGTATATTATATAAAGGTTTGATTGAATCTTATATTGAACATGAGTTTATGTTCAAATTTGTGTGACTTTAAGAAACTAAAACATTTCTCTCTCTTTTTTTTTTTTGAAACAGAGCTTTGCTTTGTTGTCCAGGCTGGAGTGCAGTGGTGCCATCTCAGCTCACTGCAACCTCCGCCTCCCAGGTTCAAGTGATTCTTCTGCCTCAGCCTCCCAAGTAGCTGGGACTACAGGCACATGACATCACGCCTGGCTAATTTTTGTATTTTTAGTAGAGATGGTATTTCACCACATTCACCACAAGACCAGCCTGGTGTCTTGAACTCCTGACCTCAGATGATCCACCTGCCTCAGCTTCCCAAAGTGCTGGGATTACAGGCATGAGCCACCATGCCTGGCCAGCATTTTTCATTTTTAAAAAGCTGAAATAACATTTGGAATGTTTTTTATAGACAGCAAGAAACTCACATATGTTTAGACCAATCATCTGAGGTCTCAGAACTTTGCCTTTTCAAGTTTTTGAGGAGAATATTTCTTTTAAAGAAGTCGAAAGTTCTTTTTAATAAATTTAAGCTATTTAATTTTATCTCATTGCAAGGTTGCCATTTCTTCAACTGAATAAAAATATGTGTAATTTTATGTTTTCTTTCTTTAATCTTATTCTTTTAATGATTAACAGCTTTCTTATAATATTTACATCTTCTGGAAATGTTTTTGGTATATTTCTGAAATCTGAAAGAGAGGAGTTTTCTATTTTAAGTTTCAGAATCATAGCCCAAGAAATGAAACCCTAGGCCATGAACATTTAAACAAATGTGTCATCAAATGTATATTATTGAATCAAGAACATTTATGTTTTATCTGACATTATAGGGCATTACAAATACTATAACAAGTGTAACTTATTTCGTGTTCTACTTGTTCTTTAAGGGGAATATTATTTAAAGTTAAGAATGTTATTCCTTTGTTTCTACTTTGAGATGTTTATGATACATTTTTATGTGTGCCTTGAAATTGTCATAATACTACATTTTCAAGTTGTATTCTAGGCCAGTGCAATGGCTCACACCTAGAATATCCCAGCACTTTGGGAGGCAGAGGCGGGCTGATTGCTTGAGCCCAGAAGTTTGAGACCAGTCTGGGCAAAATGGCAAAACCCAGTCTCTACAAAAAATATGAAAATTAGCCAAGCATGGTGGCATGTGCCTGTAGTCCCAGCTACTCGGGAGGCTGAGGTGAAGCGATCACTTTTAAGCCCAGAGCTCGAGGCTGCAGTGACCCGAAATTGCAACACTGCACACAAGCCTGGGCAGAGTGAGACCCTGTCTCAAAATAAACAAAAAACAAAAATTTATATTCTAAATGAGAATACTGGATTAGACACAATCTAAGAAGCTTCTAAAATACACACACACATTAGAATAAATTAAGTAAATGGTTATGTTAATGTCCAAAGTTCTTTTCTATACTAGTTATACTTCAGAATAACCAAATAGTTCATGAGGAAAAGTTTATTTTTGTGGAAGTATTTCAGCTAGTAAGTGAAGAAGGAATGGTAGAATATCACATTTCTCAGGTCCTAGTAAAATAATAAACCTAGGGAATTATCATGACTGGATGGGTACTATCACAAAAAGTTAACTAGACATTATATGCCTCCTGTTAGAAGTATTCTTGGCAAGTATTTGTGTCATAAAATTAATCCTGAATCAGACCAAGTCACTATATCTCTGCTTTACAGAAAATATAGAGGACAGAAAAACATGGCAAATGACAATTTCTTCCACAAAGTGC
Organism: Homo sapiens; assembly: GCF_000001405.40. NCBI lineage: Eukaryota > Metazoa > Chordata > Mammalia > Primates > Hominidae > Homo > Homo sapiens. Next base: position 50,151,278 of record NC_000014.9, on the reverse strand, counting down.
AAGCAAAAATATGCAATAAAGCAGTAACCTGTAGATTAAAGGAGACTTGAGACACATTGACTCAGTGCAATATGTGCAATCTTGTTCAGATCCCTTTTCAAACTAAATATAAGAAAATATGGCCAGGCACAGTGGCTCATGCCTGTAATCCCAACACTTTGGGAGGCCAAGGCAGGCAGATCACTTGAGCCCAGGAGTTCAAGACCAGCTTGGGCAACATGGATAAACCCTATTTCTACTAAAAATACAAAAATTAGGCCAGGCGCGGTGGCTCACGCCTGTAATCCCAGCACTTTGAGAGGCCAAGGCAGGCAGATCACGAGGTCAGGAGTTCGAGACCAGCCTGGCCAACATGGTGAAACCCTGTCTGTACTAAAAATACAACAAAATTAGCCAAGCATGGTAGTGTGCACCTATAATCCTAGCTACTCAGGAGGCTGAGGCAGGAGAATCGCTTGAACCCGGGAGGTGGAGGTTGCAGTGAGCCGAGATCACGCCATTATTCTCCAGCCTGGGTGACAAAGTGGGACTCCATTTCAAAAAAAATACAAAAATTAGCCAGGCGTGGTGATATGTGCAGTCCCAGCTACTTGGGAGGCTGAGGTGGGAGGATCACTTGAGCCCGCAACATGGAAGTTGCAATAAGTTGAGATTGCGCCACTGCACTCCAACCTGGGCCACAGAGCAAGACCCTGTCTCAAAAAAAAAAAAAAAGGAAAATAATCAGAGAGAGAAATGTGAACAGTGACAAAATACTTCAAGATAACAATGTATTAAGAAGTTGTCAGTTTTATGTGTGATAATGGTGTTGTGGTTATTACTTTAAAGAGTGTTTTAAAGGTGCTTAAATATGAATGAAATACGATGTCTCGGATTTGTTTCAGAATAACCTAGGAAGTGACGGGATGGCATGAGTAGGGTTAGAGAAAATAAAAATTGGCCATGAGTTGGTAACTGTTGAGGCTGGGTGAAAGTTAAGGATTAAATGAAGATTTGCAGTCATGTCTGTCAAGTAAAAGACATTTTTCTTTATGTGTTCTTTTTCCAGGGAAAGCTATGAAAAAATGGGTAGAGTCAATTGCTAAGATCATCAGGAGGAAGAAGCAAGCTCAGGCAAACGGAGTAAGCCATAATATTACCTTTGAAAGTCCACCTCCACCAATTGAATGGCATATCAGCAAACCAGGACAGTTTGAAACATTTGATCTCATGACACTTCATCCAATAGAAATTGCACGTCAGCTGACACTTTTGGAGTCTGATCTTTACAGGTAGACAATTAATGTTAATGTCTTGCTTTATTTTTAAGAATCTTGAACATTACCTATTTTCAAAACATTTTGCACATTATTCATGAGTGCTTAAAAATACCTCATCTACTCTCATGGGCTTAGAGGAAAGGTCATAGCACAGTTTTTAACTAGTCTGCCCTGCAAGTAAAAGTCTTATGTCTAGACTGGGGACTAGCAATCCATTACAAGAGGAATGGCAGGAAGATTTTCAAGTCCACCACCCCTCTTCAACTCCTAATACCTTCTCACCTTGGTTTAGTTTGAGGTCAGTCAGTCAAGTCAGTTAGTATGGATGCTAGGCCCTTAGCAGCTAAGTGAATAGAATATTGTGTGAGATGGGTTTTCTTTTCTCATTTACAGCTCAGGCTGTTGCGAAGGGTACAGGCCTTGCATGTAACAGCTCTCTGTCGAAAAATGTCACTATCATTATCATTCCATCAAAAACTTTTTCTACACCAACCTCTCTGTTTTCCCCTCCTCCCAATCCTTCCCAGCCACTAATACCTGCAGTTCTACTCTCTACTTCCATGAGTTCATTTTTTTTTTAGTTTTCATATATGAGTGGGAACATGTTATATTTTTCTTTCTGTGTCTGATTTATTTTGCTTAACATAAGGTCCTCCGGGCTCATCCATGTTGCCTTGAACGACAGGCTTTCATTCTTTTTTTATGGCCGAATAGTGTTCCACTGTGTATATATACCACATTTTCTTTATTCATTAATCTGTTGATTCCATATCATAGCTATTGTGAGTAGTATAGAAGCCTCAATTTAAAATATAAATGTGCTTGGCTGGGTATGATGGCTCATGCCTGTAATCCCAGCACTTAGGAGGCCAAGGTGGGCAGATCGCTTGAGACCAGGAGTTCAAGACCAGCCTGAGCAACATGGCAAACTCCGTCATACAAAAACTACAAAAAATAGCCAGGCATGGTGGCTCGTGCCTGTAGTGCCCCTGTAGTCCCAGTTGCCCAGGAGGCTGAGGTGGGAAGGTCACTTAAGGTCGAGGCTGCAGTGAGCCAAGATTGTGCCACTGCACTCCAGCTTGAGTGACAGAGTGAGACCCTATCTCTAAAATAAAAATATTTTCATGGAGTTATCCTGATTAGCAGCCAATTTTTAAATAAAGATTACACAGGGAAAAGCAAGAATATATAAAATTTAGTGCTAATAGGTAATATAGTAAGGTACCTTTACTACATTATGTTTACTTTATGTTCTTTAGAATTTGCCTAGTTTGCACTGGCCATGCCATTCAGAACCAGACTTTTAGCGCACCCACCAGAAGTTGTCAACATCTGACTCAAAATGTTATGTTATATTTTAAGTAATTTAGAATCCAGGTAGCTTTGTTTATGTTGTGGGATTTGTGATACGTAGAAATGAAGGGACTTGTTACTTGAGGTAAAAAAAGCAAATAGTACTGCATCATGTTTTTTCTCACAATGTAATTGTTTTACATGAATGGACATCAGAAAAAAAGCACTTCACTTCATGTGGACCTACTTTCAGGACATAGAAAAATACCTAATACTGACTTCATTTGTAAACTAAATTTTTTTTTTTTTTTTTTTTTGAGATGGTGTCTTGCTCTGTCACCCAGGCTGGAGTGCAGTTGTGCAATCTCGGCTCACTGCAACCTGTGCCTCCCAAGTTCAAGTGATTCTCATGCCTCAACCTCCCGAGTAGCTGGGATTACAGGTGTGTGCCACCATGCCCGGCTTTTTTATATTTTTAGTAGAGATGGGGTTTCACCATGTTGGCCACAGTGGTCACGAACTCCTTACCTCCAGTGATCCACCCACCTCAGCCTCCCAAAGTGCTGGGATTACAGGCATGAGCCACTGCACCCAGCTTTGTAAACTAAATTTCTGGTGAAATAATAGAGCCACTTTAAGAAAACATTTCAGAAACTGTTAGCAAGTACTTATTTATACACAAATCTACTGATTAAAAAATATTTTTTTAATGAATAACCAAGTCTGTAGGCCATTGATGGCAATGCCACCAGTCAATTAAAAAGAAAAAAAAGAGATAGGGTCTCACTGTGTTGCCCAGGCTGGCCTTGAACTCCTGGCCTCAGGCAGTCCTCCTGCCTTGGCCTCCCAGGTGCTGGGATTACAGGTGTGAGCCACTGTACTTGGCCAATTTTTAAATTGTGTATTCTGACTCACTGTATACAATGTTTTAATCTGCTCTTCTGTCTGAATTTTAATTAAATACTCAGGCATTCAAAAAATATAGGAAATAATATAATGAATATTCATGAACAACAAAAACATTTTAGATAAAATTGAAATCCTTTGTGTAATTCTCCCAAATCTTATTGCTCTCTTTCCCCTAAGAAAGCACTACCACCCTGAATTTGATGTTTACTATTTCTCTTTATATTTTTAAAATTTATAAACATACACGGAGATTCATAAACAACGTATAGCATTGTTGTACACTTTTTTTTTTTTTTTTTTTTTTTAGAAACAGGGTCTCACTCTGTTGCCCAGGCTGGAGTGCAGTGGCACAATCATAGCTCACTGTAGCCTTGAACTCCTGGGCTCAAGCAATCCTCCTGCCTCAGCCTCTCGAGTAGCTAGAACTACAGGCACGCACCACCATACCTGGCTAATTTTTTTAAAAAAATTTCATAGAGATGAGGTCTTGCTATGTTGCCCAGGATGGTCTTGATCTTGGCCTCAAGTTGTCCTCCCACCTCAACCTCCCAAAACGCCAGGATTACAGGTGTGAGCTACAGTGCCCAACTGGTTTTTTGTTGTTGTTGTTGTTTGTTTGTTTAAGATGGGGTCTCACTCTGTCACCCAGGCTGGGATGCAGTGGCATGATCATAGCTCATTGCAGCCCCAGACTCTAGGCTCAAGCAGTCTTCCCACCTCAGTCTCTCAGTAGCAGGAACTGCAGGGAGGAACTACTGTGCCTGTTTTTTTTTTTGTTTTATTTTTTTGAGATAGGATCTCATTATGATTGCCCAGGATAGTCTCAAACCCTTTGCCTCAATCAATCCTTCCACTTCATCCTCCCAAGTAGCTGGGATTATAGGTGCGCACCACTGCACCTCAGCTTGTTTTGCACTTTTTTTAAACTGCATATACTTATGTATCATTCTGCAACATGCTTTTTACTTAAATCATTTTTGGCATTTGTTCAAGTCAATGAATACAGTTCTAGTTAGCTTATTTTAGATGCTGTGTAGTGTTCCGTTATATTTATACTCCACAATTTATCCAGTCTCTGGATGATGAGCCTCTATTCACTCTTGCAAATAATGCTTCACTGAATATTCTTGTAAACGTTTTCTTATAACTTTGTTTTTTGTTTGTTTGTTTTGAGACAGAGTCTCACTCTGTTGCCCAGGCTGGAGTGCAGTGGCATGATCTCAGCTCACTGCAACCCTCTGCTTCCTGGGTTCAAGCGATTCTCCTGCCTCAGCCTCCCAAGTAGCTGGGACTACAGGCACGCACTACTACGCCCGGCTAATTTCTTTGTATTTTTAGTAGAGATGGGGTTTCGCCTTGTTGGCCAGGCTGTTCTTAAACTCCTGACCTCAAGTGATCTGCCCGCCTCAGCCTCCCAAAGTGCTGGGATTACAGGCATGAGCTGCTGCACCTGGCTCTTATAAATTTGTGTAAGAGTTTATCTAGGGTATATGCATACTTAAGAGTCAAATTGCTGAGTCATCCGATATGTATCTCTTCAGTACTATGAGATCTTGCCAAATTGTTTTACAAAATGGTTGTATCAATTTTTACTTCCCTATTGGTGTTCCTGTTTTATTATATTTTTATCCATTTGGAATTATCAGACTTTTTTTTCGTTTCTTTTTTTTTTTTTTTTTTTTTGGAGACAGAGCTTTGCTCTTGTTGCCCAGGCTGGAGTGCAGTGGTGCGATCTCGGCTCACCACAACCTCCATCTCCCGGGTTCAAGCGATTCTCCTGCCTCAGCCTCCCAAGTAGCTGGGATTACAGGCAGGTGCCACCATGCCCGGCTAATTTTGTATTTTAGTAGAGACGGGGTTTTTCCATGATGGTCAGGCTGGTCTCGAACTCCTGACCTCAGGTGATCCATCTGCCTCGGCCTCCCAAAGCGCTGGGATTACAGGCATGAGCCACCACGCCTGGCCTTGAGTTATCAGACTTTTGTTCATCTAATGAGTAAAATGGGATTTCATTGTAGTTTTATGTTATTTTCCCTGAGTAAGGGATAAAGTGTGTTTTCGTGTTTGTAGCTATTTGGGTCTATTCCTCTCTGAATTACTTGTTCATATATGTGTTCATCTGTCTTTTGGGTTAATTGTCTTTTTCTTATTAAGTTTTAGAAGATCTTTAAGTAATACAAATCCTTTATAGGTTAAGTTGCACTGATTTTCAATTCCATAGGAAAGTTCAACCGTCTGAACTTGTAGGGAGTGTGTGGACCAAAGAAGATAAAGAAATAAATTCTCCAAATTTATTAAAAATGATTCGCCATACCACAAATCTCACCCTCTGGTTTGAAAAGTAAGTTTTAATTTACTCTTACTACCTCCTAATAGCCATAATATTAAGTCATATTTAAGCTAAAATTCTGGCTACTCATAATTATCTTGTTTTCTAAGTGAGGTGAAGAAACTTTTCTAAGCCATGAATTTTTGTTGTTGTTAGATGCATTGTGGAAGCAGAAAATTTTGAAGAACGGGTGGCAGTACTAAGTAGAATTATAGAAATTCTGCAAGTTTTTCAAGATTTGAATAATTTCAATGGCGTATTGGAGATAGTCAGTGCAGTAAATTCAGTGTCAGTATACAGACTAGACCATACCTTTGAGGTAAGTTTTAGGCTTAACTTTTTCATTTTTCTCGGGGATGATGAAATTAGCATAAAAGAAATTTCATCTATCATCTGTCTTTTTAATTAAATTCTTTGTAAATTCATCCTTGCTTCATAAATATGATATAAATATATTAGAAAATATGTTGATATATTAGTTAATATATGAATATGATATATAATATGTGAATCCTAGGCTTATATTAGAAAATATATCAATATTCAATAAACAATATGAGACTTGCACTGCCGTGTAATGTACTTAACCTAAATGTAATGAAGTTCCAAGTGGATTTATTCAATAACACATTGATTGATAGTCTCAAATGACAAAGGATTTTAAATATAAAAATACAAGTAATGTCTTAATTACCTTTAGGTAGTCAACAATAGTATAACACGGGAAGAACTATTTCAAAAACTTAAATTTGGCCAGGCGTGGTGGCTCACGCCTGTAATCCCAGCACTTTAGGAGGCTGAGGCGGGTCGATCACCTGAGCTCAGGAGTTCGAAACCAACCTGGACAACGCGGCGAAACCCCATCTCTACTAAAAATACAAAAATTAGCTGGGCATGGTGGCGCACGCCTGTTATCCCAGCTACTTCGGAGGCTGAGACAGGAGAATTGCTTGAACTCAGGAGGCAGCATTTGCAGTGAGCTGAGATCACACCACTGCACTCCAGGCTGGGCGACACAGTGAGACTCAGTCTCAAAAAATTAAAAAATATATATATTTTTTAAATTATAAAATATGTGTTTAACATGTACTATTGAAAATTCAGGAGATATAGAAAATAGGAAGATATTTTGCATATATATTTTAATAACAAAATTGAGATTACATTGTGCATAGATTTTTATGGCCCTTTTCTCATAAACAGTTTTCTATTTTTTTATTAGCTTATCTTCAAAAACAAGATTTTAATGGCATCAAGGTTTTCTATCATGGATAAATCATAATTTATTCCAACAGTAGATTGTGGGACAATTAAGTTATTTCTGATTTTTTTCTGTGATAATTTATCATGGAATATTCATATGTAGAAGTCTTTTTAAGAGCTTGATTATTTCCCTAGAAATAATCTAGGGGTGGAAATCCTGGGTCTGAGTATTTATATACTTTAAGACTTTAAATACTTTTGCCAAGGTGTTTCGTAGCAGGATACGATAAATGCCCCTTGGTATTATGTATTATATTAAAAGCTTTTGGCCAGGTGTGGGGGCTCTCACCTGTAATCCCAACACTTTGGGAGGCAGAGACAGGAGGATCACTTGAGCCCAGGAGTTTGAGACCAGCCTGGGCAACATAGGGAGACCACATCTCTACAAAAAAAAAAAAAAAATAGCCAGGCATGGTGTTGCATGCCTCTGGCGGGGGCAGAAATCGCACTGCATTTTTAAATTGTATGTTAAAAAATAACTAGTGAGGCTGGGCTCAGTGGCTCACCTGTAATCCTAGCACTTTGGGAGGCCGAGGCGGGTGGATCACCTGAGGTCAGGAGTTCGATACCAGCCTGGCTAACATGATGAAACCCCATCTCTACTAAAAGTACAAAAATTAGTCAGGCATGGTGGTATGTGCTGGTTTGCAATCCCAGCTACTCAGGAGGCTGAGGCAGGGGTATCGCTTGAACCTGCCTGGTGGAGGTTGCAGTGAGCCAAGATTGCCCCACTGCACTCTAGCCTGGGCAACAGAGTGAAACTTGTTCTCAAAATAAATAATAACTAGTGAGGTTGAATATGTATTTATTGGGTACTTTATGATTTATGTATTCATTGCCTCTCTCATTTTTGGGGGAGGGTGTTTTCATTTTGTTGATTTTTTTTTTTTTTTTTTCCTAAAGAGTCAAGCTTGCTCTGTCACCCAGGCTGGAGTGCCAGTGGCATGATCATAGCCCACTGCAGTCTCGAACTCCTGGGCTCAAGGGATCGTCCTGTCCCAGCCTCTTGAGTAGCTGCGATTACAGGCATTAGTCAGCATGTCCAGCTGCATTTTATTCATTTATATGGATTTTTCATATATTAAAGATATTAAAACTTAGACTGTACATATATTCTCATTTCTGTTTGTCTTTTATCTGCTTTTTAATTTAAAAAATGTATAATGCTTTGACATAAGGACGTTTTATCATTTTTATTTAGTTGCACATATCAGTCTCTTCACTTATGGTTTCTTCCTTTGCTTTTGTACCTGGAAAGACTTTTTTTAAGTAAAGGATAACAAGTTAGAAACTCAGCCATATAAATACTGCTTTTGGGAATGTGCGTTTTTACAATCTTTCTGGAAAGCAGTCTAACAATATATGTTAAAATTAAAAATGTGCATACTCTTAGGACCCAGAATTGCAAAGAAATAAACACACCAGAGTATAAAGTTATATGTACAAAGATATAGTTACTGCAGCATTAGTTGTAGTAGCAGAAAACAGGAAACAACCTGAATGTCTATCAGTAAGAGAATGATTAAATACATCCTCTTATACCTCTATTGTAGAATATTGTTCAGCTATACAACAAAGTGAATGGGATCTATGTGTATTGTTGTGGAAGAACATTTGTGATATTTCAGCAGGGGAAAAGCTTCAGAATGACTATAATATTATTCCATTTTAGTATCACAAAGCAGAGCAAACCCCAAACCTCTAAGTGGAACTGGATAAGTATTGAGAATAATGTGGGAGGTTACATACTCCTCTTTTAACATTATTTATTTATTTTTTTTAGTGGGTTGTTATTAGAGGGGAATAGAGGAAAAACTGCTTTATACATATATTTTTCTGTTTGGGTGTTTGCATTTTATTGATTTGTATGAACTTTATATGTTAAAGATATTAATACTTAGTCAAATATTATGAAATAGGCCGGGGGCAGTGGCTCATGCCTGTAATCCCAACACTTTGGGAGGCTGAGGTGGGTGGATCACATGAGGCCAGGAGTTTGAGACCAGCCTGGCCAACATGATGAAACCCCGTCTTTACTAAAAATATAAAAATTACCCAGGCATGCTGGCGGGCGCCTGTAATCCCAGCTACTTGGGAGGCTGAGGCAGGAGAATCACTTGAACCCGGGAGGCAGAGGTTCCAGTGAGCCGAGATCGCACCACTGCACTCCAGCCTGTGCGACAGAGCAAGATTCCATCTCAAAAAAAAAAAAAAAGAAATATTAATGTATTTAATAAATGTGTCATAAATTGAATGCCTATATCTGTAGGCCTTTTGTTGGTCTCTCTGTTCTGTTCCTTTGATCTATTTGATCACTCTTGTGCCAGTGCCACTAGTCTAAACTATCATAACTTTATAGTAGTCCTTGATAGAGAAGAGTAGGGCAAATCCTCGCCAATCTTACTCTTTTTCAGGAGGAACGTATTCTTGGTTCTTTGTTCTCCTATATACATTTTAGAATCAATTTAAGCTCCATTTTTTTAAATTGGCATTTTGATAGGAGTTGCATTGGCTCTCTAAATCCAATTACAGATTAGTGAAGAACTGACATTTTTATAGTAACAAGTCTTTTCAACTGTGAACATCGTTTATCTCTTTATTTACTCAGTTAATAAAGTTTTGTGGGGTTTTTTTTGTTTTGACAGAGATCGCATACCTCTTTTGCTAGATGTATATTAGAATTATTTTGTTTTCAGTGACCCTTAGAGACAGGGTCATGCTCTGTCACCCAGGCTGGAGTACAGTGGCATGATCATAGCTTACTGCAGCCTCCTATTCCCAGGCTCAAACAGTCTTCCTACCTTAGTCTCCTGAGTAGTGGGGACTATAGGCACGTGCCACCCTGCTCAGCTAATTTTTTAAATTTTATGTGGAGATTGGGCGTTGCTATGTTGCGCAGACTGGTTTCGAACTCCTGGCCTCAAACTATTCTCCCACCCCAACATCTCAAAGTGCTGGGATTACAGGTGTGAGCCACTGCACTTGACCAGAATTTTTTTTTTTTTTTTTTTTTTTTTTTTTTGAGACAGAGTCTCGCTCTGTCACCCAGGCTGGAGTGCAGTGGCACAATCTCGGCTCACGGCAAGCTCCACCTCCCAGGTTCATGGCATTCTCCTGCCTCAGCCTCCCGAGTAGCTGGGACTACAGGCACCCGCCACCACGCCCGGCTAATTTTTTGCATTTTTAGTAGAGACGGGGTTTCACCGTGTTAGCCAGGATGGTCTTGATCCCCTGACCTCATGATCCGCCCGCCTCAGCCTCCCAAAGTGCTGGGATTACAGGCGTGAGCCACTGCACCTGGCCTCAGAATTTTTTTTAAATCCTGATTTCTTTATTGATGATATCTAGAAATGCAGTTGATTTTTGTCTATTGGTTTTATATATAGCAGCATTGCTGATTCTCTCATTAACATTCTATATGTAGATTTATTGGAGTTTCCTCATGGGCAGTCATATCCTCTGTGTGAATAGTGACATTTTTTTTTCTTTCCAATCTCTAGCTCTTTATTTCTTATACTTGTCCATGCTAGCTAGGACTTCTGTATAGTATTGAATAAAAGCTACAATGTTATACCCTTGGCTTTTTCCTTGATTTAAAGGAAATTGACTGAATGGTTCTCCATCAAGCATAGTGTTCGCTCTGGGGTTTACGTGTGTGTGTATATTCTTTCTGAAGTAAAAATTAATTTTCAATAAGAAGATCTAGTAATGAAGTATAAAAGAAATGCTAGTTTACTTCATTCACTAAATTTTTGTTCAAGTCTTCTTGTCTTCTGATAGTTGTCTTCTCCTTAACAAAACCCCAACCTTTAGCCCCAAAAGATCTTTCAGTGGAAAAATATTTGAATGTTCAGGGGTTATAATTTTCATCTTCTACAGCTATGACTTGAAACCCTGGCTAGTCAAAATAACGCACAAGGCATGACGTAGAATTTTTTGTATTGCTTGATCTTCTAATTTATATGAGTAAATTATGGGTTTTATATTTATAGATAAAGAGAGGAGAAATCACTTCAGGTAAGTGTACAAAGGAATACCACTCATCTTTTAATGTAAAAAAATTGTTTTCCAGATAATTTGCAAAATTTTATAAAATTTAAAGGTTTGCATTTATAAAATATGATTGAATTGTAAAAAATTTATACTCAATTTATGTATACTTTAAGGCACTGCAGGAAAGGAAAAGGAAAATTTTGGACGAAGCTGTGGAATTAAGTCAAGATCACTTTAAAAAATACCTAGTAAAACTTAAGTCAATCAATCCACCTTGTGTGCCTTTTTTTGGTAAGTTACTAAATATGGATATATTTTGAGGGTGAGCGTGTGATAGCCAAAAGAGAGCAGTCTTCAGAGGCATGTTATCTTTATTTTATATCTGAGCTCATCTACTTTTATTAGCTCTCTGTATTAATAAATAATAAAACTCTCTATTTTCTATAAAATGAAGACTATAATATCTCATAGGGTTGTTATAAATAAGGATTAAAAATATTTTGTCTGTACTACCTAATAAGTCTAGCACATAGGACGCACTCATGAAATGGTAACTGTTATTTTTATCATAACTATCTATGTCACATCTACAGTGTTTGCTTTCTCTTTAATTTATTAAAAGCTTCTATGTGATTTTTAAATTTAGAATTAAAATATTGTTGTGTATGATTGAAATTGAATGATTTAAATCAAGTTTTGTCAACTTCAACAATTTTGGTATTTTGGGCCAAATAATTCTTTGTTGTGATGGGCTGTCGTGTGCGTAATAGGATCTGTAGCAGCATCCTGGCCTCTATTCATTACACTCCAATAGCACCCTGGAGTTGTGGTAACCAAAAATGTCTCTAGACATTCCTAAATATCCCCTGGGGGACTAAATTGTCCCCAGCTGAGAACCACCAATTTAAATGAATCAGCAATTACGCATGAAAAAGGGACTAAAAACTTTTTTATTGTTCATGAATGAGAAGTAATTATTTTTCTATCTAAATTACAGTCTCTGAAAAAACAGAATTAGTTTATAAGCCTATAGACTTATTAACCAAAATTGGCTTAAAATTAATTTATTAATAATCACCTAAGATACTTGGCATTAAATATTTATAATCAAATATTAAAATATTTGGTCAGAATAGATTTAACACAATTTGCACTTGGTGAAATTAGAGTTTAGAAAAGCTTAATTTGCCATTTCTTAGATTAGCAGCCTTTATTTTTGTACAAGCCAGTAGCTTTTATTTTCTTTTTATTTTAAATTCTTTCTCTTTAAAAAATGCTTAATGGAGAGTTAATGATTGTTTATCAGAGACTTAACATTTTAGTAGTAGAGTTGCTGAATAGTATAGGATGTCTTTCAACTTTACTAGATCAGTTGTTTTCCCAAATAATTGATTAAATAACAAAATTTAAAATAACTTTTCTTTAAATTCTTTTTTTTTTTTTACTAGGAATATATTTAACAAATATTCTGAAGACCGAAGAAGGGAATAATGATTTTTTAAAAAAGAAAGGGAAAGATTTAATCAATTTCAGTAAGAGGAGGAAAGTAGCTGAAATTACTGGAGAAATTCAGCAGTATCAGAATCAGCCTTACTGTTTACGGATAGAACCAGATATGAGGGTAAATATTTTCTTTGCATATCTTTAGAAGAGAACGTGTTAATGGGTACCAAAAAAAAAAAATAGAATGAATAAGACATACTATTGGATCGCACAACAGGGTGACTACAGTCCATAATAATTTAATTGCAGATTTAAAAGTAACTGTAAGAGGCCAGGCACTGTGGCTCACGCCTGTAATCCCAGCACTTTGGGAGGCCAAGGCGGGCGGATCGCTTGAGATCAGGAGTTGGAGACCAGCCTGGGCAGCATGGCGAAACCCCGTCTCTACTAAAAATATAAAAAAAAATTAGCTGGGCATGGTGCTGGGTGCCTGCAGTCCCAGCTACTCAGGAGTCTGAGGTGGGAGAATCACTTGAGCCTAGGAGGGGTAGGTTGCAGTGAGCCGAGATAGCGCCACTGCACTCCAGCCTGGGTGACACAGTAAGACTTCTGTCTCAAAATAATAATAGTAGTAATAACTATAAGTATCGGCTGGGCATGGTGGCTCACGCCTGTAATCACAGCACTTTGGGAGGCTGAGGCGGGAGGACCACTTGAGGTCAAGAATTTGAGACCAGCCTGACCAACATGGTGAAACCCTGTCTCTACTAAAAATACAAAAAATTAGCCGGGCATGGTGGCGGGTGCCTGTAATCCCAGCTACTTGGGAGACTGAAGCAGGAGAATCATTTGAACCCAGGAGGTGGAGGCTGCAGTGAGCCGAGATCATGCCACTGCCTTCCAGCCTGGGTGACAGAGGGAGACTCCGTCTCAAAAAATAAAATAAAAAATATTAACTATAAGAGTATAATTGGATTATTCATAATACAAAGGATAAATGCTTGAGGGAATGGATACCCCACTCTCCATGATGGGATTATTCTACATTACATGCCTGTATCAAAACATCTCTTATACCCTACAAATATATACACCTATTATGTACCCATGAAAATTAAAAATTTTAAAAATTAAAAAAAAATTTTAGATCTTGTGTGACCTGTAAGAAATATCATAATTATTTGTCTTGCTATGAAAATAATAGAAAAAAATTAATCAGTAGATAGCATGTTAAACATTAGACATTCTACACTATCTGCAGTTGTTAATATTGTTACTAAGTACTTTCTTTTGAAAGTATTGCTTCTTTGTGTAGTTGGTTCAAGCTACACCATAAAAAGTGAATGACAAAGTAGAATGATGTCCATGCAGTAAAAAGAAAATTCATTTCTAGATTTGATAGCCATTTTAGATAATGTTACATGTAGCAAAATAACGTTATATAATTCATAAGAACAGTGTGTTTAAATAGGAAAAGGGTCAGCAAAGTGGTATATGTATGCCTGGCAGAAGATGATTTTTCTAACATCCTGTCGATTGATGTTCTATTTTGAGCAATAGTGTGTAATATTGATACTATAGTACTATAAAATATGAAACAACCTTCTAAATTAAACTATGATATTATGTTTATGCTAAATGAATGTTATTATATTATACTTGAACTTGGGAACATATTATAACTATCAACCAGAATAAGTTTACGTGTCATATTAAAAACTGCGCTAAACTTTTTAGACATAATCTGCATGCAAATTGGGCATATTGAGTGAAAATATCCACCATTACTTCCACCCTCCTAAATTATGAGATAGAAACTTCTTTGTTCCCGGTTCAAAACAAAGTACCCTAAAGTCCTAAGAAAAAGACCACCTAAAGCATACCATTTATAAAAATGATAGGTCGGGCACAGTGGCTAATGCCTGTAAATCCAGCACTTTGAGAGGCTGAGGTGGGTGGATCACCTGAGGTCAGGAGTTCAAGACCAGCCTGGCCAACGTGGTGAAACTCTGTCTCCACTAAAAATACAAAAATTCGCTGGGTGTGGTGGCACGTGCTTGTAATCCCAGCTACTCAGGAGGCTGAGGTGGGAGGATCGCTTGGACCCAGAAGGCAAATGTTGCAGAGAACTGAGATAGAGCCACTGCACTCTAGCCTAGGTGACAGAGCGAGACTGCATCTCAAAAAAAAAAAAAAAAGATACTTGCTCTTAAAAAAAATAAAGGTGGTAACCTACTGATGGTGACCTATTTCATCCCCTCTCACCATTGAACCCGCCCTCTGTGATGTGGGGCTTCGGAGAGCTAAGGAAATATGGTCCCCACAGGAATAATGTTACACTTTAATTCGGTATGCTTGAAATAGTACTTTTAGTATTTATATCTCAGAACCATACCTGCTAATTGGTGTTTGTGGTGTGGTCTAGGGTTCCTACCACCATTTAAAGCATTTTTGGGAGGAAGTGTCTTCTATATGATTGAGTCAAACAAAATAAATTTAAAATGTAGACAAAGTAGCTATTCACTTTTCAAATCATACTTAAATAAATAGTATTTAAAATAGAGCAAAGGATGAGGAAATCAAGAATACTGCTGTTATAGCTTTCTGAAAGCCTTTAATTACTAGTGGCTAATATTTAATTTAGCTAACCTGAACATAAGAACACATTGTTTCAGTATTGTTAAAAGAGTAATACAATTTTCTTGAAATTGGCAGAATGCCTTAAAAATGGGAAGAATTTTATACTAGAAATTTTAAAGCTCATTTTGCCTACTGCTAAAGCTAAAACCTAGTACCATTTTTATATATGCTTCTAAACCACTTCAAAATTAAATAAAGCTAAATCCAGTAATTTGCTGCTAAGGAATTTTTCTAAGGAAATCATAAAAAATGTACAGAAAAATTTATATATAGGAGTTAATAAAAATAATTATTATAATAGCAAAAAATTAGAAAGTACCTATATGGATAACTAGCTATATGGAGATTATTACATTCTGAAATATCCATCTGATGAAATACTATAGAGTTAAAATTTGTATTTTGTAAAATAAGCAAACTGGCTGGGTGAGGTGGCTCATACCTGTAATCCCAGCACTTTGGAAGGCTGAGTGAGACTCCATCTCAAAAAAAAAAAAAAAAAAAAAAGCAAACCACATTGAAAAAAGTTAATTGAATATAAACTTCAGAAAGATTAAAATTGATATCCCAGTTTTTCAGGAAAATATATATATAAATTATTAATAATTATATATAAATACATATATACATGCATATATTTACATGCACAGTAAAATCATTGGAAGATAGTCTAATATTTAAATGTAAACAATGATATTTCTGGTTTGTAAGATTACTGTTTCTTTTTCTTTTTTTCTCTTTTTTTGGCAGTGCTAAATCACCTGAATTTTCTACGTTAAAACTTAAATTTAAGCTTAAAATATTTTTTGATAAAGACAAAAATTTTAAACATTTTATTTATTAGGCTTTTTTTAAGAGGAGAGGTCTCACCATATTGCCCTGGCTGGTGTCAAATTCCTGGGCTTAAGCAGTCCCCCGGCCTCAGCCTCCCAAACTGCTAGGATTACAGGTGTGAGCCATCATGGCTTGGCTCAGATAAAAACATTTTTTATACTAGAAGTTAGCACAGATAGGTTTAACTTTATAATCATTCTTTCTTTCTTTCTTTCTTTCTTTCTTTTTTTTTTTTTTTTTTTTTGAGACAGTCTCGCTCTTGTTGCCCAGGCTGGAGTGCAATGGTGTGATCTCGGTTCACCTCAACCTCCGCCTGCCAGGTTCAATTGATTCTCCTGTCTCAGCCTCCTGAGTAGCTGGGATTACAGGCATGCGCCACCACGCCCAGCTAATTTTGTATTTTTAGTAGAGATGGGGTTTCTTCATGTTGGTCAGGCTGGTCTCAAACTCCCGACCTCAGGTGATCCACCCACCTCAGCCTCCCAAAGTGGTGGGATTACAGGCGTGAGCCACCGTGCTCGGCCTATAATCATTCTTGACATTACTTTTAAAGTAATTTAAATGACTACTTTTAAAGTAAAAGGAATTTCCAGAGTAATTATAAATGATCAAGAATGATCTATAAATTGGATTAACAGACCTTAATCTAATTTATCTCCACTTTTTTTCTGATTATCAAAACTTCATTGTGGATTATAACCATAGCTTTGTTCTAAACACTTTTGGTAGCTTACTAGTGATGATCATTTGTTACAATGAGTAGGAGTAAAGTTTCCTAAGGAATAAGTAGTGCTACTGCTGAGCCATTAAAATGATAATAAATGAAAACTCATATTCTTAATAGAACTTTAAGACTAGAATATAACTTCCACAGAAATTATATAATCTTATTCAGAAGTAAAGAGATTGGAATAAGCAACACTTGTGAACTTTTCACATATTGTGGGCTCTTAATGTGTTATTTTTTAGCATTAAATAAGTAATTTTCAGCAAAAAATTTTAATGAGATCTTATTTTAATAAGATCTAAAATATATACTTACTATATATGCACTTGTGTTATTTGTTTAATTCCAGAGATTCTTTGAAAACCTTAACCCCATGGGAAGTGCATCTGAAAAAGAGTTTACAGATTATTTGTTCAACAAGTCACTAGAAATTGAACCTCGAAACTGCAAACAGCCACCTCGATTTGTAAGTCTTTTATAATTTCGGGAACAAGTGTTCTGTTTTTTAAAATATTATTTTCAATGTTTAACAACCTGTTATCTTAAAAATGTAATTGAATGGCTGTTCCTAGGTGTTTTGTTTGCAGTAATATACTATTTCTAAAACTGGGGGGGGAAATGTCAGCCTTTTGATAAAATCTGGTTTATGCCTTATCTTGGTACTACTTATTTATGTGTCTACTTTTGATCCCTCCTAGAATAATACAAAAAGGTGTGAGAAAGTGAGAACTTAATAGGTAGCTGAATGGAACAGAAAAAAAAAGAAAAGACCTGGGAAGGAGTAAGCAAATGTATTTTGGTTCTTGTGACTTGATATGACTTCTGCCATTAGGGCTCCATGGTCCATAGTTGCCTCTGGAACCCATCTCTGTCACTAGAATTTGATGCTACAATTTCCAGTTACTGCAGGAGTTTGCAGTGGCAACAGAAGTAGTAGAAGATGAACTCTAAGTAGCTAAAAGTGAAGCAAGATATAGAAGGAAGTAAAAACACAAACCAACTTTAGGTGAAGCAGGAAGTCAGGTAGTTTCATGCTATCTCATCTTCACAATTGTGTGATATATGAGGGGACTTCAAAAAGTTCATAGAGACCGGGCATGGTGGCTCACACCTGTAATCCCAGCACATTGGGAGACCAAGGCAGGCAGATTGCTTCAGTTCAAGAGTTTGAGACCAGCTTGGGCAACATGGCAAAACCCTGTCTCTACCAAAAATACAAAAAAATTAGCCAGGCATGGTGGTGCACGCCTGGGGGCGGAGGTTGCAGTGAGCCAAGATCACTCCACTTCACTCCAACCTGGGTGACAGAGCAAGACCCCGTCTCAAAAAAAAAAAAAAAGAAAAAAGAAAAAAGAAAAAAAGTTCATGGAAAAATGGAATGAAAAGATAAATTTTTTTGATGGAATTAAAAGATAAACATAAAAACATAAACTTTATTTCCCAACATAAGCTTCCTCAAGTTCAGGACACTTTTGTAAGCGCTAATACCAACCATTTTGTCCATCCCTAAAAAACTAAAGATCCTGGGAATTTAACCATATCATTGCAGTCTCTTTTACATTATTAACTGAAGAAAAATGGTTGCCCTTTAATTTTTTTTTTTATAATTAGGAAACAAAAAAAGTCAGAAGGAGCCAAGTCAAGACTGTAAGTGGATGCCTAATGATCTGCCATCAAAACTCTCAAAGAATTGCTCTGGTTTAATGAGAGGGATGAGCAGGAGCATTGTTGTGGTGGAGAAGGTCTCCTTGGTGAAGCTTTCCTGGTTGTTTTTCTGCAAAAGCTTTGGCTAACTTTCTCAAAACAGTCCCATAGTAAGCAGATGTTATTGTTCTTTGACCCTCTACAAACTCAACAAGAAAAATGCCTTGAGCGTCCTAAAAAACTGTTGCCATGACCTTTCTTTTTGTTTTTGTTTTGTTTTTTTTGAGACAGAGTCTCGCTCTGTCACCCAGGCTGGAGTACAGTGGTGCAATCTCAACTCACTGTAACCTCCACCTCCCAGGTTCAAGCAATTCTACTGCCTCAGCCTCCCACGTAACTGGGATAACAGGTGTGTGCCACTACGCCCGGCTAATTTTTGTATTTTTAATAGAGATGAGGTTTCACCATGTTGGCCAGGCATGTCTTGTACTCCTGACCTCAAGTGATCCACCTGCCTCGACCTCCCAAAGTGATGGGATTACAGGTGTGAGCCACCATGCCCAGCCTTTTTTTTTTTTTTTTTTTTTTTTAATGGCAATAGAGTCTTGCTATATTGCCCAGGCTGGTCTCAAACCCCTGGCCTTAAATGATCCTCCTGCCTCAGCCTCCCAAGGTGCTAGGATTACAGGCATGAGCCACTGTGCTTGGCCAACCTTTGCTCTTGACTGATTTGGTTTTGCTTTGACTGGACCACACTTCCACCTCTTGGTAGCCATTGCTTTGATTGTGCTTTGTCTTCAGGATGATACTGGGAAACCGTGTTTCATTTCCTATTAACAGTTTTTCAAACAAATGCTTCAGGGTCTTGATCCCACTTATTTAACATTTCATTGAAAGTTTTGCTCTTGTCTGCAGCTGATCTGGGTGCAGTGGTTTTGCCATCCATCTAGTGGAAAGTTTGCTCAACTTTAATTTTTCAGTCAGAATTGTATAAGCTGAACCAGTTGAGATATCTGTGGTGTTGGCTATCATTTCTGTTGTTAATCATAGGTCCTCTTCAATTAGAGCAGGAATGAGATTTTTTCCTCAGAAATTGATGTTGATGATCTGCCGCCATTGGCTTTACCTTCCATATCATCTGATCCCTTGTTAAAAATGAGTTATCAATTTGTAAACAGCTGATTTCTTTGGGGCATTGTCCCCATAAACTTTTCATAAAGTATTAGTGATCTCACCATTCTTCTACCCAAGCATCATCATGGATTTGATATTTGTTCTTGCTTCAATTTTAGCAGAATTCGTGTTCCTCTGATAGGGATTCTTTACAAACCGATGTGTTATCCTTCTTAGTATCTCAAACTAGATATGTTTGAGTATCTCAAACTAGATATGTTTGAGCATCTCAAACTGTTCAGACATGTTATAATAAGTTAGTATGAGTTTATTTTGATGGAAAAAAATGAAAGTCATGCATAGTTATTTCATAATAGACATTTGCCATGCACTTTTTGAAAACCCCTCATAGATCTTATTCTCATTTTACAAAGGAAAATAGTGAGATTCCAAGGGGTTAAATAAGTTTTTCAAGGCTGCATAGCTAGATATTGGCACAGTTGAGATCTTAACTCAAGTTTTCTGATCTGAGTTCTGTGTTTTTTATTTGATTACTCCTGCCAGAACTTGAAAAATGGGACAGAGGTGATGGTGGGAGACAATGATAGGAATTTTCTCCAAAGATTTTTAAAGCATCAATGTAGAGGTTGATCATTTAGTATAGGAAGGGGAAAAAATGATCTTTTTTTTTTCTGAAGCATATAGCATAATATGTTTCATAAATTATGTTCCCAGTAAATGTTTGTAAAATCTATATAGATATTTTCAAAGAGAAGTTTAGGTTCATATGTTTTAGGAGTAAAATGTGATTTTCACATAAAATTTCAAGAATTTTATTTCTGCAGTGCTGAAAAGAGACTTACTTATATTCCAATTCATTTTAAAATTAAGCCAGTCAAATCCAGAAGATTCTACTAGAATGATACAGGCTGTCATTGCAGACTGAAGGACTGCACGCTTAAGAACTGTATGCTTAAGAACTAATAAGACTAATAAGGTAGCTCTAAGTCACAGAAACAAATTGTTGTCTATGCAAATTTGTGACATTAATTATGTTTGCTTTTCTCAGCCTAGGAAATCAACTTTTTCCTTAAAATCTCCTGGAATAAGGCCTAACACAGGCCGACATGGCTCTACCTCAGGTACTTTACGAGGTCACCCAACACCATTAGAAAGAGAACCATGTAAAATAAGCTTTAGTCGGATTGCTGAAACTGAGCTGGAATCAACAGTGTCAGCACCAACCTCTCCAAATACACCATCTACTCCACCAGTATCTGCTTCTTCAGACCTTAGTGTATTTTTAGATGTGGATCTCAACAGCTCCTGTGGTAAGTATTTGATGTAAACCGCTTGGTAAAAAAGGAATCCTGTGTCTCAGATAATTCTTATCATTTTAATTAGGGAACTATAGAATCCTTTGCAAACTATATTAGTGTGAAAAGTGATATCTAAATGTGAAAATAATGATTAATACAAGAAGTAGAGCATAATTTGTGCATTGTTGATGCATATTATCTTCTAATTTACTCATTCAACAAAGATTTGTTTAGTACCTTTTGGGTCCCACTACCAGTCTAAAGGGAGCAATAGATGATGAATAAGAAAACAAATAGATAAGTTCTGTGATAGAGGGGGAACCACTTAATGCTAAGAAGGAAAACCATTCTAGATACAGAAGGTTCTGAGTTAATTTTTTAAAAAACTAACATGGCAAAAGATGATGATAAAATTCTGCACTGTGTATTACGTATTATTTATGGAAACATTTAAAAAATAATACCTACATGTTACCTTCCTTTTCAAATTAATTTTTCTTATTCCAATAGGCAGCAATAGCATCTTTGCTCCAGTGCTTTTGCCACATTCAAGTAAGTATAATTTAAGTTGATTCTTAATGAAATGACTGTAAAGATAATAATCTGGTTGATTATATTTGAGTATTTTGAGTTTTGGCAATATTAAAGAACAAGAAAAGTTATAAATAAATTTAATTATTTGCTTACAACTGTGTACTACTTAAGCTTCACTATAGTTTATTTTCATCATTTTTTATGATCTGTTCTAAGGGCTGTATGGCCTTGAAGAAATTACTTACCTTCCCCACACTTGTTAAGGATTAAATGAAATAACTGTATAGAACACCTAGCCGGGTGTGGTGGCTCACGCCTGTAATCCCAGCACTTTGGGAGGCCAAGGCAGGTGGATCACGAGGTCAGGAGTTCAAGACCAGCCTGGCCAACATAGTGAAACTCTGTCTCTACTAAAAAATTACAAAAATTAGCCGGATATGGTGGTGCACGCCTGTAGTCCCAGCTACTCAGGAGGCTGAGGCAGGAGAATCACTTGAACCCAGGAAGCAGAGGTTGTGGTGAGCTGAGATCAGGCCACCACACTCCAGCCTGGGCAACGGAGTGAGACTCCATCTCAAAAAAAGAAAACAACAAAACAAACAAACAAAAAAACACCATCTAAAATATTGCTTGGCATAGAATGAATAGTAATTTCATGTCAGTTGTCTTTCTTCCTTACCCTTTTCAAATCATTTTCCCATGGCAATAATATAGTAAATGTTTATCAGGTTCCCGGGATATCCTCAGTCACTTATTTTTTTTTACATCATCTTATTTAATTAAAGCAGTAAATTTTAAGTAAAGCACTATTCTATCATTCCTAATTATTTCATAATTTATAACTTTTAATGCTGTAAACTTTCTTTCTGTGGTCATTTGTTTAAAACAAAATAACTCAAAAATGAACACAGCACCTTTGGGTATAATTCTCTCAATCTGGAGAACATCTGCTTCGAGCATAGTAAAATATATAGTAGCAAGTTTCCCTATCTTATGAGAAAAATAAGCTTAGTCTTTTAAATGTTTAATTTTATATTTTAGGTTAAAAAATTTTTATCTGGCCAGGCACAGTGGCTCATACCTGTAATCCTACCACTTTGGGAGGCTGAGGCAGGAGTATCACTTGAGGTCAGGGCAACATAGCAGTTCAAGACTAGCCTGGGCAACATAGCAAGACCCTGTCCTCCCTACCAAAAAAAAATTTATCAAAGTGACATATTAATAGAATTTAAAAGGGAAATAGTGCTAAGACACTTAAAATGAAATTAACAGTGGTTCTCTACCTCAAGTCTCCCCACTCCTTTTCTTGTTCTCCAAGGACACTTCCACATTTCTAAATGATGTTTTTGTAGTCTCTCTTGAGTCATTAATTTTAGACAATGTTTACTGATCTCCTCTTATGGTGGATGAGAATTTCATGTCTACCCTGCCTATACTTAACCACATTTGGGGCAAATATTATTCACTGCTATGCTTCCTTTCTTGTATAGCTCTGTTTCCTGGAGTTCATAATTGCCTCATTAATGTTTAGATTTGTTTGTTTGTTTAGGTTTGTTTGTATGTTTGTTTAGCACCTTTCCATGCCCTTTCATAGCAGTTTTCCATAAAGTCAGGCAAATCAGGGAACCTAGCAGGGTTTTCCTTTTTCTTTTCTTTTCGTTTCCCTTTCCCTTTCCCTTCTTTCTTTCCTAGAATCTTCCTTCCTGGTGCCTTTTTGTCCCCCGTTCCAGTTTGGACTGGTTGATATTCAGGTATTGACCCTGCTGTCATCCTAGAACTTTCTTTCATTGTCATCCTAGAAATTCCCTTTGCCTCCCTCCTGTGTTGGATCCTTGTTTTTGGATTCCTCATCTTCTTTCTTGATATGCTCCCTGATTTTAATAGGAGTAGCTCCTTTAGTAGCTACGTGAGAAAAGATAATACATATGACTTAAACTTTTTAAGTTATTGCATATATGGAAACCTATTATACCTTTTTTTGTTTATTTTGTGGAAGCCTATTATACATTTAATTGTTAATAGTTTAGCTGGAAATAGAATGTAAAAAATAATTTGACTCAGAATTTTGAACTCATTTTCCTCCACGGTCTTCTGCCTTTCATAATTCCTGCTGAAAAGTCTAATACCATTCATTTACTTACTCAGTACATAATTTTTAAATGCCTGATAATGTGCAGGCACTATTCTAGATGTGAGAGTGATAGCAGTGAATGAAATAGACAAATATCTTTCTCTCAATGATCCTACAGTTTCAATCTTTTTTTAAACTTAGAGCATACTTAACAGTAGCAGAGGACCCAATGTCATACAGAGGGACCCAAATATACAGAGCCTTAAATGAAATAGAAGTTTATTCCTCACAATAGCCAGAGCAAGTAAGCAACTCTGCTCCACTGGGTTTTCCAGCTAAGCAGGGCAATTCAGAATTCTCAAGATGTGACTTCCATCTCTGTCTTGAGTACCTGCTGTAGTTGTTACCATTTTCTGGCTAGCAGGAAGATGGAGGGCAAGGAGCTTTGTTATAAAAACATGATCTGGGCCGGGCGCGGTGGCTCACGACTGTAATCCCAGCACTTTGGGAGACCGAGGCAGACAGATCACCTGAGGTCAGGAGTTTGAGACCAGACTGACCAACATGGTGAAACCCCATCTCTACTAAAAATACAAAAATTAGCTGGGCATAGTGGCGTGTGCCTGTAGTCCCAGCTATTTGGGAGGCTGAGACAGGAGAATTGCTTGAACCCGGGAGGTGGAGGTTGCAGTGATCCAAGATCGTGTCATTGCACTCCAGCCTGGGGCGACAGAGTGAGACTCTGTCTCAAAAAAAAAAAAAAAAAAAAGGAGACCTTCTTAGTTACAAAGGAAGCTAAGAAACGTCTCTAACTAGGTAGCCATTTGCCTTACCAAAATTCATGGGATCCTATTACTAAAAGGAAAAAGGGAAAGGTGTACTGGGAAGCAGCAGGCTCTGCCACAATATGTTGAAGAAACTTTTAAGGCATTCTCTTTATTCTTAATAATCTACAGCTTCACAATGAACTGCATTGATGTGGGTATTTTTTTTTTTCATTTTGTCATCTACTTAATGAGCCCTTTAAATTTAGAGATTCGAGTGTTCGATTTCCAGAAAATGCTTCCTGTTGCTTTGGTAATAATTTTTCCCCCAGCATGTTCTCTGACTCCTTTTGTGGAGCTCCTTTTTCTTATTCTCATACATCCTAGATTGATCCTCCAATTTTCTTGTCTTTTATCACCTCTTGTCCATCTCTTTGTCTTCTTGTTCTGTTTTCCTGGAAGATTTCCTCACTTTATCTTTCAGCTCTTCTATTTATTTTCTTCATCTGTCATAATTTTAAATTTCTAAGAATTCTTTTCAGTTACCTCTGATTGTGCCTTTTTTTAATAGCATCCTATTCTAATTTCATGGATGCACTGTCTTATCTCTCTTAGGATAATAATTATAGTATTTTTAAATTTTATTTTTAATCGACAGATAATTGTATATGTTTATGGGGTACAATCTGATGTTTTGATACATTGTGGAATGATCAAATCAGCTAAGTTGCATATCCAGTGGCTGGGCAGGGTTGGACCAGGAAAGGGGAGACTTTAGTCAATGGATGCAAAGTTTCAGTGACTATAGTTAATAATAATGTATATCTCTGGATAGATAAAAGAGAAGATTTTAAATGTTCTCACCACAAAGAAATGATGAATATTTGAGATGATGAATAATTACAGTATTTTTGAAAAAAAATTTGTTTTGTTTCTAGTGTTGTCTCTTTTCTGACCTCCTTTCTTGTATTAGTTGTAGTCTCTTGTCTTTCATATTGGAGGCTTTCCTTTCTTGTCCAGTAGTATTTCTGTTCATATTTTAGAATGAGGGGGAAACTGATGGGAAGTGCTGTATCTATATCCATGGCACTTATTGACTTGTGGGTTTCACTGTAGAGTGATGGAATGATAATTTTTTACTTAGGAAATCCCCAAATGTTAGAATCTGTAGGCATTTTCTCTAAGAATGTTTAGTTTCTCTAAAGAAGGATCTTTGAATCTTCTGCCTGGGGCAATCTCGCCATGTAGTATGGATATCTGTGTTTTCAGCTCAGACTAGTATCCCAAGTCTGGGGTTTAGATTTTCCGGAGAATAAAACTGCCAGTCTCCTACAGAGGTGGGAATGAGGTCATTGCCTGGCCTCACTAAGTAGGGGAGAGGAGAATGGGGTTCTAACTCTCCCTTATCCAGACTTAACCAAGTCTTCTGTTTTCATGTCCATGCCTTCCTTTGTACCAAATGCCTTTAGCTCCTGAATCCTTATTTGGTTCTGTGGGGCAGATTTGCTGCTGCTTGTCAGTATTACTCTCTGTAGGGTTTCATCTTCCTCCATCTGTCTCCATATACATTATAATCTACCTTCATGAATTAAAGCTTCAGCTTCATATATTTCCTGGCTTTATTGAAGTTTGTTGATATTTCTTATTTTTCTTGTTGTTCTGTGGTGGAAATGTCATTACACTATTAGTTTCTTAGTACTGCCATAACAAAGCACCACAAACTGAGTAGCTTAAAAGAGCAAAAATGTATTGTCCCACAGTTCTGAAGGCCAGAAATCCAAAATCGAGATGTTGGCAGGGCCATGTTTACTCTGAAACTTGGAGAAGAGAATCCTTCCTTGCTTCTTCTACCTTCTGGCATTTGCTGGCAATCCTTGGCATCTCCTGATTTGTAGATGCCTCACTTCAGTCTTTGCCTCCATTGTCATATGGCTGTCTTCTCGCGGTATGTTTCTTTATTTCTTCTCCTCTTCTTATAAAGACACTGGTCATGTCATATTGGATTTGGATCCATTTTAATGACCTCATCCTAACTTCATTACATCTGCAAAGACTATATTCCAAATAAGGTCACAATTATAGGTACTAGGTTATGGGACTTCATCATATCTTTGGGGGAACACAATTCAACCCATAACACTGTGCCATCGTAGAAGTAGGAATTCTAGACATTATTTTGAATGGTAGTAAAATACATTTTCCATATAAGAAAATTTTACATTTTGAAATTTAATAGAAAATTGAGAATAACTGCATTAAATTCTGAATATTCTAAAATAAATCCCCAAAGAAAATAAAATATTCATAGCAAGTATGAAAAGTACTCAGATGAAATGAGAAAAATGGCAAGACTCCATTCACAATGAACATGGGTACTTCACATCAAAGGAAGTATACCTTGTAAAGAAACATAGATAATTATAGATAGTTCAGCATCATTAGAAATCTGAGGAATTTTACACAATAGTGAGTTGCCATTTTAGTCTTTTGAATTAATGTATTTTTTTTTGTTTTAGTACGAGCAAGCCTATGGTAAAAGGCACATTACTTATCCCCATGTAAATTGGTATATTAGTATAACCCTTTTGGAATCTGAATACAACATATCAAACCATAAAAATGTTCACACCCTTTGATGTTACTGATTCAGTAGATAATTGAATACTTAGTTTGTACCAGTTACCCTGCTAAGCACAAGAGATTCAGTGGCAAACAAGAAAGACAACGCCTCTGCCTTTTATTTATACAAAATACCCAATAAATGTTTGGAAAAAGTTACATGCATGAAGATTCATCCTACTGTCTCGTCTTTTCTTCCACTTCACTTGTCACTGCTTGGTCTCTCTTGCTGGTTCCTCCTCACCTTCCCAAACTATTGACATTGGAAGGCCTTAGGACTCAGTTTCTGGACCTCTTCTCACTCACTTGGTTGTTCAGTCTTGTATCGTTTACATGATGATAATTCCCAAGTTTATATCTAGCCAGAACCTCTCTTCTGACTTCTAGACTCATATATTTAATTACCCATTTAACATCTCCAGTTGGATATCTAATAGGAATCTCAAACCTTACCTGTCTGAAACTGAGCTTCTTATTATCCCCTCCAAAGTTGTTCCTCTCACTGCCTCCTCATCTCCATTCTAATTACAAGCATCCAGTTACTTAGGCTAAAAATAGTGTAATAGAAGTATCTTTTACTTCTCTCCCTTTCTCACACGCCAAATGTGACCTATCAACAAATCTTGACTACTCTCAAAATATATCCAGAATCTAACAATTTTTTGCCATCTCCACTGCTGCCACCCTGGTCCAAGCCACCATAACTTTTACCTTGTTTATTACAGTAAGCATCCTGACTTATTATCTTCTCCACTTCAGTATGTTTTTAGTAGAGCAGCCAGAATGATCCTTTTAGAATCTGAGTTAGACCTTGTTTTACTTGTGCTTAAAGCCCTCTGGTGGGCCGGGTACGGTGGCTCACCCCTGTAATCCCAGCACTTTGGGAGGCCAAGGCAGGCGGATCACCTGAGGTCAGGAGTTGGAGACCAGCCTGGCCAACATGGTGAAACCCCGTCTCTACTAAAAATACAAAAATTAGCTGGGCCTGGTTGCAGGCACCTGTAATCCCAGCATACTCAGGAGGCTGAAGCAGGAGAATTGCTTGAATCCGGGAGGCGGAGGTTGCAGTGAGCTGAGATCACACCACTGCTCTCCAGCCTGGGCGACAAGAGTGAAACTCCATCTCAAAAAAAAAAAAAAAAAAGCCCTCTGGTGGCTTTCCATCTCACTCACAGTGAAAGCCGGTTCCTTTAAAGAACGCACAGGCCCTACACAGTTTGGGCTTGTTTGATCTGTCAGACCTCATCACTTATTCTCCCCCTTCACTCAGTCTGCCTCAACATAATAGACACATTATTGCATCAGTGCTTTGCTCTTGCCATTCCTGCTGTTTATAATACTTTTCAGCCATTTAGCCTCACAGCCTGCTCCCTTACCTCCTTCAGGCTGTTACCTTAGTGAAGCCTTCCCTAATCACCCTATTTATGTTGCTCCCCTCCCACCTCTTTCTATACCCCTTTCCAACCAAATATTTCTTGTCATAATTTATAGGCATCATACTTTTACTTATCTTTCCCTAACCTAGATTATAAGTTCCATAAGGACGTGAATTTTTGAGTTTTGTTCACGGTTATATTGCTAGTGCTTCAGACAGTGCCTGACAGTATTAGCAGGTGCCCAATAACTGTTGAATGAATGAATGAATGGCAGAAAATTAGAAGTAACTTAGATAGCTAACTAACATTACAGAAATTGTTTAGTAAATTCTGCTATATTCACCAGTTTGGAATAAATGCAGGCACTAAAAAAGTTCATAAAGACTGTAGTCTTGTAGGGAAATGCTCTTGATAGACAATTAAATTGCATTCAGACTTCAGCAAGGGTTATTGATTGCCTACCGTGGAGAAATATACTGGTTAAGTGGTGACTGTAGAGTCAGACCCAGATTCAGAGCTCTCATAGCTTTCCCATCATTCACATATCATCTGCTTCCATGAGTGTGCGTGTCTGTTACCACCTAAGACTGGCTTAATCAATAAGAAAACACTCAGACATACTTGGAAGCCTAGAGGAAGGCTGCTTTAAGACTGGTTGATTCAGTGACTCGATGATGTAATTAAAGACCAGGGTTCCTGGACTCCAGCCTGGGCGACAGAGCGAGACACCGTCTCAAAAAAAAAAAAAAAAAAAAAAGCCCAGGGTTCTTTTTCACTCTTCATTGTTTTGTCCAGATTATCAGCTTGATTTAAAGCTGTTTTCCCTCAAAATCATAACTGGCAAGAGCAGTAAAGGTTGTGTGCTTCTTTGTTCAGTCAAATTATATATAGAGAGAAGTACAGACAAGACAGTATGACAGAATGCGTTTCCAAAAAAGAGCAAGGAACTTCCTTTCCATTAGCCCCCAGAATATCTCCTTTTAAATTTCACTGGTCTGAATTAGGTTACATGCCTACAGTTAAACTCATCACTCTGGCTAAAGGAATGGGATTACTCTGATTGATTTATACCAATTAGGCCCCATCCCTGGAGCTAAGGGGTCAGGTTCACTTTCCCTAAAAAAATGGCTACTTGCATGAAAGAGAGGTAGATAAAAATCTGATCATGTTAAGAAAGTGAGTCCCATGCCTATTCCTTGCCTTGAATTGGGGTGTCCTGGGCAGGATTGGCCAACTAAACCAAATGGGACAGATTTACCACCACCGAAAGGAGTTCTCCCAAAGACGGGACAAACAATGCTGGCAGGTCTGAGGAACATCCTCTGCCTAACCTCCCCACACCATCTGCCAACCTCATAGGCATACCTTTTGTATCAGCTATTTCCCCCTGAGCCAACAGGACACCCCCGCAGAAGTAACTGCAGAGCCACATGACTGAGATAGCAATTTTTGACATAGAATAATTAGTTTGACATATCTACTTGGATGTCTCATAAGCAGTTCAGTTCAGAGTGTTTAGGAACATCCTCTGCCTAACCTCCCCACACCATCTGCCAACCTCATAGGCGTACCTTTTGTATCAGCTATTTCCCCCTGAGTCAACAGGACTCCCCCCCCTCCCCCAGGAAGTAACTGCAGAGCCACATGATCGGGATAGCAATTTTTGACATAGAATAATTAGTTTGACATATCTACTTGGATGTCTCATAAGCAGTTCAGTTAGAGTGTTTAAAGTTAAACTTATCAACTTCTTTCCCAGTTAGCGCCTGTGTTCCCAATCTCAGTATAATGACAAATAAGACATAGTTGCTGCCTTTGTAACAACTGTGTGAATATAGAGAGATCAAATGGGAAGTTGAACTATAGAAAAAATTAAAATGAAGATAGTAATTATTATATGTCTGGTTGATCTGTTTAGGGGTATTTTCCTGTCATTTATCATTTTGTAAATTTCCTTTAATGTAGTTATATAACGTGTACATTATCAGTGAGAGACTTGCAAAGACAAAGAGTTATGTGATATAACACTACCTTATGGGTTCCTATATGGAGGGTTTTATTACCTGTGTGGTGATGTGCCCAATCATAGCTGCTTCAAAAATATACGGTCTCGCAGGGCACGGTGGTTCATGCCTGTAATCCTAGCACTTTGGGAGGCCGAGGTGGGCGGATCACAAGGTCAGGAGTTTGAGACCAGCCTGACCAACATGGTGAAACCCTGTCTCTACTAAAAATACAAAAATTAGCTGGGGGTGGTAGTGGGTACCTGTAATCCCAGCTACTCAGGAGGCTGAGGCAGGAGAATTGCTTGAACCCGGGAGGCGGAGGTTGCAGTGAGCCGAGATCGTGCCATTGCACTCCAGCCTAGGCGACAGAGTGGGACTCCGTCTCAAAAAAAAAAAAAAAAAAAAAGGTCTCTGATTAGGATGGTCTTTCTTTGGAAGTTACTACAGTGTATTTAGACATGTTTTGTTTTGATTTGTGAAAGGCTTTTCAGGGAGCAGAATCTCATTAATCATAATTAAATAGTACACCTTCATTTAGCTGAAGTACCCATCATGCCCCAGGCACTATGGTTGGTGCTAGAGACACAGAAATAAATACACACTCCCTGCAGAAAGCTTACAATTTAATGGGGGAAGATAGATAAACCAATAGTTGATACAGTCTGACAAATGCCATGGTAGAAGTATCGATCACAAATTGTGATAAAGGTTTATCTTATACTGTGAATTGTGGTTAAACTAGTCTTTTTCTCCCCCAGAGTCTTTCTTTAGTTCATGTGGTAGTTTACATAAACTAAGTGAAGAGCCCCTGATTCCTCCTCCTCTTCCTCCTCGAAAAAAGTTTGATCATGATGCTTCAAATTCCAAGGTAATCAACAGGACTTTACTCCAACTTATTCAAAGTTGTGAATCTTCAAAATAATGCCTAGTGTTATAAAGAGTCTGTGAATTATACTTTGGCTACCATTTATGGTTTTTCAGCATTTGGGTTGTTATATTTGAAAAATACTTTTAGTTGTTTAATCCTTATAAAAACCTTTTCTAAATAAGAGGCTGGGCCGGGCGCAGTGGCTCATGCCAGGCGGGTAGATCACCTGAGATCAGGAGTTCGAGACCAGCCTGGTCAACATGATGAAACCCCATCTCTACTAAAAATACAAAAAATTAGCTGGGTGTGGTGGCGGGTGCCTGTGATTCCAGCTACTGGGGAGGCTGAGGCAGGAGAAGCGCTTGAACCTGGGAGTTGGAGGTTGCAGTGAGCCAGGATCGTGCCACTGCACTCCAGTCTGGGCAACAATTGCAAAACTCTTGTCTCAAAAAAAAAAAAAAAAAAAAAAAAGGCTGGTTGGGAGGCTGAGGCAGGCAGATCATCTGAAGTCAGGAGTTCAAGACCAGCCTGGCCAATATGGTGAAACCCTGTCTCTACTAAAAATACAAAAATTAGCCGGGCATGGTGGCGGGCACCTGTAATCCCAGCTACTCAAGAGGCTAAGGCAGGAGAATCACTTGAACCTGGGAGGTGAAGGTAGGTTGCAGTGAGCCAAGATCGCACCATTGCACTCCAGCCTGGGCGACAGAGCAAGACTCTGTCTCAAAAACTAAAAATAAAAATAAAAAAATAAAAAAGAGGCTGGAAGTACATTTTCTTTCTGGTACAGGTGGAAAAAAACTTCAGTAGTATTCCAAGTATTCTTCAAACTTTCAACTAATGCTTCTCAAAATTTTAAGGGTGCATCAGAATTACCTGAAAGGCTTGGTAAAATCAGACTGTGGAGCCACACCTCCAGAGTTTCTGATTCAGTA
This sequence comes from Homo sapiens, assembly GCF_000001405.40. Classification (NCBI taxonomy): domain Eukaryota; kingdom Metazoa; phylum Chordata; class Mammalia; order Primates; family Hominidae; genus Homo; species Homo sapiens. Next base: position 50,119,339 of record NC_000014.9, on the reverse strand, counting down.
GTCTAGGATGGGGCCCAAGAATTTGCTTTTCTAACAAGTTCCCTACTGATGCTGATGTTGTTGGTCTCTGGATCACACTTTGAGATCTACTGCTCTAAGCCTCACTGGAGAAAGTAGCAGTAGATGCCCAGTAAGCAGAAGCTAGACATTAAAGTCCTCTAGACATCATGTCCTTTCATGTCTATAAAGCAATAAATTATTGTCACTTACCTACTATTATAATTAAAATACATAAATTTCTGAAATGTATACACAAAGCAAGATAAAGAGTTAGGACCTAAGACTTAAATTAAAACATCTCATATATAAAAATATTAAACCCAGCCCTGAATTAATCTAGGAGTACTCATAATCTGATAATTAACCCAGATTAGTTTATTTTGAGCCTCTGAATTTAACTTGACAAGTAAGAATTTTTCAGACTTAAAAATTTTTTTTTTTAATTTTTCAGAATAGAGGTATAATTTAATTACTTTTTTTTTTGAGGGAAATATGAAATCTGATGATGATCCTCCTGCTATTCCACCGAGACAGCCTCCTCCTCCAAAGGTAAAACCCAGAGTTCCTGTTCCTACTGGTGCATTTGATGGGCCTCTGCATAGTCCACCTCCGCCACCACCAAGAGATCCTCTTCCTGATACCCCTCCACCAGTTCCCCTTCGGCCTCCAGAACACTTTATAAACTGTCCATTTAATCTTCAGCCACCTCCACTGGGGCATCTTCACAGAGATTCAGACTGGCTCAGAGACATTAGTACGTGTCCAAATTCGCCAAGCACTCCTCCTAGCACACCCTCTCCAAGGGTACCGCGTCGATGCTATGTGCTCAGTTCTAGTCAGAATAATCTTGCTCATCCTCCAGCTCCCCCTGTTCCACCAAGGCAGAATTCAAGCCCTCATCTGCCAAAACTGCCACCAAAGACTTACAAACGGGAGCTTTCGCACCCCCCATTGTACAGACTGCCTTTGCTAGAAAATGCAGAAACTCCCCAATGACCTTAGCCATATGTAGTCATTGACACTGGAATGGTATTTGTAAAGTTTTTTTTTTAATTTATTCAAAAAAAGACATAGTATTTTAGTACTTTTTACAAATAATGCTCTTACAAAAATGCTACTGATCAAATAAGCTTTTAAGAATTGGAAAAATAAAAATACAAAAGTCCTTCACCATTATCCTCAGGTGATCAGTAGCATTGCCTTGTCTTGGATCCTCAGTGCTGCCAAAAGGCCAGTATAAAGAATTTATATTTGCACTGTAAACTCTGCAAAAATATGGTTTAAAGTGACATGATTGCACTGAAAAGGGATAGTGCTTTTGTGAAATTTTTCAAATTTGAGTAATAGATGCCTTTTTAAGGCAGTGAATTTACACAAATATGGGAGGGGTATATGGTGTTACTGATTTTTAAACCTCTTTGACCATCTTCTAGTTTTTACTTCTAGTTTTTACATCTAGGAGAATTGTGAATAACACCAACTGTTCTTAAACTCTTTAATGCCATGTCTTAAATGCCGGTATTTGCTGCTGAAGACAAAAATGAAAAGTAGGATGAAAATAATAGAATGGCACTGTAAGTGTTTATTATTTTGTCAAAATGTAAACAAAGACTACATAACCCAATGATGGAGGGAAAAAGGGCATGTATCTCATTCAGATGTGCCTTTTGTTTTTGCAGACTATGACGTCTTTAGCTAATGAATTGCCTATTGTTATGGAAAACAGTTAATATGCCATGTATGTACAGTTTTGTTTATATTGTATATTTAAAGATACTGCTAATAACCTATATAAATTTAAGTGACTTGAGGCCTATAATACAATCTGCTACTTTACTAATTCATAAATTCAAAAAAAATTCTATGGCATAGGAACCAACTGCCTTGCCTTCAAGACCTAGTAACTTTCTCTATAAATCTCGTGTTAACTGAAATTTTTTTTAAATATATTTTTTAGATTGGTAATATTTAAACCAGCAAATACTTAAAGCTTTATTAAACATTTTAATCAGATAAGTGAGTAAAGCTTTTATTTGCCATTTGGATGCCTTCGTTCAAAGTGATAGAGTGTTTTGCTGATAGTGCTGTAGCAGCAGTTGTAAAGTAGCCAAAAGCCACGTTGTTTATTTACTGGTTTGTGGCCTTTTACTGTGCTTTGTATCAGAGTTCTTAACAAGATTAATAAATCACCCCAGTCTTAATTTTTAAAAGACTTTTAAAATATGTGTTTTCATTATAAGGAACAAAGGGGGAGATTGTTGAGTCCTATAGACACACACACACACACACACAATTTTTTCTTCACTGTTAAATGTGAGCTGCAGGCTTCTAGCAACCACTTTTATGAATTCATACAAAAAACTAGGAGCATACTAGGAACTTGAAAAGGAAGATTGTAAGATTATAGCCATCTTTGGTAGGATCTTGGAAGCTGATTGCATTTAAGCCTTGTAACTACTATGTAAATCAAGTGTCCAACTTGGTAAACTCTGAGGTTGGCTTTGTTTTTTAAAGAGCAGATTATAATAGTTTTGTCTGGGAAAGTGATTTAAACGGCCTCTTCGTTAAGCCAAACGTGTGATTTAGGGTAGAGGGAGGCTGCCAAGCGCGTCGGGTAAGCAGGGGCCCCACGCTCGGCCCCGCCCAGGTAACGCTGCCTTCCGGGCTTTGTTAACTCGCGCGCGCTGCGTCGCCAACTCAGCGGCGGGCAGGGGGCGGAGCCGCAGGGCGGGGCGGTGCGCGTTGATGTGACGTCCCTGCGCGCGCCGCTTTCTGTTGCCGGGCGCAATGGCGGATACGCTGGAGTCCTCGCTGGAGGACCCACTGCGGAGCTTTGTGCGAGTTTTGGAGAAGCGGGATGGTACAGTGCTACGACTACAGCAGTATAGCTCCGGTGGCGTGGGTTGCGTTGTGTGGGACGCTGCCATTGTCCTTTCTAAATACCTGGAAACGCCCGAGTTTTCTGGCGACGGGGCCCACGCGCTGAGCCGGCGGTCGGTGCTGGAGCTGGGTTCGGGCACCGGGGCCGTGGGGCTCATGGCTGCTACCCTCGGGTAAGAGCTGGCGGGCGGGCGGGATGTGGGGGCGCCTTCTTGCTGGGGAAATCCGGATTACAGGCTTTCCCCCCTGTGCCTACACCTCAGTCGACGTTATTTTATAGGGCTGATGTTGTAGTCACCGATCTTGAGGAATTGCAAGACTTGCTGAAGATGAATATTAATATGAACAAGCATCTTGTCACTGGTTCTGTTCAAGCCAAGGTACTGAAATGGTTTGTATGGCCTTTCAGCTTGTTTTAAGATATTGATTTGTAGTTTGTTTTGAATTGCGTTTCATTAAAAGGATGGAAGGGGACTTTCCGGTTCTTTATAAAACAAGAGTATTTTGAATTATTAAAACAATTGAAATATTTGTTTGGCATTTTTAAGGGGGGAAGAAATAGAAGGCTTTCCTTCTCCACCCGACTTCATACTGATGGCCGACTGCATATACTATGAAGAGGTAAGTATCCAGTGAGCGAAGTCTCTTCACTTAGAAGATGAACCTTATTCCATGAATTCTAAAGCACACGTTTCTTCACATTTTAACATCTTTGAATCCGGGATTTGCCTTATAGTTGATGCAGTAAAGAGAAGATAAAAGTCACCAGGGACCATATGTATATACGCTCATCATTATCATACCGACCTGGTGAAGCATGTTGAGAAAAGTGTTATATGCATTTTACTAGAGGCTTCTGTAAAAATTTTAAAGGATTTTGCCAATTGGATGTTATGAAAAGCCAAAATCCTCTCTTTTTCCCTTGGTTGTTCCCACGGAACATGTTAACCATGACATTGAGAATTAAGTTATAAATAATTCATTGTTCTTTTCTTTAAATACCAGTTTGGGCCGGGCGCGGTGGCTCACGCCTGTAATCCCAACACTTGGGAGGTCAAGGCAGGTGGCTCACCTGAGGTCGGGAGTTCGAGACCAGCCTGACCTACATGGCAAAACCCTGTCTCTACTAAAAATACAAAATTAGCCAGGCGTGGTGGTGCATGTCTGTAATCCTAGCTATTTGGGAGTCTGAGGCAGGAGAATCGCTTGAACCTGGGAGGCGGAGGTTGCAGTGAGCCGAAATCATGCCATTGCATTCCAGCCTGGGCAACAAGAGCAAAACTCTGTCTCAAAAAAAAAAAAAAAAAAAAAAAACATCAGTTTGTATAGTGTTGTGGGCATCGATTATTTTAAAAATAATTAGCATTGAACCAAGTTAGGGTCAGATTTAACTTTTGTAGGGAAATCGTTGATTATTTAAATCCCAAATTAGATTAAATAAAATTAAACTTTTAAGAGTAAGGTTGATTCCATTTGTTTCCCATGAGAACTCCAAAATGCAGTCATCTGAATCCTTTTTCTGGAAACCAAAATCAGTACATGGTTTAGTTAACAGGAGCTTACCCAATCATTAGTTACAGAGGGGTTTTTGTTTGTTTGTTTTTGTTTTAAGATAGGGGTCTTGCTCTGTCACACATGTTGTAGTGCAGTGGAGTGATCATAGCTCACTGTAACCTCGAGCTCCTGAGGCTCAAGTAATCCTCCCATTCAGCCTCCTCAATAGCTGGGACTATAGGTGTGCACCAGCATGCTGGCTAATTTTTAAATTTTTTGTAAGGTGTTGCGGGGGGTGGTTTGTCTCTCGCTGTATTCTCCAGGCTGGTCTTCAACTCCTGCTTTCAAGCGATCTTTCCACCTCTGCCTTCCAAAGTGTTGATATTACAGGTGTGAGCCACTGCACCTAGCCTAGAGCTTTAATTACATGTGCTTTGTTGGATTGATTCAAAGATGGATAAATTGTAGGGGAGCTATAAATACCCCTGTACCTCCTCAACCTACTTTTAGAGTAGAAAAATTTTTAAATCAAAAACAAAAAATATATTCTTTTTTAAATAGTCTTTGGAGCCATTGCTGAAAACTCTAAAAGATATCAGCGGATTTGAAACTTGTATTATATGTTGTTATGAACAACGAACAATGGGGAAAAATCCAGAAATTGAGAAAAAATATTTTGAGGTAAGTATTAAGTACTCTATTATCTTTGTAGTGATTTCCCTTCAGGGGGGCTGTATGTGACTCTTCAAGTATATTATGGTAATTTTGGGTGGGGAAAACATGCTGTTTGTGTGAAGCTGAGGAAAGGATCTTCACAGCCCATGATTCTACGAAGCTCCCCTTTTTCATCTTTTCTGATACTTTATTTCATTTCTAATTAGTTGATCTATGGCTACAGAAGAATGTTAATACGGGTGCCACTCCTTTTTAAGAACAGTTTTCAGTGTTTATTAAACATGATGCTGCCTTTGGGGAACATCTCAATGATGTATGTATTACCTTTGGAGAATACGTGATAGAAATGTGCAGGTGATAAGTTGTTTTTGTTTTGAGACAGGGTTTCACCCTGTAGCCCATGCCGGAGTGCAGTGGCACAGTCAGGGCTCACTGCATCCTCAACCTCCTGGGCTCAAGTGATCCTCCTGCCTCAGTGTCACCCCCCCCCCCCCCCGCCCCCAAGTAAGTGGGACTATAGGCATGTACCACCACACCCGGCTAACTTTTTGTATTTTTTTGTAGAGATGGGGTTTTCCCATGTTGCCAAGTGATAAGTTTTTACTTCTGTGTTTTTCTCTACATATTTATGAAACCTCCAACCTAGATACCTGTCTATTTTTAGGGTCTTTTTTTTTGTTTTTTAAACTTTTTGTCTGAAATAGTTAGAAAAGACTTACAGGAAGTTGCAAAATATAGTATATAGGGTTTTATGTATCTGTCACTCTTCTTCCCCTAGTGATCACCCAAACCCTTATATGGGCACAAATCTATCACATTGTGAGTGACTCCTTTTGAGGGTACATCTATATAGGCCTGCAGTTTTGTCTGCTGGAAGGACTACTTTGGTTTAATGAGAAAGCAGGTATATGACTGCCTCAGGTAACAAATACTAAAATGTTTGTTTATTTTCATGTTTTTCTTGAATATGAAAAATGTTCATGAACTTTTGAAATGATGCATAATGAAAATTTCGTACTGTTAAACAGCTTTTATTGGGGTAAAGCATATGTAAAATGCATATGTATCAGTCAAGTGCTGAGCTTAATTTTTCATATGTATACACCCAAGTAACTACTTACCAACATAAAGATAGAGGACATTTTCAGGATCTTGGAAGGTTTGCACACTGCCCTTTCCCAGGCAATACTCAAAAGGTAACCACTGACCAGGCGCGGTGGCTCACGCCTGTAATCCCAGCACTTTGGGAGGCCGAGATGGGCAGATCATGAGGTCAGGAGTTCGAGACCAGCCTGGTCAACATGGTGAAACCCTTTCTTTACTAAAAATACAAAAATTAGCTGGGTGTGGTGTCGTTTGCCTGTAATCCCAGCTACTCAGGAGGCTGAGGCAGGAGAATCACTTGAACCCAGGGAGGTGGAGGTTGCAGTGAGCCAAGATCGCACCACTGCACTCCAGCCTGGGTGACAGAGTGAGACTCTCAAAAAAAAAGTAACCAGCATTCTGACTTCTGTCACCCACAGGTCAGTTCATATTATTGAATTTGAAGTATGTCTCTTTTAAATTTATAGCTCCTTCAGCTAGATTTTGACTTTGAAAAAATTCCTTTGGAAAAACATGATGAAGAGTATCGAAGTGAAGATATTCATATTATATACATCAGAAAGAAAAAATCGGTAAATAACATTCTCAGTTCTTCATTCTCCAAGGAGGTTTCATCAGCTGGACACTATTTCAGGGCATATGTGTGGTATGGGCGTTGATTTTGATGTGGAGAAACAGCTCTAATGATTCACTGGACTCAGGCAGTAACTTCATTGTCAAGATAATTTAATCTATCTTGCCTTGGGTTTTTGCTCTAAAGCCAGGCTTTTTTTTTTTTTTTTTTTTTTTTTCTCGTATTTTTTAAGTAGAGACACGTTTCACCGTGTTGCCTAGACTGGTGTCGAACTCCTGGGCTCAAGTGATCCGCCCACTTCGGCCTCCCAAAGTTCTGAGATTACAGGCATCAGCCACCATACCTGGCCAGGCTTCGCTTTTAAAGGCCTTTTCCAGCTTCTCCATAGGCGTAAATTGTATAGCTCTATAATTGGGTATTACCTCAGACAAGTTATTAGCTATTTATAAGTTTCTTTTATCTCTGTGAGATTTTAAAATGCCTGCTCTTACCTTTGTGAACTTTTCCTTATTAAAAATTGTTTACAGGAAATGAAATACAACAAGGCAGATGAGTCCATAAAAGATAAATGCACTCAATTAAGTAGAATTTATGTATTTTCCCGCTTCTTGGTGCATGTTTTACCCTGTATAACAATCACATTTTATGCAGGTTGCCTCAGTGACACCTAGGGTTTGAGCCTGTAGAAAGAGGGAAGAATTGTACTTCATCCTTTTTTTTTTTTGAAATAGGGTCTCACTCTGTCATCCAGGCTGGAGTACAGTGGTGCAATCTCGGCTTGCTGCAGCCTCTGCCTTGCAGGCTCAAGAAGTGATCCTCCCACCTCAGCCTCCTGAGTACCTGGGACCATAGGCATGCACCACCATGCCCAGCTAATTTTTGTATTTTTTTTGTTGTTGTTGAGACAGGGTTTTGCCATGTTGTCCAGGCTGATTTTGCACTCCTGGACTCCAGTGACCTGCCCACCTCGGCCTCCCAAATTGTTGGGATTACAGGTGTGAGCTGCTGCGCCTGGCCTTTCATCTATTTTTGTATTTCCAGCACCTTTGGTATATGTGACTAGTGTAAGGCAGGGAGATGATTAGTTTTATGAATTAAGGATGCTAGATTCAATAAGCCCACACTTTTTCTATCATCTTTGCTTTGATTATGTTTGTGGTAAAGTTTTCTGATTATATGAATTCTAGTCAAAAGCAAATAAAACTTAGGGAACAGAAGTAGGTGTTAGGACTAAATCTAAGTAAAAAGGCAGCAGCGGGATTATTCAGATTAACATTTATGTGGCATGGTGCCACAGATACAAAAAAAACTGTTTTGTGCTTTAAGGGATCTAGTGTTAACTGAAGCTGTTGTGCAGTTTTAAAAGTAGAATTTTTTGGAGGCAGAAAGATTTTGTGTTTCCTAAATATAGAGGCTTTTTTTTTTTTTTCGGCCAAAAAAAAAAACTCTTATTTTTTAGTTGATGTAACTCACATACCATAAAATTCACGCTTTTAAGGTGTACAATTTGGTGGTTTTTAGTATATTCACATAGTTGTGTAAATTACCACTTTCTAATTTTTAATGATTTCACCCCCCAGAGAAGCCTCTTACCCATTAGCAGTCACTCCCTGTTACCCCCGTCCCCAGCTGCTGGCAGCCACTAATCTCTATGGATTTGCCTATTCTGCACATGTCATATGTAACAAGTCACATACTGTGTGGCCTCTTGTGACTGTCTTCTTTCACTCAGCACAGTATTCTCGAGCCTTATCTACATTGTAGCACACATTAGCACTTAACTCCTTTTTGTGGCTGAATAATATTCCTTTATGTGGCTGTACCACACCTTATCCATCCATTGATGAGATGAATAATGCTGCTATGGACGTTCATCTACAAATTTTTGTGTGAACATGTTTTCAGACCTCTTGAGTATATACCTAGAGGAGAACTGCAAGGTTATATGGGAACTCTGTTTAACTTTTTGAAGACTTGCCAAACTGTGTTCCTAATCTACCATACCATTATACGTTCTCACTAGCAGTGTATAAGGGTTCCAGTTTTCTCCACATTTTTACCAACATTTGTTAATTATACCCATCTCACTGGGTATGAGATAGTCTCTAAACTGTGGTTTTCATTTCTCTAATGACTAATGATGTTGGGTATCTTTTCTGTATTTAGAAGAAATGCTTGGCCCATTTTCAGATTGACTTATTTGTCTTTTTACTTTGAGTTGTGAGAGTTCCTTATACATTCTGAATACTAAACACTTACAGATGCATTATTTGTGAATATTTTCTCCCATTCTGTGGGTTGTCTTTTCATTTTCTCAATAGTGTGTCTTGTATTTTCTTAATTTATTATTTTCTTATTTTTCTTTTGAGACAGAGTCTCGCACTGTCACCCAGTCTGGAGTGCAGTGGCATGATCTTGGCTCAGTGCAACCTCTGCCTCCCAGGTTCAAGTGATTCTCCTGTGTGAGCCTCCCAAGTAGCTAGGACTAAAGGCATGTGCCACGACGCCCAGCTAATTTTTTTGTATTTTTAGTAGAGATTGGGTTTCACTAGGTTGGCCAGGCTTGTGTCGAACTCCTGGCCTCAAGTGCTCTGCCACCTCAGCCTCCCAAAGTGCTGGGATTACAGGTGTGAGCCACCACACCCGGCCTATGTTGTGTCTTTTGAAGCACATATATTTTAATTTTGATAATGTCCAATGCATCTGTTCTTTCTTCAGTTGCTTGTTAGGTGTCAGCAAAGAACCATCTATAAACATGCATGGTTGTTCACTTGAATTGCATGTAGCCACTGTTATACTAGGCATACTAGGCATTATGAGGCATATTAGGCATTATTAAATACCCAGTAAATAGTTTGTGGTAAATCAATCTTTTAAGTTTCCTTTTTTTTTGTTATAGAAATTTCCATCGTGAAGCCTTTAATCATCTTACCCAAGGCTCTAACAACCTGGGTAAACTAAAGATGTGAATAGAGCATGTGAATACAGCATGGGAAGATTGTGTTCACAGATTTTTTTTTCCGGCACGTCCTTAGAGATCCGATGTATAGATGATGACCACCAGGGGCTGTCTGCAATACGAAAAATTCCTGCTTGCCTGCCTGCCTGCCAATGGCCCTGAATCCAGCTTAGGTTACTTAGTTCAGCATCAAGTTCTTCTTAAATGTTGGGAATCAGTTATTCAAATAAAAATTGGTATTGAGGCGAGGCTGAAATCTGCCAAAAACAGCCAACATGATTTGACTGGACCTTTTACAGGAAGCTAGAGATAAATTTCTGAAGAGAACTATCTGCTATTATATAATAATGTTTTAAATTCAAACTAGTAAATTTTAGTTTGTCTTCAGAGTTTAAAAGGTTTTCATTTTGTACATAATTATACAATATTTATCATTTGTATTTTCCACTTCATTTCTTTTAAAATATCTTTAATACTGAAATGTTCTTTTAATTTTAAAAAGAACTGAGATATTGTCTTGTATACTTATATTAGCCAAAGTTTTCTTTTCCTCCACCATACATATCTATGTGATTTAATCAGTAAATTGTACTGTAATGAGTTGCTAAGAAGACAAATCAGAAGATTGGAGGAACAAAAGATATCTTTACAGATTTTTCATTTGAGCATGGAGTGAGAATAGAAAGACCAGTTTCAGGCTTATGCACTTACGTGGCTCATGCACTTTATGTATATGTTCCAGGAAAATCTGGCTTAAAAATACTGGTATTGTTTACATGAAGCAGTGAAAGGTTTTTGAATAACTACAAATGTAGTTCTATATGTATATACCAAATGAATTTCTGTTCTGTGTCTCTCTGTTTTATGTTATGAAGCCATTCGCTCATATACAATAATCTGTCAAGGACTTTAATCATACTTGTTCCAAAGAGTAGTAACCGGATGGAATTCTGGTATTTATAGGCATTGGTGCTAGATGGTACATTTTATGTGTTAAAATAAACATTGTTTTTGAGACCTTGTGACTGTGAATTTCAGAAATACCTTTGAAGAAAGTGAACATCTAAACAGTTAACAGGAGCAAAAGCAGCCCTATTTAGAGACATTAAGGATACAAGTCAAGAAATCAGTTCATTCCTTTCAGGTTTATTTCAGTCTTAAAAGTTTCCTTTGCTGGTTTCCCCCCCGCCAAGATACTTTGTTCATACTGTCCTTAGCATTTCATTAAGCAGTTTGCAAGGCAGTGTAACCTAAATCTGTGGTGCTTTGTGAGGTACAGATAGTGCTAGCTGTTATTAATGATGTCTTAGGACAAATGACCACTTTTTAGCTTGTTTTATAACATGAAATTTGTAAAAATAAGTTTGACCTTGACTATAATAGTCCACCCAGGTTCCTTAAATGTCTTTTCACCCTCCAGTTTTTATGCCCTCCTGCTTTCTCTTTTTTTTTTTTTTTTTTTGAGACAGGGTTTTGTTCTGTTGCCCAGGCTGGAGTGCAGTAGTGGCACAATCTTGGCTCACTGCAACCTACTCTTCCCAGGCTTGGGTGATCCTCCTACCTCACCCTCCTTAGTAGCTGGAACTACAGGTGCGCCACCACAGCTGGCTAGCTTTGTTGTATTTTTTGTAGAGTCAGGGTTTCACCATGTTGCCCAGACTGGTCTCAAATTCCTGGAGCCAAGTGATCCACCCTCCTTAGCCCCGGAAAGTGCTGGGATTACTAGCCATGAGCCACTGCACCTGGCCCTCTTTTAACACACACTATCTGTGGGTCTTTGGCCTGAAGTCCCCCTTGATTTTACTGTATGAAAACCCAGCTCTTTTAGTTCAGAAAAATGAAACTTCACTAATTTCCTGGAGGAGTCGGGCTGAAGTCGGCCTCTGTGCAGCTTTGCCAAAATCACACTCTTGCTTGACTTCCTCCCCCTTCCTGTTCGGCTATTCCCATTCCTTTACTTAACCTTGATAAATCATTTGCATACATTCCTCTCTGCTTCTGGAGAACTCACCTAAGTACTGACTGTAGAGGAAATTTGTAATTCAAAGTCAAATAGGCCCCACGCGCGGTGGCTCACGCCTGTATGCCGAGGCAGACGGATCTCCTGAGGTCGGGAGTTGGAGACCAGCCTGGCCAACATGGTGAAACCCTGTCTCTACTAAAAATACAAAAATTAGCCTGGCATGGTGGCGTGCACTGTAATCCCAGCTACTTGGGAGGCTGAGGCAGGAGAATAGCTTGAACCCTGGAGGTGGAGGCTACAGTGAGCTGAGATGGAGCCACTGCACTCCAGCCTGGGTGACAGAGCAAGACTCCGTCTCAAAAAAAAAAAAAGTCAAATAGGATATCTTTCTTGTTCTGGAATAAGGCCAAAACTGAAGTCAGGGTGCCAATCCTCACATTCTAAGATTCGACCACTGATGGTTAGGACCAGTGAATGCTACAGGGCTTACTGAAGGTGGCCAGTTCAGAGAACATGCTCCATCACCAACTACTATTCCACAGACAGCTGGGGAGCTCTGGAAGAGGTCTCCTTTCGGAGGAGTCCATTGTTAGGGAATGTAATTTAGTCTTTTGGGCTTTCGAATGTGGAGAGATAACAAGTTGTACCTGCACTCACAAACCACAGGAGGAGGCTGGGTGAGGTGGCTCATGCCTGTAATCCCAGCACTTTGGGAGGCCAAGGCAGGCAGATCACTTGAGCCCAGGAGCTTGAGACCAGGCTGGGCAACATAGCAAGACCCTGTTTCTACAAAACATACAAAAAATTACTTGGGTGTGGTGGTGTACACCTGTAGTCCCATCCATACTAGGGAGGCTGATGTGGGAGGTTCATCTGAGCCCAGGGAGGTTGAGACTGCAGTGAGCCATGATTGCACCACTGCACTCCAGCCTGGGTGACAGTGAGACCCTATCTCAAAAAAACAAAACCGCAGGAGGAAGGCCTGAGGAAGTAACTAGAGATTCAAGATGTTTGCAAGTATGGGAGACCAGTATTTCTCTTTCTGGCTGGATTTGTGTTTACCCACCAGCAGCAGATTCCGAAGCATGGAGACAGAATTAGAGGAGTGATGTGGGAACTGTAAGGCTGAGGGGTATTGAAGATGCACTCTGCCAGCCTGAGAAATGATGCATGAATTGAGGGTTAGAAGACTTCTGCAACAACATGAAGGAGGGGACGACGTGGTTTAAAAGGCAAGTGCAATGGATAAGGTGATGCCACTAGCTGGGGCTCAGCCAGGACACAGCTAATTCCCAAATCCCAAGGGACTGCCAATGCCTTGGCCTGTGGGCAAGTGTGGGTTGCCTCTGCACAATGGAGCTCGGAAACTACTTATCAGAATGCAGTTATAGCCAATTAGGGAAAGGGTTGCAACCCCATAGTAAGGCAGTGTTTCTCAAACCAGGCTGCACGTGGAAAATTAAAAGCACACAAAACCCATGTTCAGGCCCTATCCCAGTCCAGTTTAATCAGAGGCATAGTAGTTTTGTTAAGGGGTTCCAGATGGTCTTAATGTTTGCCTTAAATTGAGAACCACTGCAACAAGGAAACCTCTTTTATCCGTTTAGCATCTACTTCCCAAGGAGAAGAGAGCAAAGAAAGAAGAAAGTATATAAAAAGCAAACCATCTGTGAATAGAGTGGGCCCCTAGTACATACGGACAAAAAACCACTTGGAATCCGATGTGGAACCTTGTATGAAATAGGAGGTTTTAAAATAAACAGGACTGAACTTTGGAAATGGAAATAGACTATAAATATAATCTGAAAATTAGAGAATCTGGCCAAGAAGGCAAAGGTGATGCTACTCAAGAAGGAAGGGGGATTCAACAGTTAAAAATTGTTGCAGGTCCAGTCTCCAATGACTTGAGTCTCTTCTGTACACCAGTTATAACTTTAAACATCTTTGAGGTTGCATAACTTTGCATTTTAATCTGCCACAGTTTATAACCAAGGGTCCATGGATCATATGTTTGGTGAAGTTGGAAATGAAATTAGTTTTTTGTTGTTTTGTTTTGTTTCGAGACGGACTCTCACTCTGTCACCCAGGCTGGAGTGCAATGGTGTGATCTTGGCTCACTGCAACCTCCGCCTCCCAGGTTCAAGCGATTCTCCTGCCTCAGCCTCTGAAATAGTTGGGATTACAGGCACCTGCCACCACACCCAGCTAATTTTTGTATTTTTAGTAGAGATGGGGTTTCACCATGTTGGTCAAGCTGGTCTGGAGCTCCTGACCTCAAGCAATCCACCCTCCTCAGCCTCCCAAAGTGTTGGGATTATGTGCGTGAGCCACTGCACCTGGCCTAGGTTATTTTAAAGTAAGAACTATTAATCCAGAATGTTAGTGGGAATTTTTTTATACACAGCATATCTTTTAATTTTTTCTTACCTTTCTTGAAAATTTCCTTGTTAAATGATGCAAAATATGATATGACAGATTATAGGTATTTTAAAGAAGAGTATGGGTTATAGAAACATCTGTTGTTCTAAAGGCCACCTGTAGATGGCATTGCTTGACTTTGTCTTTAAATGTTTTCTAGAAAGGAAGTTGTTAAAATAGAATCTACTTTGAAATGCAATCACATTTTAAAGGTGAACGAAATTAGATTAAAAAAAAAAGCCTACCTTTTGAGTTACTTTCAGAAGATAACACAGGGTAAGTAAAACAAGTTTTTTTCTTGTAAAATTGTATTTGGTTTATCTTTCTGTTTCTTTCTGATATGCCTTTTGAATATCATTCAAAAAGCTACGTTACTACAATTCATAAAATGTTTTCTCTGCTATTGATATCTTCTGTGAAAAGAAGACAGATATTTAAGAGGCTAAATTAATTCAAGTGACGTTCTGAAAATTAAAATTCACCTTGAAAGTACCTTTCACATAATCATGATTTTACATCTGAGACACTTAAAACTTCTCATTTTAATTAGTTTTTCAAAGCAGTTTTTTTTTTTTTTTTCAATAGAGTAAGTGGTAGTTCTTACTTCTGAAGGCTGAAGCTGTGTCTTTGGTTCCCACAGTCCTGTAGGCACAGGCCAGGTATTTGACTTCTGGGTTTTCTTTTTTCTTAGGAAACATCAGGATTTGAAAGAGTTTTGATTCATTGATAACAAACATTGTTAGAGGAGAATATTCAGTTTTCATACCATAAAGACCTTCACTCTAATAGAAATACAGAAAAAGAAAACTGTTGCAACGATATCTTACTGAAAATTAATGGAAAAGCTAAGTTTTTACTTTCCATAATATTGGGTAGGAAAGCAATAAATTCTCAAGGCATTTTCACCAGTTAAAGTTTAAACCATTAGATATTTGGGGTTGTTCAAGACATTGAAGTTCTTATGTGTTGGTGAAGTTCTGTGAATATCTAGTGAGTCCCTATCAACTGTGAGATACATTCTAAGTCATTGATTATTAATGACAAGATGCTATCATTTGCAAATGATAAACCTAAAATATGGTACAGCAGATTATCTCCATGATAATATTTTGCTCACGTGCATTCTGAAAACAGTGTCAGCACAGAGGCTCTGAGACCAGATTATCTGGGTTTGAATCCCAGTGCTGCCACTTACTAGCTGTGTGACCTTGAAGTTACTTAAACTCTGTGTGCCTCAGTTTCCTCATATGTAAGGTAAAGATCATAATATCTTATAGGTTGCTGTGGAGATTAAATTAGTCAAATACATGTAATGTACTTAGGTACTAGGCACATAGTAAGTGTTCAATAAATGTGACCGTAGTTGGGGTGGAATTACAGGTGGGCACTTGGAAAATATGCATAATGCAAGTCAGTTTTATCTGTTGCAGTGTGAAATCTGGGCACCTTTTTGAGAGTATAGGATGCATGTAAACATTGCTGCCCAGTCACGGTGGGAATGGCAGCTGGGATGGGAGGAAGTTGAGAACATTGTTACACAACATGTACTGTTATTTAAACAAATAACAATCTTAGAAAAATAAAGAAGATACGGGGAAGAAAATTTTTGTTCACTGTTCATTTTTACAGTTTGAAAGCAACTGCCACGAGCATTCGAAGGCCAATAGGGACAGAGCAAATCCTCGTTTCTAAATATGGGAGCCTGGGTTTGCTGGCTGGAGCTCCAGGATTAACATTCCACCGCCCTGGACCCTTACTCAATTCCTCCTTCCACGGTTCTTTGCTAAACCTGAGACCAGATGGGTAGCAGGCCATTAAAGTACAGCAGAAAGTCATTTTTCTGAAGTCTGAGACTTGATCTATCTGCATAACAATATTTTCAGAGTTTATATTTATTAACTCTAAAAGAGCAATGTGACTTTAAAATATGTTTGTAGCAGTTGTTTCTTGCCTAAATAATCTTTCACTGTGTAATGAGTGCGTGTGTGGGATGCAGGACTTAACTAATTCCTCAGGCTAACTGACCATGTCTTTTACTAACAGACAAGAATGACAAAACCTTGGATTGTGTCTGTTTCTCCATCAGCCAGTGTAAAGTGGCACATAGGCTTTACTTCAGAAGGGGTGTGCAATCTTCCCTGGGCCACACTGGAAGGAGAAGAATTGCCTTTGGGCCATGCGTAAAATACACTAGTGATAGCTGATGAGTTTTTAAAAAATTGCAAAAAAATCTTATAATGTTTTAAGAGGGTTTACGAATTTGTGTTAGTCCACGTTCAAAGATGTCCTGGGCCATATGCGGCCCATGAGCAGTGGGCTGGACAAACTTGCTTTCTGCTTCTGCGTTATATTAAACTTGCAAGGCCTTTCTGTTTGCAATTAATGGAAAATATTGTCATGAATACTCAATAGGTGGTCTTCATTTTTAGAAACCTTTATACATTACCTATAATACAGTAACTTATTTTGTTGAATTAATTCACATTTTTTAATTTTCACAGGTTGAAAACAAGGATATTTCTTCCTTGCAAAGCAAAATTAAAATGTTTGTAAAAGATCTGGCCTAGATGCAGTTTTTATAGGCTTAAACGTTTGAGTAGTTAACAAATTCCTTTCAGGTTATTAGTTCTAATGAGGTACCACTGACAGCTTTTTGATGGGTCAGTGCTGTTAAATGCTTTTGGGTTTTTTGTTGTTGTTTGTTTGAGACAGAGTCTCACTCTTGTCACCCAGGCTGGAGTGTAGTTGGTGCAATCTTGGCTCACAGCAACCTCCACCTCCCAGGTTTAAGCAATCTTCCTACTTCAGCCTCCTGAGTAGCTGGGATTACGGGCACGAGCCACCATGACCGGCTCAGTTTTATATTTTTTGTAGTGATGGGGTTTGGCCATGTTGCCTAGGCTGATCTCAAACTCCTGAGCTCAAGCAATCTGCCTGCTTTGGCCTCCCAAATTGCAGGGATGAGCTACCACACCTGGCCTTGAGTAGTTTTTTTAAAAGTTACCTTTAACTCAGATTTGTTAATCTGCTGAAGTCCAGGCATTAACGATGTGAGTTCCAGGTGCTTGTGTTGGTTCATGATTGTTTGACAAATCATTGCCAGAGTTTTAGGTATACAGTACAAACAATCTCATGTATCTACATTCAGTACTCAACCTTGTTCTTTTAAGGAATGTGTCCTGATAACCTGCTTGTGCTTCATGCACAGTACAGCAATGTACTGAGGTGCTACATATACAAATTACTATTTTCTTTTTTTTTTTGAGATGGAGTTTCGCTCTTGTTGCCCAGGCTGGAGTGCAATGGCGCAATCTTGGCTTACCGCAACCTCCGCCTCCCAGGTTCAAGTGATTCTCCTGCCTCAGCCTCCCTAGTAGCTGGGATTACAGGCATGTGCCACCACTCCCAGCTAATTTTGTATTTTTAGTAGAGACAGGGTTTCTCCATGTTGGTCAGGCTGGTCTCAATCTCCCAACCTCAGGTGATCCGCCCGCCTCGGCCTCCCAAAGTGCCGGGATTACAGGCATGAGCCACCGCGCCCAGCCACAAATTACTGTTTTTTTTTATACGAAGCTTAGATGAGAAGCTTTACACTTGTGTTTAGAATGAGTGTAAATAATCTCATGGCATATAATTCACATGGAACAAAGGACTGGCTTCTTAAAACTTAAAAACAGGAAAAACAAGTTTCACACTCCCACAAATAATAAATGTTTAACCAGAGAATATCTTTGGATTTCAGTGACATTTATGAATGTAGGTACAGTAATGTGCTTTTAAAATAACTATTTTCTTTCTAAATCTTGTTACAAGGATTTTTTTTTTTTTTTTGAGAGTGTGTTTCACTCTGTTGCCCAGGCTAGAGTGCAGTGGCATGATCATAGCTCACTACAGTCTCGACCTCCTGGGCTCAAGTGGTCCTCCTGCCTCAGCCTCCCAGTAGCTGGGACTACAGGCAACATACCACTATGCCTGGCTAATTAAAAAAATATTTCTTTTTGTAGAGACAGGGTCTCACTGTGTTGCCCAGGCTGGTTTTGAACTCCTGGGCTCAAGCAGTCATCTTACCTCGGCCTCTCAAAGTGCCAGGATTACAGCTGTGAGCCACTGCAGTGGATGGATATTTTAAAAAATTCTGTTGTTCAAAACTCTTCACTCTCAAACATGTATCTGACACCCACAGTCAGTCTGTTACTCTTGTTCCCTGTGAAATGTCTGCTTGTTAACCTGAGAGTCCAAAGAACAGGAGAGGCATAGTTTGGCTGGTAGGAACAATATTCCCAGTTAGCCCTGGAAGACAGTTCCAGTTCAGTTCTAAATCCAATCGCCTTCCCTTTATGCTCCCAAGCTTTATGAGAAAACAGCTCACTTGATTACCACCTAATCTACCTGTATGTCCTTGGGCAAGTTAAACTCTGCATGTTACTTTCCCTTTCTGTAAAATGAGAATATCTACTGGCTAACATTGTGGTGATGGTTAAACTAGATAATGTATGGAGACCATACTTAAGAAAGCAGTCTCCTCAGCTTAAGCCAAAACTGTTTGTTCTGAGAATCCAGACTGGTAAACTCTTGCAAACTAGAGAGGTGTACAAGAAACCATCCCAAGTAAATGACACATAAGTGGTCCAGGAAAAACAATCCTCAGTTGTTAGGAAGGATTCCAAGTTTAGCAGTGTGCCTGTTGTTTACCGTTACGTTCCAACCAGACATCTTCACCATGTCTTTTAGACCCTACCTTTGTCATAGGAAGAGAGAGGCCATAGGGGAAAATAATTGAGAGGTTACTCTTATCAAAAAAAAAAAAAAAAAAAAAAGTCCCGTAAGGCTTTAATGAGGCATGGGGCATCACTGGTTTGATACTTCCCAGCAGAATGCAATACCAAAAGCAAAAACAAAGAAATAGTCCCCTTTCAAAAACACGAAAGTCCCAAAGCAGCAGACTAGTGCAGGCCACAGAGGGCAGGAACAGAACTTAGCAAAGAAGTTCACTGAGACTCTGCAAAATACTGTAAAGTGGACAGCAAATGAAATATGGCTTGTTGCTGTTAGAGTTTCTCCACAGTTAACCCAAAACTGAGGACCTATGTGTAAAGAGTCTGGAACAACGCCTGACATAAAAGATCCTCAACAGTGGGGAGGGAGAGCATCAGGATAAATAGCTTAATGCATGCTGGACTTAATACCTAGGTGATGGGTTGATGGGTGCAGCAAACCACCATGACACATGTTTACCTATGTAACAAACCTGCACATCCCGTACATGTATCCCGGAACTTAAAATCCTCAAGACATTTTACTTCTCTTCCCTTCTCTCATTTTCAAATCTACCCTCAATGACTCTTCTCAACATTCAACACATTTATTTACTCCTTCAATTCAGCAGACAGGCACTGTGCTAGGTATCAGAGGTACCCATCAGTACTCTTTTAAATATTAGGGACAAATAATAAGATGCATTCCATACCCGTAAGCAGCTCTCACATCTGTAATGAGAGGCATATGCAAAACATAATTGCAACTCAGAGAAATGCAATCATAAAGGCATAAGCTAGGTACAGCGGCAGTGCAAAGGAGGGTGTGGTCACCTCTGCCTTAGTTGGTCAGGGAAGATTTCATGAAGGGACCATTAAGCTGATTTTTGAAGGATGAATGGAAAGCCACTGGACAGCTTGTCAGGTATTCTAGGCAAACACATGCAACAGCATCAAATGTGGTTTTGATGTGGCTCGAGCATAGGGCATGTGTAGGAGATGACTAATGGGTAGGCAGGAGGGCAGGGCAAGGACGTGCAGAGTCCATGTGGCGTATTCAGGAGTGCAGATGGATTCTGGAGGCAATGAGAGGATATTTCAATACTTTAAGTAGGGTAGCCACTTGGCCAAATCATTTTAGAAAGATTATTCTGACAGCAAATTTGGAGAGTGGGCAGGAGAGGGGCAAGACATGAGGCAAAGAGATCAGGAAGGAAGAATGAACAGGTAAGAGATGTTGAGGAGTGGGGTCTGAACTCTGGTAGTAGCAGTAGGAATGAAGAGGACGGGATCTGAGAACTGCTGTGGAGCTAGACTAAGGCAGATACAGTAAGTTGTGTAGGGGCCCGCGGTGCATCCTGATGGGGTCAAGGCCTCCACGGTCCTCATGCTGCCCTTCTGCAGGTCAGAGTCCCTTTTCTTTAAAACACTTTTATTTTGAAAAGAATTGTAATAACATTAATTTTATTAGAACTAGAGACTTTACTGTCCTTTGCCAGAAAATTGTCCTGTATATAAATCATGTAAGTTTGGAATCAACTGTTTTAATTTTTGGTTTTAACTTCAAAACAATAATGATGTCTACAGTGTGAATGGTGTCCCCTTCCAATGTTGCTCTTTGCTGTACCCAGCCTGAGTGGCCACACACTGTGACCCTGGTTACATGTATGTAATAGGCAGCTAAACACAAGCGGTCCTCTGTATATGTGAGTTCCATGGGTTTCAACCAAACACAGGTTGAAAATATTCGGGAAAAAAAATAGATGGTTGTGTCTGTACTGAACATGTACAGACGGAGTTTTTCTTGTCATTATTCCCTATACAAGACAGTATAACAACTATTTACATAACATTTACATTGTATTAGGTATTATAAGTAGTCTAGAGATGATTTAAACTATATGGGGGTAGGGGGTGGGTGTGGAGGGCAAACACATAGCAAATGGATGCTGGGCTTAATACCTAGGTGATGGGATGATCTGTGCAGCAAACCACCATGACACACGTTTACCTATGCAACAAACCTGCACATCCTGCACATGTACCCCTGAATTTAAAAGCTGAAGATAAAAAAATAAATTCAGTCCAATAAAAAAGTAATAAGCTATATGGGAGGATGTGTATAGGTTATATGCAAATACTACACTATTTTATACAAAGGACTTGAACATCTGTGGATTTTGATATCTGTGGGTGGTCCTGGAATCAATTCCCCATGGATACTGAGGGATGACCGTATATAGGTTTGGGGGCAGAAGAGAGGGTGGACTGAGAAAGATGATGTCTTTTCTTTTTTTTTTTTTTTTTTTTTGGCAAGACAGAGTCTCATTCTGTAGCCCAGGCTGGAGTGCAGTGGTGCTATCTTGGCTTACTGCAACCTCTGTCTCCCAGATTCAAGCGATTCTCCTGCCTCACCCTCCTGAGTAGCTGGGATTACAGGCGCGTGCCACCACACCCGGCTAATTTTTGTATTTTTAGTAGAGACGGGGTTTCGCCATGTTGTCCGGGCTGGTCTCGAACTCCTGACCTCAGGCCATCCACCTGCCTCAGCCTCTCAAAGTGCTGGGATTACAGACGTGAGCCACCGTGCCCAGCCAAGTTGAGGTCTTATAGATCACCCCAAATGTATAGATTGGGGGAAAGCCCAGGTTAAGGCCCTGGGAAGTACCAAAATTCAAGGAATTATTGGAAAAAAACAGAACACTTAAAGGTGAAATACTGAAATATCTTCTGCCTTGACTCCAGGGACAGTCAGTTCTCAAACAGGTTGATGGTCATATAGCTCCCATTTTTGTATTTCATACACTGAGACTTCCAACCTGACTTTCATCTGCCAGGATTAGATTTTATACATCTGCCCCCAAGTCAACATAATGATGCTGCCTGCTTAGCAGCTTAGCTATCTGCAGCAGTGCCATCTTTGCACCTTGGTACTTGGGCAGCTGTTTTAATACCTGGTCCTTGTTCTAAAAAAAATGAGAGAAGACCCCAAAATGAATATGTTGTTACTAATGATAAGCAACTCAGGTCTCAGATGAATACAACTTAGGATGGAAGCCACTGGTATTCAGAAAGCAGTAAATCTTGTAGCCTCAATAGCTGCTCGTTGGACTTAGTTTGATTGTGAGTTCACTTATGAAAAGGAATGAGGAAAATATGAGTATAGAACCAATATTGGAAATATTGTTGAACATGTGGATCTATTTCTTTTTCTTTTTGATACTGGAACTTTTCTCCTATTTGACTTAAGTAGGTCTGACTTTCTCCGCCCAGCGTCTGGTTGCTCCTCCGTCACCATCCTTCGTTCCTTTTCCTTCTCTGTTGCTTAACTCACAATTCCCTGGGGCTCTGTCTTTTGACCACTCACCTCTGCACACATAGATCTTGCAATTTTCATGATTCCAACTACAAGCTTATTGTAGAGGCCCCCTCTCTAGACCTCTAGCTCCGATCCCTCTCTTAAGTCTGACCTCTCCCCTTCAGCTGCCTGCCTGATGTCTTCCTTTGCTTGCCCAACCAAGAGTATGTCTTAGCAAAATTTCTGCAAAAATAGACTCTTCTGCCTCATATTCTTGTTTTACTAATGGCATCACCATTCTTTTAGCATTTCTAATTTCTTCTGCCTCACATGAACTCAGCGTGTCATACACTGATCTGTGATGGGTTCTCACAGTCTTCCCCCACTTTCCATCTTCACGGCCATCATCACCTCAGGTTGGGCCTCACTCCTCTAATAGTCTCCCCACCTTCAATATCTCTCTACACTTATCTGTGCAGGCGGTGGTGGCAGAGCGTACTCCTAACCTGGGGTTCCAGACTTTTCATCATGCTACTCCCAATAGCCCACCAAGTTCAGGAGAGACTTGGGTTTCCTGACCGAGGCTAACCCACAGGATTCCCCCTGCATAAGAGGCCCTTCTTTTCTGGGGTAGCTAGTGCCAAGGATAAAGTAAGTTTTGAGCTGCTCAAGAGTAAAAGTCAAGATAGAGGAAAGCAGAGTCTAGAAGCAAACAGAGAAATTAGAACGTTTTTCCGATGATTCTGTTTGAGTCTCTGAAGCCAGCTATGTCTAAAGCCACCGCAGCTCCTGGACTTCCCAGTTACCTCACCTAGTTAACTCTGTTCTGCTGGTTTGGGGCTGGGTTTCTCTCCCTTGCAGTGGATCAGATCCTAACTGGTAGAGCATTCAAACCTTTCAGCCCATTAAACCCTACTCTTAAGATCCTTCTCAATCATTACCTTCCCAGAAAGTAATCTGCTTTTTAAGTTTGCATTTTGTCCATAATACCCACCAGATCATCTTAACAGTTGATTTAGAAGCTTTCTAGAATAGTGTTGGTTGCTGATCATACTGTGGAGATCTTATCAAACTACAAAAGTAAGCGTTATGAAACTCATCAGAAAGTAAAAGGGAGGAAACAAAAACCTGCTGTGGGAGTGGTTTGATTTAAATGTAACAAAAGAGGAAATGTACTTCTTTGCACCCAGAAAGTGTTCAAGCCTGCACCTCTCCATCCCCCAATCAAGGGATCATTATTTAGTGAGAATAACTCAAGAGATGAGAAAATGAGTAGCTTACATAAGGAGGTAGATTCTGGGGCTTGGTTCTAACCCCCATGATTATGGGGGTTCCTGAGAAGTGGAGGGAGAATTGCAACATGTATTAGGAGAGGTACTTGGGCAGTGAGGTTTGCCATCTGGAGAGCAAGTGTTTTTTTGTTTGTTTGTTTTGTTTTTTCTTTTCGTTTTTTCTGAGACAGAGTTTCGGTCTTGTCGCCCAGGCTGGAGTGCAATGGCGCAATCTCGGCTCACTGCCGCAACCTCCGCCTCCTGGGTTCAAATGATTCTCCTACCTCAGCCTTCTGAGTAGCTGGGATCACAGGCATGTGCCACCATGCCCAGCTAATTTTGTATTTTTAGAAGAGACAGAGTTTCTGCATGTTGATCAGGCTGGTCTGGAACTCCCGACCTCAGGTGATCTGCCTGCCTTGGCCTATCCACCTGCCTCGGACTCCTAAAGTGCTGGGATTACAGGTGTAAGCCACTGTGCCTGGCCTTTTTTCTTTTTTAAAACTTATTAAAACAAACAAATCAACAACAACAACAACAAAATGAGGTCTTGCTACTTTGCCTAGGCTAGTCTTGAACTCCTGGGCTCAAGCGATTCTCCTACCTCAGCCTCCCAAAGTGCTGAGATTACAGGCATGAGCCACTGCACCTGGCCAGGAGAGCAAGTTTTAAAACTGGCCAGGTCACTATTCACAATAGCAAAGACTTGGAACCAACCCAAATGTCCATCAATGATAGACTAGATTAAGAAAATGTGGCACATATACACTATAGAATACTATGCAGCCATAAAAAAGGATGAGTTCATGTCCTTTGTAGGGACATGGATGAAGCTGGAAACCATCATTCTCAGCAAACTATCGCAAGGGCAGAAAACCAAACACCGCATGTTCTCACTCATAGGTGGGAATTGAACAATGATAACACTTGGACACAGGAAGGGGAACACAACACACAGGGTCCTGTTGTGGGGTCGGGGGAGGGAGGAGGGATAGCATTAGGAGATATACCTAATGTTAAACGATGAGTTAATGGGTGCAGCACACCAACATGGCACATGTATACTTATGTAACAAACCTGCACGTTGTGCACATGTACCCTAGAACTTAAAGTATAAAAAAAAAAGAAAATGGTTGTGAATATTTTGAGTCTAATAATAAATTTTGCCTTTCTTTAAAAAAAAAAAAAAATCTGACCAGGTGTTGTAACTCACGCTTGTTGTAATCCCAGTACTTTGGGAGGCCGAGGCAGGAGGATCATTTGAGACCAGCCTGGATAATGTAGTGGGACCTTGTCTTTACTAAAAATAAATTTCAAAAAATTAACCTGGCGTGGTGGCACATACCTGAAGTTCCAGCTACTGGACAGGCTGAGGTGGGGGCAGTGCTTGAGCCCAGGAGATGAGCCAGCAGTCAGCTATGATCGTGCCACTGTGCTCCAACCTGGGCGACAGAGCACGAACTTAGCTTAAAAAAAATAGTTTTAAAACTGAAGGTGTTTTCTTGTTGCTTTTCTCTTGGATTATGGGGAAAGTCACTTTCAGAGTGGAGTTTCAATTTTTTTCCTTTTCTGTTGTATTTCCCTTCAGTTACCCAGCCTTCAGGAAAATCTGACACTTGGGTACTGCCTATGTGTGGTGGCAGAAAGTGAAGACAGAGGCCAGTATAGGACACATACCTGCCCCACATCTACTGTTCCCACGGTAGAGTCCTAGGTTGATCTTAAAGGCAGCTTTGATGATTGACAGATGATTGGCTGCAGTTGTAGCAGAATTAACCAGCTTACCAGGTTAAATGTTGGGGTTGCGTGTGGGTGGGCTTCAGACTCAAAAATTGATGGAAGTGCCGGCTGGGCGTGGTGCTCACGCATGTAATCCCAGCATTTTGAAAGGCCGAGGCAGGTGGATCGCTTGAGGTCAAGAGTTCCAGACCAGACTGGCCAACATGGTGAAACCCTGTCTGTACTAAAAACACAAAAATTAGCCAGGCATGGTGGCGTGCGCCTGTAATCCCAGCTACTCGGGAGGTTAAAGCAGGAGAATTGCTTGAACCCAGGAGGCAGAGTTTGCAGTGAGACGAGATCTTGCTGCTGCACACCAGCCTGGGCAACAGAGTGACATTCCATCTCAAGAAAAAAAAAAAAAGAAAAAGAAAAAAAATTCTGACAGAAGTTCTGCCTCATTGATCTGCTTAATGTGATCAGGGATAACATAGGATCCAAGCTAATCCTGCCACTTAGCAATTCAGAGCTATGCATTTAGATGACGATCTCTGTCCAGCCCTGTGAAATATGAGCAGAGGAGCAGAGGTAGGTGTGTGTGTGTGAGACAGAGAGAGAGAGAGAGGGAAAGAGAGACAGAAAGGGTGAAAGCTGTTAGTAGGTTTGTAATTCTTGGTAAAAGGCTGGAGGGGAATCTATTACTTTATTTTTTTACTAGTGTCTCCAGAGGACAGATGTAACTTTCCAGATAGCCTTGAAAAATGTGACTGTTATTCTGCAACAAAAAACAAAAACAAAAACAAAAGCCATCATTTTTCATACTCCCCTGAGGTTCCTGGCAAGAAGCGTGAGATTCTATAAAGAGAGAGCCCAGGGTTTTGCCTGTTCAGCTGCCCCTGGTCAGGAGCTTGTGTGTGAATCTCCCCAGAAACACTTCCCAACCATAGGACATTTCCCTTGACTCTGATTCATCCATGAGTCCCCAGAGTATTTTGCTACCATCTTTCCAAACAATCCATGCCAATCATTGATTATGATTAGGAGCGTGGCCATGCAGACCCCCTCAGGTCACCCTGTCCCTCTCCTGGTTGAAGATTTATCTCAGCATCACTTGGTGGGGATTTTCTGGACTAACAGAAGCCAGAGGGAGAAGGCTGCACTCCTGCCTCTGCTGCTGACTGGCTGTGAGTTCTGAGGCAGGTCCCTCAGTCTGAGTTTGTTTTTTCACCTGTGAGACAGGGATGATGATAGTGGTGGTGACTTTTTTTTTTTTTTTGAGACAGAGTTTCCCCTCTGTCGCCCAGGCTGGTGTGCAGTGGTGTGATCTCGGCTCACTGCCACCTCTGCCTCCTGGATTCAAGCGATTCTTGTGCCTCAGCCTCCCGAGTAGCTGGGATTACAGGTGTGCGGCACCACACCTGACTGATTTTTGTATTTTTAGTACAGTCAGGGTTTTGCCATGTTGGCCAGGCTAGTCTAGAACCCCTGACCTTAAGTGATCCACCTGCCTCAGCCTCCTAAAGTGCTGGGATTACATGCATGAGCCACCATGCCCAGGCTGGTGGTGACATTTGTTATGTTCAGCCATGGAGGTCTTAGGGTTCTCGAATAGTAAGATGGATGTCAGAGCCAAACGTCAACTTGAAATCTGGATGGAAATGTGAGTTCCTGTGGGTATTTCTCACGGTTTACAAATGGCTTGATTATTCCTTCTTTCCCCTTCTCAGCTGCGTACCACATTTGAAAAGAACAAATGGGGCACCTGGACTTCCAGCTACCTTTGCTCACAGCAGCTGTCTGCAGATCTACTGCATCTCTGCATGAGCAGGGTCCTCAGCCCCTGCTGCATGGCAGTGGGTGGAGATGGACTATGGATCCGCTCCCCTCGGTCTCCCAGGCTGGCTTCCTTTCGGACCCTAGCTGATCCTGGATGAGATCTTATCAATCTTTTCCTCTCATGCTTTCTCTTCACAGAAGGTGACTCAAGACAAGGAGTCATCATCTCTCCTTATCTGCATCTGGCAGGCCAGGCCATGCGGCAGGTGCTCTGGGTACCAGCTGCCCATTGTTATGTAGAGGAGCAAATTCCTGAAGGGAGTGGCTACTACAGGACAGAACCTGGGACAGGCCAATATTTGATACCAATTATTATTACTCTTCTTACTGGAGCATAGTGGAGTGACCTGGTTTTGCAAATGTGTTTCCTTTAATTCCTTCAACCTATCAAATGAAACAACTCCTCAGCTCAATACTCTGATTTCATTATTCCTAGAAGAATTTAGGGTTGTAGACCTTCCCAGGCAGGCTGTAAATACTATTTTGGTCTGTGGGAGCTCCAAGACCTGATTGAAAGCAGCCTAGCCTGTGAGAAGCTCTGCTGTGGAGGATCAGGCAGCACTGGGACTTTGGGCTTCCAGGGTGCCAAGTTCTCACCAAGCCTGGCCCCTGGGACAGGGCTCCCTCCAAGCCCGAACCTCAGGGGAAGGCTCAGCAGTCACAGCCCACCAGTGTCCTCTCAGCTGCCAACGCTGCTCAGAGAGGGAAGTGCTGCTGCTGCCGGGAGGGGCACAGCCCTGAAGATTACGGAAGACAGTGGGCAGAGAATGTGGAAAATCACCCAGAGGTTGCTGCTCACACTTCATGTCTTCAGAGCATCACCCCTCATTTTATAGCTGGAGAGATGGGGTGCACAGCCAAGGAAAGCCAGGAACAGGTTCCGGCTTCCATCACTCAGATACTCAGGAATCCCTGGGTACCCCACACTGATTCACACTGCGCTGAGCTGTCCATGGCACAGAACCATTTGTCCACTGATGCTTCCTCCCTCCAGGGACACTGTCCATCTTCAACAAGGGAGGATCCCAGATACTCACCATGGGCATTCATTTTATAAAAGTCCCAACTGTGGCTCAGGGGTCGGTCCTTGCACCTTATTAGGATTTACCTATGACTTTATCTGCACTCACATAAGCACTAGGGGGACAGGAAGCTGTTACTGCAGTCCCGGGGGCCTCTCTCCCGATGCCTCCATTTAAAGACTTTGTTCTGTTTGTTCACAGTGTAGATCTACCGACTTTTTTGTGTGTCTATTTTAACTCACAAATTCCACGGCCTCCTCCTTGAAGACAAGAACAGCATCTTCTTTGCATCTTGCCCCATCCTTGCACTTATTGCTCAGGAATAGTTGATTATCCAGTTCCATAATTAATCTGTCTTTCCTTGAGCACCTACAATATGAGTTCTAGGTTCTACAGGGAATACAAAAATGAGTAGACATGAATGGAGAGCAGGGCAAAAGAGTGGAGAAAGTCAGAGTAGTAGCTTATTTCATAAAGTTTGGTAGGAAACAGGAGAGAGACTGGGTTGAGAGGATTGTAGAAGTGCATGGGGAGGGAGGTTGTGGTTGAAGATAAACGGAGGTGACTAGCGGGTGGATAATTGATGGAGCGAAGGGTGGAAGAGCCTAGAGGGAAGGAATGGGCCAGGCACCGTGCTGACCACAGGCAGATTGATTCCTGAAAAAAAGAGTCACCTCTTCAGCAAGACTAAAGGAAGAGGGAGGGAAGTGAAGGTGGGGAGGGAAGGGAGAATGGAAGGAGATGTAGCTAAATTTGGACACAGAGGTGAAAGAGAAAATGGCTCACCCTAATGTCCTCAGGTTTTCACTGTTGAATGAAGGAAGGGACGTAAGCCCCGACATTAAAGCGCCAAAGTTGACAAGGATCCATTGCTGGGATGATTGGGGGTGGCATATGCGACTCAGAGAGGGCCATGTGGCCTGTTTGGGGGAGGTCAAGGGAAAACGAGGGGAAAGGAGAGCAAAGTTGGGGAAATAGGAATTATCTCTAGGGCCATCTTTTCTTCCCTCTCCCACTCACACCCCATGTATCAGGATCCTGAGGCCCATCTGGCCTTCCCCAAGTTCTGAAGTTCTCTCTCCTTCCCTCGTGGTGTACTTCTCTGGCTAAGTAACTACTTGCTGTTACTGGTTCAGTAGGTGCTCCTGGCTTTGTGTGCTCTCCTCTCTCAGGTACCAGTGTGATATTCTTAGAAGATGGGAGAGGCACAGTTAGATTTTGGTTCACATAGTCTGTGATACTTTGTTATGGCAGCCCCAACAAACTAATAAATTCATCTTACAGCTATATTTTAAAAGTATGAGTTATTAGCCGGGTGTGGTGGCATATGCCTGTAATCCCAGCTACTCAGGAGGCTGAGGCACAAGAATTTCTTGAACCTGGGAGGCAAAGGTTACAGTGAGCCAAGATCACGCCACTGAACTCCAACCTGGGCAACAGAGAGAGACTCTGTCTCAAATAAATAAATAAAATTTAAAAATTAAAAGTATGAAATATATTTCATCAGCATTTTAAGGATTATTTGATATGTCAAAAACTGAGTTATAGAGTAGTTTAGACTGTATAAATAAACTAATCATAAATATATTCAAGAAGAAGGTATTTGCTTAACAAAAGACTTAACATTAAACATTTGTTCAAATTCATCTACTCTTTTCAAGAAAAATATTTCTTAAAACAAGGTTTTGTTAACTATGGCAGAGTAGTCATTAATTTCCAGCAAACCTGGCTGCTTCCCCTATTAGCACATGGGATTAAATTATCTCCTGTGAAGGGACTGGTGTTTTGGGACATGGGACATTGTCTTAACCCAGGCAGCTATAACACATATACTGCAGACTGGTGGCTTAGACCAGGGGTCCCCAGTCCTTGGGCCGTGGACTGCTACTGGTCCATGGCCTGTTAGGACCTGAGGTGCAGAGCAGGAGATGAGCAGCACTCCAGTGAGCCCCACATCCTGCCAGATAAGCAGCGGCGTCAGATTCTCACAGGAGCGCAAACCCTGCTGTGAACTGTCATGTGAGGGATGGAGCTTGTGTGCTCCTTATGAGACTTTAATGCCTCCCACCACTGGTCCGTGGACAAATTGTCTTCCACAAAATGAGTCCCTGGTGTCAAAAAGGTTGGGGACTGCTGGCTTAGACAATAGAAATTTTGTTGTTTAATTTTTTCACAGTTCTCGAGGCTGGACAGTCCAAGATCAAGGTGCCTGCATCTGGCGTCTAGTGTGGACCCTATTCCTGGTTTGCAGGTGGGTGTCTTCTTGCTGTGTCCTCACTTGGCAGAGAGAAAAGAGAGAGCAAGCTCTTGTGTCTTTTTATAAGGGCACTAATACCATTCATGAGCCTGCCACCCTCATAACCCAGTCACCTCCCAAAGGCCCTGCCTCCTAATACCATTACATTGGAGGTTAGGATTTCAACATCGGAATTTGGGGAGGCCACAAACATTCAGTACATAACAAGTGCCTATAATAGAAATTCTTCTCACACCCTTTGAGTGCACACCACGCAGTGTGCTAGATGTCACTCCCAAATGTCATTCCCTGAATTCTCACAACAGGCCTAGGAGATGGGCAGGTATCCCATGGCACATACAAGAATATCAGAACTTAAAGTGGTTAAATAACCATCTGCAGTTACAGAGGTAATCATTAGGGAGAATGTTCCCTAGTTCTGATAGGCCAGGTGTAGATCCCAGCTCTGCTGCATCCCGGCAATGTGACCTCGGCAGGCAGCTCAACTCTCTGCCTCAGTTTCTTCATTTGTAAAGTGGAGACATGGTACTACGCACATCATGGGGTTGTTGGACAGATTAAATGAGATAATATATCTTCTTGGCACAAAGCCTGGCACGTATAAAGTCCTCTAATGTTAGCTATTATCATTGCTTTAAGAAATATGGTAAGTAAAAATAATATCAGACACTCTATAGCAGTGTTTACAAAGAGCTTTCTATTTTGTCAGATGAGGAAACCGAGGCTGAGAGAAGTTAAATGACTCAGCTGGGGCCCCCCAGCCAGTAAGCTGTGGGAAGGGGACTCAACCCAGCCTTTTGACTCCCAGCAGGGCAGAGCTGCAAACTTCTGACAGCCACTCCACTAGTCAATGTCCTTGAAATAATCAACGCTCCTATCTCAGCTTAAAAATCATGTGTGTGTGTGAGTGAATTTACTGTGGAGGAGGGAAATGGCTCAGACTCTTATCCTGCTGTTTAAAGTTCTTCTTGCCTTACATCTCTGCTAGTCAGGGTTCTCCAAAGAAACAGAAACAATAGGATGTGCATAGAGAGAGAGAGATTGGTTTTCAGGAATTGGCTCATGTGATGGAGGCTGGTCAGTCCAATATTTACAGGGTGGGCCAGCAGCTAAAGACCCAGTAAAGAGCTAATGTTGCAGTTGAGGTCTGAAGGCTGCTTGCTAGCAGACTCCTTCTTGCTCAGGAGAGGCCAGCCTTCTGTTCCATTCAGGCCTTCACATGATTGGTGAGGCTTATCAGACGTTATGGAGGGCCATCTGCTTTACTGAAAGTCAACCAATTTAAATGTCAATGTCATCTAAAAACACCCTCACCAGGAACACCCACAATAATGTTTGACCAAATATCTGGGCACTTTGGCCCAGCCAAATTGACATGTAAAATTAACCATCACAACATTTTTGCCTAGCTCCATCAAGAATTGGCTGAGAAATCTTATGCAAGGTACTGACCTTAACTCCCACTCACCACATGCCCTGGAAAGATGAAAAAGCACTGTAGGATAAGGTTGAGTCTTTGAACCCAACCCTCCCATCCTTTTTCTTTCAGAAGAAGAATGTTGTTAATGGAGCAATTCACTTTGTTTCATTTTCAGTCTATCCACTTGTGGTATCAGGCTGGTAGGTGAACCTTTTTTTTTTTTAAGTTTCC
This sequence comes from Homo sapiens, assembly GCF_000001405.40. NCBI lineage: Eukaryota > Metazoa > Chordata > Mammalia > Primates > Hominidae > Homo > Homo sapiens. The sequence continues at coordinate 50,087,463 of NC_000014.9, read as the reverse complement.
TCTTTTCTTTTGACATGGTGGTAATGTTTTACTTTTATATTAACTACAAGCTTGCATGCAACTAAAGGAACCAGGGAGGGAAGCTGTGTTTATAATCTTCTCTTTAATTGTGGTACTTGTTTAAGATTAGCTAAGCCTGGCTCATTTTTTAAAAGTCAATTTTATTGAGGTAGAACTGCTGATTGCAAAAGTAGGTTTAAAAAAAATTCCATATCTGTATAGAAATGGTATAAAACTAAAAGTTAAATTCTGTGTAAACTGAAATCGCACCATCTTGAATGTCAGGGAAAGGACATACTTTGTAAACTGGTCTTGATGATGGTGTGCCTAAAGTGCAGGGGCAAAATTTAGCCTTTTTTTTTTTTTTTTTTTTTTTTTTTTTTAGGCTAGTCAAGTGAAGCAGTGGGAGTGGAGAATGAATAAAGAAATCTGTAACTGATTATGATCAATTAGTTGTAAACACCAATGCACTCAGACCAGCCAAAAATTAGCCTCTTAAGTGTTAAAACTATAAAACAAAAAGCATGAGGCAGCAGATTTGTGAAAGTTTTAAAATTACCTCCAGTAATTTAAATTTAAATAATTTAATTAAATTATTAGGTAAACCCGCCAAGGCCAGTAAGCAGAAATTCTCACCCAGTAACCAAAGCAAGTAATAATTCTAATGGAATACTCAGCTGGGAAGATATCTGAAGTATGGCAACGGAAGGACTCTAATGAATAAACTAACTACCTTTTATTTATATGGTACTCTAAGGTTTTGAAAGGACTTTCATTGATATTAATCTTGTTTATTTCATCCTTACAACCACCTGATGCCATGGGACAGCCAGATCTCTTTCTCCCCATTGAGACTAAGAGAGGTCCAGGGTCATATAGCTGCAAACTGGCAGGGAACAGAACAGACTGAGATCATCTTTCCTCTGCATTATCATCAGTCCAAGGTCTTTGTAGGGTGCCTGAGACTCACATCTAGGGCCCGGGGTGGGTGAAGGAGAACGATGGACAGAATCATTATAGAAGAGAAGTATGGCTATTCTTGCAATTGACCCATCTCAAGAAAAATAGAGTTCATTCAAAATGGTATTGCCATTTTGAATTAGAGACTTTGGGTCATATAAATGTACAGGCCTGCACATTTACTCCCCAGAATGAGACAACCCAGAAGAAAAAAAAAAGAGAGGGAATGAGCACTTTAACAGAATTTAAATATTACTCACTTTTTCACTCCCAGACCTTGAGGAATGGCAGTGGAGGAGGGTGAGGGAAACAGTGCTGCTGGGGACAGTTCTCTCCCTGAGAGGAGAGAGTCACACCGCCAGAGCTGTGAAAGATGAATCACATCTTTTACATCAGGACTTGGTACAGATTTCCTGGGAAACTTGTCACTGAGGATATAATAGAGATGACTGTTCTTTTGGGGAGATTAGCATTTTCTGGAGGGAATAGTATAAATCAATTTGGGGTTAAATGGCAAATTAAGATGAAAATTAAACGAGTGTAAAAGCCCACAGCTTTTGTGGGCTGTGTTCACCTCTCCAGGAAGTCAGCATGGCCAGACTACGTGAAAGAGAAAATGTCAGACTTGGTCGCAAAAGTGAAAAGGGGTGATATTTTTGATCTCACCTTCCTTGACAGGAGGGGTTCTTTTTAAAATCGAGACGACACCTCTCAGTTTACAAGGCACTCCCCTGTGTATCATTTACGCTCTACCAAGCAGATGCATGGTTCCCGTTTTCTAGATGAGATAGCTCAAGGCCACAGCTAAAGGCACATACTGGGCCTGCAGCTCAAAACCCGTGTCCTCTCCACTCCATCACGAGGCTGACCCCCTCAGTCTCTAGATGGGGGCAGAGTGGCTGATGCAATGACTTATTGGCTCCTTGTTATAAAGGTAACCAACCATATTGTTCTGCCCAGACATGGGAGAGTCCTGGTCAAACTAAGATAATTGGTCACCCTACTTCTGTATTTTCATTAGTACTCACAGGAGATTCTCCAAGAACCACACTGAATGCTAAGACATTTTAGGACACAGCTATATATGCATGGGATTTGCATATAGTTTCATTCTACCCAAACAGTATTTGCCAGCATTTTAAAATTTACTCTTAACCTCCTAAGATTGCTATTTTGATTTCTTTTTCTTCTTCACTTCTTTATAGTTCTTCATTGTTATTGTCTCAGATCACCAAAAAGTGGACAGGGAGGAGGAGTGGAAGCAAGGAAAAATAAGGAAAGAAATACACTGGATCCCATTGTTTACAATGTGGTCTTGGCTCCAGTGTGTTGAGGACCGATCTATAGCAGGAATTCCCAAACTTGAACATGGTGGTGGGTAGCCTCTAAGACAGCCCCCAGGATTCCCGCCTCTTGCCATTCATGCTCTTGGGTAATTATCTTCCCTCTTCCCTTGAGTAGATTTGTCTTGAGGGCTCACTTTTGTGTTTGTGCTTCACCTCCACCCCCTACTTCTCTCTTTCTCTCCCTCTCTCCCCTTCCCTTTCTCCCTCCATCCCTCCATCTCCTTTCTAACCCTGGGAAAGGCCAGATGCCATGCTGTGAGCAGCCCTATAGACAGGTCCCTGTGGTGAGGAACTGATGTTTCCAGGACCCAAGGCCTGCTGAGGGCCAGTTAGGTGAGCTTGGAAGCAGACTCCCTAGCACCAGCGAAGGCTTGAGATGACAAACATCTTGACTGCAGCGCCATGAAAGACCACGAGCCAGGATCATAAGGCCAAGTCAGTCCCAAAGTCCTCACCCATATAAACTACAAGGTGATAAATATTGGTGGTTTTCAGCCTGATTTTTAGGGTAATTTGTTCAGAAGCAATAGATAACTAATACAAATGTATATCAGAACCACTTAGATAACAACTTAATAAAATGTGTATTCTGGGTCGCACCCCCAGAGATATTATTCAACAGATGTGGCCTGAGATCTTTGCCTTTTCACCAGGAATCCCAGGAGAATCTGAACTGAACAAATTTCTGCTTGAGAGCACATAGAATTAACTCTCACCTGGGAAGGCCTGGCCAGAGGGAAGACCATAAGGAAGGCAGAATTGCCAGATAAAAACAAGATGCCCAGTTATATTTAAATTTCAGATAAGTAACAAATAATGTTTTAGTCTTAAATGTACCCCATGCAGTATGTGGGACATATTTACATAGAAACAGGATTTGCCGATTATCTGAAATTCAGATGTAACTGAGTGTTCTGTATTTCTGTTTGCTAAATACCATCCAGAGATCCCACAGGAAGTGAAGGCCCAGTGGGAAGTAAAGTGGTGCCTCCTTTTCCTGGATGGCAGGATTTTTCTCCTTAAGGACATGGAGGCCTAGGCGCTTCCTTCCTGTGGGGAGGTGGCCTCCAATGGCCTCGAAGTCTTGGTGTCCTTCTCCCCGAGGAGTTGCAGGTTGCCCAGGATGGGTCCTGCCCCTCCCACTCCAGACTCGCACCAGACTGAGTCACTCCTGGATGTTCTGGTGGGAGGGTTTTGGGGAGTCCCCCACACAGCCCCACCTCGCCTCCAAGAGGCTGGAGGCCCCACAGGTGGGTGCGGTGTTGGTGGCCAGCCCCTTGGTGGCCGTGGCCAGTGGGTGGGCGAGGAGACTGGTCCAGTTGGTGGACCTCATGCCTGGTGGGTGCCGCCCACGGCACCGGGTACTTCCTTGGTCCTTTTGGTGCTGTTGGCACAGCCTTTCCAGAGCAGCGAATGGATGCCAGTCTCCTCCCACACCCCTCCAGGAACGCAGACCAACACAGCTGCTCTATTAAATGTGTGCACTTCTTATTCTGAGTATGTCTGAGTCTCTGATGAGCTCTATTTATTGCAGCCCTCAGCCCTGTAAAGAGGAGGATGGTTCCAAAGAGCCCTGAATGCGGGCGGTTTTATGAATCAGCCTCTCACTTCTTTGTATATACTTTCTTGTCACGGGAACAGCCTTAATTTTGATGTTTATTTTGAACTATGAAATATAAGATGAATGAGAGTATGAGTGTATATATGAGCATGTGTGTATGAGCGAGAGAGAGAAAGACAGAGAGAGATTGGCTGGATAGACTGAAATGCTTAAGGCAGGGATGGAAGATGAAGACTGAGAAAATGTGTGGCTGTGGTAGAATCAGAAACTTTAATATGTGCTTTGAAAGCAGACCTGAAAGTGAGGTGACATCACTCTGCTGTGGTTCGGCCTCACTCAGCGGCCTGATGCAAGCCAAACACCCACAGGAGGGGAACTCCGCTCAGTCTCTCTCCTGAGAGAAACTCTGGAGGTGTCTGGCCTTTTGAGAGCAAGGAGGAGGTTTGGAATCAAGTGTGCAGAAGCTCTGCTTGTCCTGGACGCTCTTAAAGGCTCCAGGAGAACACTTTGGGTGCTGCTTTATATGAATAAAACCAGCATGGCTAAAAAAAACATATTCAAAAAGTAGAATCCAAGGATGATGGTGCACATCACTGCACATCTTGCACGTCAGGAAGAATCCCACGTTCCTGGACCCCCATCCCCGGTGTAGCTGACTTGGAAAGCTGAAGAAGACCACGAAGCTAGATTTATAGGATGTTACAGAGCCAGCAGGTACTTTAATAATCTAGGCTAGGGCCCAGTGCAGTGGCTCCTGCCTGTAATCCCAGCACTTTTAGGGGCCAAGGCGGGAGGATTGCTTGAGCCCAGGAATTCAAGACCAGCCTGGACAACATAGCGAGCCTCTGTCTCTACAAAAAGTAAAAAATTAGCAGGGCATGGTGGTGCAGGCCTGTAGTTACAGTACTCAGGAAGCTGAGGCAGGAGGATCGCTTGAGCTCAGGAGATCAAGTCTGCAGTGTGCACTCCAGCCTGGGCGACAGAGCGAGACCCTATCTCCAACAAACAAACACAAAAAATCCGGCCAGGTTCCTGTCTAACAAAGAAGAAGCAAGGCTCCCACTTAGGCCTTCAGTTTGACTTCTCTGGGCATCTGAAGAATTAGTAGCAACCTCACAGATTTACTGTGAAGATTAATTGCAATGACGTATATAAAGCCCTCGGCACTTTGCACTCAGTAAGTGGGAGCTGTTATTATTTCACGGGTTCTGTGTGCTTGAGTGCATGGTGGCAAGGTTGGGGTGGGCGGGGGGAGCTGTTTCAGCATAGTATAAGAAAGAGCTCAGCTTCCTGAGACAGGGTTCTTATATATTTAGAGTCTTTTTAATTGGAAAGGACAAAATAGGCCATTTAATTCAATCCCTTTGTTTTAGAGCTGATGAAGCTGAGCTCCAGACAAGTGAGGGCTTGCTCTGGATCACACGACGGCCTCCTGTTCGGGAATCCTGTATCATGCCTACACAGTAGGGAAACTGCTGTGCTTTTAGCCTAGAAACTCCGCTGCGAGTTATTTACGCAGCAGCAGATGGGAGTTCCTGCACACTAGACCAAGTGCTTGGTTGGATCTTTTCAGAGACCACCGGCGCCATCACGGTGGGCCCCCGAACTTTTGTAAATGAATGAAAATACTACATAGAATTACATACAAAGGCAAGTCTGGATTTGAAATTAATGACCGCGGGATTCAGAAATGATTTTGAGATAAAATGAATAGTTCAAGAAAATTTGCGTTGCAGTAGACAACACTGCTTAGGAAAACTCCTCCTCTGTAGAATTTCAGAGACAAAGATCATGACTGTTATTTTAATTCATAGCCTCAGGGTGTTTGGAGAGAGGAGGAAGAGTGAGAGTTCTGAAGCTCTTTTTTTTTTTTTCTTTTTGAGACAGAGTCTCGCTCTGTCACCCAGGCTGGAGTGCAGTGGTGTGATCTCAGCTCATTGCAAACTCTGCCTCCCAGGTTCAAGCGATTCTCCTGCCTCAGCCTCCTAAGTAGCTGGGACTACAGGTATATGCCACCATACCCAGCTAATTTTTGTATTTTTAGTGGAGACAGGGTTTCACCATGTTGGCCAGGATGGTCTTGATCTCCTGACCTCGTGATCTGCCTGCCTTGGCCTCCCAAAGTGCTGGGATTACAGGCTTGAGCCACAGCTGTGCGGAAATAGGACTGTTTTCTCTTTCTGAAATAGAATAGCTTTTAAATATATAGCAATGTCTAGCATTGGTCAAGCGTTTGGTATGTATTTTACTTATTTGTTTAATCTTCACAACAACCTTAGGAGATAGGTGCTAGAATTATCCCATTTACAGATAAGAACACTGAGACCAAAGAGTAGCTTATTCATGGTCAAATAGCTAGTAAACAGCAGCATTGGGACCAAATCTCTGATTCTGGCTTCAGAGCCATTCTCTACCCTTTTGAGAGAGTCCAGGTACCAAACCTATGAGACTAAGAACTATTAAACATTCCCTGTGCACGTGTGCATTTCATCACATTACTATGCCAAGGTTAAGTGTATGCAGCTGAATCCTCTTGGTGCTTAACACCCTAGTCTACCCCTACCATACTGTTGGTCTGGAAATTCTGCAGAAACATGGGTGGGATCTTTTATTTTCTAATCTCCAGTGCTCAGCCCTTACTTTATGGCTGCTGGAAGAAAAGCAGGAACTAGCACTGCTCTTTAGGCCATAAATGGCATAAGGAGCCAGCACCAGGCTTAGTATTAATAGGTTTTTTGTTGTTGTTGTTTGTTTTTGAGACAGAGTCTCACTCTTTTGCCCAGAGCTGGAGTGCAATGGAGCCATCTTGGCTCACTGCAACCTCTGCCTCCCGGGTTCAAGCAATTCTCCTGCCTTAGCCTCCCAAGTAGCTGGGATTACAAGGTAACTGCCACCATGCAGGGCTATTTTTTTTTTTTTTTTTTTGTATTTTTATTAGAGACAGGGTTTCGCCATGTTGGCCAGGCTGGGCTTGAACTCCTGACCTCAGGTGATCTGCCCGCCTCAGGTGATCCACCGCACCTGGCCTGGATGTATACAAATTTATCATATATTAAAGAATATTTTAGGCCAGGTGCAGTGGCTCACGCCTGTAATCCCAGCACTATGGGAGGCTGAGGCAGGCAGATCACCTGAGGTCAGGAGTTCAAGACCAGCCTGGCCAACATGGTGAAACCCTGTCTGTACTAAAAATATAAAAATTACCCGGGTGTGGTGGCAGGTGCCCATAATCCCAATTATTTGAGAGGCTGCAGCAGGAGAATTGCTTGAACCTGGGATGCAGAGGTTGCAGTTAGCAGAGATCACGCCACTGCACTCCAGCCTGGGTGACAGAGCAAGACTCCATCTCAAAAGAAAAAAAAAAGAATATTTCTATTGGGTCTCATCTTACAGATAATGCTGAAATAAATATTTACACACGTGTGTTTTTGTCTTGGACTGGTTTCGTTATTATTTATGAAAAAAAATCCTAGAATTGGAATCGTTAGGTCAAAGAATATTTGTATTCTAAATTTTAATTGATATTTGCATATGCCACAAAGAGGTTGCACCAATTTGCTCTCAGTGAGAAGGAATTTTCTTTTCTTTTTTTTTTTTTTATATTTTAATTTTACCTTAAGTTCTAGGGTACATGTGCACAACGTGCAGGCTTGTTACCTATGTATACGTGTGCCATGTTGGTGTACTGCACCCATTAACTCATCATTTACATTAGGTATATCTCCTAATGCTATCCCTCCCCCCTCCCCCAACCCCACAACAGGCCCCAGTGTGTGATGTTCCCCTTCCTGTGTCCATGTGTTCTCATTGTTCAGTTCCCACCTATGAGTGAGAACATGCGGTGTTTGGTTTTTTGTCCTTGGGATAGTTTGCTGAGAATGATGGTTTCCAGCTTCATCCATGTCCCTACAAAGGACATGAACTCATCATTTTTTATGGCTGCGTAGTATTCCATGGTGTATATGTGCCACATTTTCTTAATCCAGTCTATCATTGTTGGACATTTGGGTTGGTTCCAAGTCTTTGCTATTGTGAATAGTGCCACAGTAAACATACATGTGCATGGGTCTTTATAGCAGCATGATTTATAATACTTTGGGTATATACCCAGTAATGGGATGGCTGGGTCAAATGGTATTTCTAGTTCTAGATCCCTGAGGAATCACCACACTGTCTTCCACAATGGTTGAAATAGTTTGCAGTCCCACCAACAGTGTAAAAGTGCTCCTGTTTCTCCACATCCTCTCCAGCACCTGTTGTTTCCTGACTTTTTAATGATTGCCATTCTAACTGGTATGAGATGGTATCTCATTGTGGTTTTGATTTGCATTTCTCTGATGGCCAGTGATGATGAGCATTGTTTCATGTGTCTGTTGGCTGCATAAATGTCTTCTTTTGAGAAGTGTCTGTTCATATCCTTCGCCCACTTGTTGATGGGGTTGCTTGTTTTTTTCTTGTAAATTTGTTTGAGTTCTTTGTAGATTCTGGATATTAGCCCTTTGTCAGACGGGGAGATTGAAAAAATTTTCTCCCATTCTGTAGGTTGCCTGTTCACTGTGATGGTAGTTTCTTTTGCTGTGCAGAAGCTCTTTAGTTTAATTAGATCCCATTTGTCAATTTTGGCTTTTGTTGCCATTGCTTTTGGTGTCTTAGACATGAAGTCCTTGCCCATGCCTATGTCCTGAATGGTATTGCCTAGGTTTTCTTCTAGGGTTTTTATGTTTTTAGGTCTAACACTTAAGTCTTTAATCCATCTTGAATTAATTTTTGTATAAGGTGTAAGGAAGGGATCCAGTTTCAGCTTTCTACATATGGCAAGCCAGTTTTCCCAGCACCATTTGTTAAATAGGGAATCCTTTCCCCATTTCTTGTTTTTGTCAGGTTTGTCAAAGATCAGATAGTCATAGATGTGTGGTATTATTTCTGAGGGCTCTGTTCTGTTCCATTGGTCTGTATCTCTCTTTTGGTACCAGTACCATGCTGTTTTGGTTACTGTAGCCTTGCAGTATAGTTTGAAGTCAGGTAGCGTGATGCCTCCAGCTTTGTTCTTTTGGCTTAGGATTGACTTGGCAATGCGGGCTCTTTTTTGGTTCCATATGAACTTTAAAGTAGTTTTTTCCAATTCTATGAAGAAAGTCATTGGTAGCTTGATGGGGATGGCATTGAATCTATAAATTACCTTGGGGAGTATGGCCATTTTCACGATATTGATTCTTCCGATCCATGAGCATGGAATGTTCTTCCATTTGTTTGTATCCTCTTTTATTTCATTGAGCAGTGGTTTGTAGTTCTCCTTGAAGAGGTCCTTCACATCCCTTGTAAGTTGGATTCCTAGGTATTTTATTCTCTTTAAAGTAATTGTGAATGGGAGTTCACTCGTGATTTGGCTCTCTGTTTGTCTGTTATTGGTGTATAAGAATGCTTGTGATTTTTGCACATTGATTTTGTATCCTGAGACTTTGCTGAAGTTGTTTATCAGCTTAAGGAGATTTTGGGCTGAGACGATGTGGTTTTCTAGATATACAATCATGTCATCTGCAAACACGGACAATTTGACTTCCTCTTTTCCTAATTGAATAACCTTTATTTCTTTCTCTTGTCTGATTGCCCTGGCCAGAACTTCCAACACTATGTTGAACAGGAGCGGTGAGAGAGGGCATCCCTGTCTTGTGCCAGTTTTCAAAGGGAATGCTTCCAGTTTTTGCCCATTCAGTATGATATTGGCTGTGGGTTTGTCATAAGTAGCTCTTATTATTTTGAGATACGTCCCATCAATACCTAATTTATTGAGAGTTTTTAGCATGAAGGGCTGTTGAATTTTGTCAAAGGCCTTTTCTGCATCTATTGAGATAATCATGTGGTTTTTGTCTTTGGTTCTGTTTATATGCTGGATTACGTTTATTGATTTGCACATGTTGAACCAGCCTTGCATCCCAGGGATGAAGCCCACTTGATCATGCTGAATAAGCTTTTTGATGTGCTGCTGGATTCAGTTTGCCAGTATTTTATTGAGGATTTTTGCATCAATGTTCATCAGGGATATTGGTCTAAAATTCTCTTTTTTTGTTGTGTCTCTGCCAGGCTTTGGTATCAGGATGATGCTGGCCTCATAAAATGAGTTAGGGAGGATTCCCTCTTTTTCTATTGATTGGAATAGTTTCAGAAGGAATGGTACCAGCTCCTCCTTGTACCTCTGGTAGAATTCGGCTGTGAATCCATCTGGTCCTGGACTTTTTTGGGTTGGTAAGCTATTAATTATTGCCTCAATTTCAGAGCCTGTTATTGGTCTATTCAGAGATTCAACTTCTTCCTGGTTTAGTCTTGGGATGGTGTATGTGTTGAGGAATTTATCCATTTCTTCTAGTTTTCTAGTTTATTTGCATAGAGGTGTTTATAGTATTCTCTGATGGTAGTTTGTATTTCTGTGGGATCGGTGGTGATATCCCCTTCATCATTTTTTATTGCATCTATTTGATTCTTCTCTCTTTTCCTCTTTATTAGTCTTGCTAGTGGTCTATCAATTTTGTTGATCTTTTCAAAAAACCAGCTCCTGGATTCATTGATTTTTTGAAGGGTTTTTTGTGTCTCTATCTCCTTCAGTTCTGCTCTGATCTTAGTTATTTCTTGCCTTCTGCTAGCTTTTGAATGTGTTTGCTCTTGCTTCTCTAGTTCTTTGAATTGTGATGTTAGGGTGTTAAGTTTAGATCTTTCCTGCTTTCTCTTGTGGGCATTTAGTGCTATAAATTTCCCTCTACACACTGCTTTAAATGTGTCCCAGAGATTCTGGTATGTTGTGTCTTTGTTCTCATTGGTTTCAAATAACATCTTTATGTCTGCCTTCATTTCGTTATGTACCCAGTAGTCATTCAGGAGCAGGTTGTTCAGTTTCCATGTGGTTGAGCAGTTTTGGGTGAGTTTCCTAATCCTGAGTTCTAGTTTGATTGCACTGTGGTCTGAGAGACAGTTTGTTATAATTTCTGTTCTTTTACATTTGCTGATGAGTGCTTTACTTCCAACTATGTGGTCAATTTTGGAATAAGTGCGATGTGGTGCTAAGAAGAATGTATATTCTGTTGATTTGGGGTGGAGAGTTCTGTAGATGTCTATTGGGTCTGCTTGGTCCACAGCTGAGTTCAATTCCTGGTTATCCTTGTTAACTTTCTGTGTCGTTGATCTGTCTAATGTTGACAGTGGGGTGTTAAAGTCTCCCATTATTATTGTGTGGGAGTCTAAGTCTCTTTGTAGGTCTCTAAGGACTTGCTTTATGAATCTGGGTGCTCCTGTATTGGGTGCATATATATTTAGGATAGTTAGCTCTTCTTGTTGAATTGATCCCTTTACCATTATGTAATGGCCTTTTTTGTCTCTTTTGATCTTTGTTGGTTTAAAGTCTGTTTTATCAGAGACTAGGATTGCAACCCCTGCCTTTTTTTGTTTTCCATTTGCTTGGTAGATCTTCCTCCATCCCTTTATTTTGAGCCTATGTGTGTCTCTGCACATGAGATGGGTTTCCTGAATATAGCACACTGATGGGTCTTGACTATCCAATTTGCCAGTCTGTGTCTTTTAACTGGAGCATTTAGCCCACTTACATTTAAGGTTAATATTGTTTTGTGTGAATTTGATGCTGTCATTATGATGTTAGCTGGTTATTTTGCTCATTAGTTGATGCAGTTTCTTCCTAGCCTCAACGGTCTTTACAACTTGGCATGTTTTTCCAGTGGCTGGTACAGGTTGTTCCTTTCCATGTTTAGTGCTTCCTTCAGGAGCTCTTGTAGGGCAGGCCTGGTGGTGACAAAATCTCGCAGCATTTGCTTGTCTGTAAAGGATTTTATTTCTCCTTCACTTATGAAGCTTAGTTTGGCTGGATATGAAATTCTGGGTTGAAAATTCTTTTCTTTAAGAATGTTGAATATTGGCCCCCACTCTCTTCTGGCTTGTAGGGTTTCTGGCTGTAGAGAGATCAGCTGTTAGTCTGATGGGCTTCCCTTTGTGGGTAACCCGACCTTTCTCTCTGGCTGCCCTTAACATTTTTTCCTTCATTTCAACTTTAGTGAATCTGACAATTATGTGTCTTTGAGTTGCTCTTCTCAAGGAGTATCTTTGTGGCCTTCTCTGAATTCCCTGGATTTGAATGTTGGCCTGCCTTGCTAGGTTGGGGAAGCTCTCCTGGATAATATCCTGCAGAGTGTTTTCCAACTTGGTTCCATTCTCCCCGTCACTTTCAGGTACACCAATCAGATGTAGATTTGGTCTTTTCACATCGTCCCATATTTCTTGGAGGATTTGTTCATTTCTTTTTATTCCTTTTTCTCTAAACTTCTCTTCTCGCTTCATTTCATTCATTTGATCTTCAGTCACTGATACCCTTTCTTCCATTTGATCGAATCAGCTACGGAAGCTTGTGCATTCGTCACGTAGTTCTCGTGCCATGGTTTTCGGCTCCATCAGGTCATTTAAGGCCTTCTCTACACTGGTTATTCTAGTTAGCCATTCGTCTAATCTTTTTTCAAGGTTTTTAACTTCTTTGCGATGGGTTCGAACTTCCTCCTTTAGCTCAGAGAAGTTTGATCATCTGAAGCCTTCTTCTCTCAACTCATCAAAGTCATTCTCCGTCCAGCTTTGTTCCATTGCTGGTGAGGAGCTGCGTTCCTTTTTTTTTTTTTTTTTTTTTAAATTTATTTTTTTATTGATAATTCTTGGGTGTTTCTCACAGAGGGGGATTTGGCAGGGTCATGGGACAATAGTGGAGGGAAGGTCAGCAGATAAACAAGTGAACAAAGGTCTCTGGTTTTCCTAGGCAGAGGACCCTGCGGCCTTCCGCAGTGTTTGTGTCCCTGATTACTTGAGATTAGGGATTGGCGATGACTCTTAACGAGCATGCTGCTTTCAAGCATCTGTTTAACAAAGCACATCTTGCACCGCCCTTAATCCATTTAACCCTGAGTGGACACAGCACATGTTTCAGAGAGCACAGGGTTGGGGGTAAGGTCACAGATCAACAGGATCCCAAGGCAGAGGAATTTTTCTTAGTGCAGAACAAAATGAAAAGTCTCCCATGTCTTCTACTTTCTACACAGACACGGCAACCATCCGATTTCTCAATCTTTTCCCCACCTTTCCCGCCTTTCTATTCCACAAAGCCGCCATTGTCATCCTGGCCCGTTCTCAATGAGCTGTTGGGCACACCTCCCAGACGGGGTGGTGGCCGGGCAGAGGGGCTCCTCACTTCCCAGATGGGGCGGCGGGGCAGAGGCGCTCCCCACATCTCAGACGGGGTCTCGGCCGGGCAGAGGCGCTCCTCACATCCCAGATGGGGCGGCGGGGCAGAGGCGCTCCCCACATCTCAGACGATGGGCGGCCGGGCAGAGACGCTCCTCACTTCCTAGATGTGATGGCGGCTGGGAAGAGGCGCTCCTCACTTCCTAGATGGGATGGCGGCCGGGCGGAGACGCTCCTCACTTTCCAGACTGGGCAGCCAGGCAGAGGGGCTCCTCACATCCCAGACGATGGGTGGCCAGGCAGAGACACTCCTCACTTCCCAGACGGGGTGGCGGCCGGGCAGAGCCTGCAATCTCGGCACTTTGGGAGGCCAAGGCAGGCGGCTGCTCCTTGCCCTCGGGCCCCGCGGGGTCCGTCCGCTCCTCCAGCCGCTGCCTCCCGGGCGGCGCTCGCCGGCGGGGCGGCAAAGACTGAGACAGCTCCGCTGCCCGCTGAACTCCATCCTCCCGGCGGTCGGGCGGCGGCAGCTGCGGTCGGTCGCGGCAGCGGCTCCGCTTCATATCCGGTATCCATATTTCTAAGAAAGGTCTGCTTAAGGAAATCTAGGCTTTTTCTATCAAGCTCCTCAAAATTCTTCCAGCCTTCACTCACTGTGTAATTCCAAAGTCATTCCCACATTTTTAGATATTTGTTATAGCATCCCACTTCTGGGTAGCCACATCTCTCTTAGTTTTCTAGTGCTGCATAACAGATACCACAAATGTGGTGGCTTTAAACAGCACAAGGCCTTCTGATTTTCACACATGACCTCAATTGGTGGCTAAACGCCTCCAACCTTTCATTAGCTTTCTTGAATGCATCAGTGGTGTTCACCAAAAGCCTTCAGATTCTTCGGAATCTGAAGCCTTCACCATCTGTAGAATCAGTACACCCTCCAACCTCTCAAAAAAAAAGGGGGGAGCTGCGTTCCTTTGGAGGAGGAGAGGCGCTCTGATTTTTAGAATTTTAAGTTTTTCCTGCTGTTTTTTTCCCGTCTTTGTGGTTGTATCTACCTTTGGTCTTTGATGATGGTGATGTACTGATAGGGCTTTTGTGTGGATGTCCTTTCTGTTTGTTAGTTTTCCTTCGGAACCCTCAGCTGCAGGTCTGTTGGAGTTTGCTGGAGGTCCACTCCAGAACCTGTTTGCCTGGGTATCAGCAGCGGAGGCTTCAGAACAGCGAATATTGCCGAACAGCAAATGTTGCTGTCTGATCGTTCCTCTGGAAGTTTTGTCTCAGAGGGGTACCCAGCCATATAAGGTGTCAGTCTGCCCCTACTTGGGGGTGCCTCCCAGTTAGGCTACACGGGGGTCAGGGACCCACTTGAGGAGGCAGTCTGTCCTTTCTCAGATCTCAAACTCCATGCTGGGAGAACCACTACTCTCTTCAAAGCTCAGTTGGAAATGCAGAAATCACCGTCTTCTGCGTCTCTCACACTGGGAGCTGTAGACTGGATCTGTTCCTATTCGGCCATCTTGGAACCCCCCCCCCCCACCGCCCTCCGCCCACCGAGAAGGAATTTTCAATGCTGAGTCTAACCATCCTTGTTATCTAACTAGAGTTTTATATAACTAATATACAGCTTTGCTGTGTGGTATGACAGGTAAATCAGATGATAAATATAGTAAACAAATGGACACATTTGTCAAAATGTTTTGAATTACTTAATGGGAAAGAGTGTGAGAGCCTGATGAATCTCTGGCAATGACACTCCTGTGGCAGAGAAGAATCGGGTGTGGTTTTCATGTCTGGTAACTTGCAAATGGTCACTTGTGCAAGATATTTACCATATTTCACTGGGACCTCCTAACATCATCCTCTTTTGATCTAAACCCAGGTTGGTAAAGAAAATGCATATGATATGAACTTGTACACCTCCCTGAATGCTACATCAGGGAGGCATATAGAATTCAACTCTATAAAATCCACCTTCCCCTCTGAAATGTACATCTCAAGATGTGTGTTGCTGAATCAGGTTACTCTAAACTTACTTGACTTTCTTCATCGAAGCCACCTGAGAATTCAGTAATTCCTTTGCATTTGTGGCTTTTAAAGATTCCCACCTCAGCTGGAGGGTTAGTGTGTAGATCATTAACACCTGAGACTTTTGGGCCCCACCTGAATTTGTACAGTGGTAGAGAAACACAACTGGCTGCAAACATATCAGCCTAAGCTTTTAGATTAAAGCTGTTAGCCACAGCAAGCTTTGTAGATTAGCTATGAACTTCATGTGAGTTCTGTCCTCATCTATCATTACCAAGGATGGTAAAAAGTCAGCTATCTTATAAACCTAGTCTATATCTCGTATGACTTTACTGCTCCCCATCCTAACAAGGCACAGATGAGTAGGTGACACCTAGCCTAATGAAAAACCATTTTTAGATGCTAGAGAATAAATTTCCTGCTGAGTTAGGCCCAGATCATTCTATTAACAAAATGTGCTGAAATATGAAAAAGTATACAGCAGCAGGGCACAGGCAAATTGGAGCAGAAAAGAGTAGACAAAGAGACTAGCAGGCAAGCTGTTTTAGCAATTCAGGAAGAAGATGGTGAAGGCCTAGACTAAGGTAGTCCTAGCAAAAGCAGAAGGGAAGTAGCCAATCTGAAGAACCGGGCACGGTGGCTCACGCCTGTAATCCCAGCACTTTGGGAGGCTGAGGCAGGTGGATCACTTGAGGTCAGGAGTTCAAGACCAGCCTGGCTAACATGGTGAAACCCCGACTCTACTAAAAATACAGAAAAATTAAAAAATAAGTAGCCAGGCATGGTGGTGCACATCTGTAATCCCAGCTACTTGAGAGGCTGAGAGGCAGGAGAATCACTTGAACCTGGGAGGCGGAGGTTTCAGTGAGCCAAGATTGTGCCACTGGACTTCAGCCTGGGCAACAGAGTGAGTGAGACTCCGTCTCAAAACAAAAAAGAGAAGTAGCAAATTTGGGAGCCACCAAAGGAAGGCTAAATCAGGATGAAAGTAAGAGTGTAGTGCGAAGAGCTCAGGCTGGATTCTGACGTCTACCTCACAGCTGAGTGACCTCAAGGCCCTGAATCATTCATTCTGAGCCTCTGTTTTTTCACCTGTAAAATTAGGAGAGGGTGGGCCCTAAATGCATTGAGTGTCCTTAGAAGAGAAAGGAGTGGGAAATTTGAGACACACGGTCATGTGACGATGGAGGCAGAGATTGGGGTGATGGGTCCATAAGCCAGGGGACACAAGGGTTGCCAGCAGCCGCTGGAGGCTGGAGAGAGGCATGGCAGGGACTCCCCCTCTGAGCCTTCAGAAGGAACCAACCCTGCCGACACCTTGATTTCAGACTTCTGTCCTCCAGAGCAGGGAAAGGATACACTTGTGTTGTTTTAAGGCACTGAGTTTGTGGTAATTTGTCACAGAAGCCCTAGGAAATGAACACACCATCAAGTTGGGAAGCCTTGGCAGTCCGGGGTCACCATGGCTGTTCACCCGCGCCCGTCTGTCCTCAGGGACAGACCCGGAGGCATCCACGCTGGCTTTGGAAGCTCGTGGTATAGTTACTCAGGGGCATCATCATGTTTTGATAATGCTGCTCTCCTTCTCAGAAGCTAGAGTGAGTTCCGGTTGATTCCAAATTACATTTAAACACTTTCTCATTTGCCTCAAGGTTTTTTCTTGGGGAAAAGGCCTGAATACTCTCGCTCCCTGGGGCCATTAAATTTAACTTGTTTTATAATCAACATAGCAGTTATGTGATAGTTGACAAAGCAAACCATGGCACACGATCTGTCTCTAGCTGTTGCTTAGAACGGTGAATCTCAAACCAGGCACACCAGAACCATGTAGAAGGCTTGTTAAAATACTGGCTCCCTTCCCTCCACCCCTGCCCTCCCACCCTGTCTCTGATTCAGTAGGCCATGGATTTCTCATTTCTAACAAGCTCCCACATGGTGGGTGGTGTCATTGATATTGGCCCCTGCTACACTCAAAACCAGAAGGAGTCTCAAACTTTATGGCACATTAGGATTACATAGGGAGCTCCCAAACATCCCATGCCAACGTTGCACCCCATGCCTATTCAGTCAGAATCTCTGAGGGTGAAACTTGGGCATCAGTCATTTTTAAAACTCCTCAGATGTTTTTTGTTTTGTTTTGTTTTGTTTTTTGGGGTGGATGGGGACAGGGTCTCACTCTGTTGCCCAGGCTGGAGTGCAGTGGCACTATCTTGGCTCACTGCAGCCTTGACCTCCTGGGCTCAAGTGATCCTCCCACCTCAGTCTCCAAGTAGCTAGAACTACAGGCTTGCACTACCACGTCCAGCTAATTTTATTTTATCCTATTTTTTTAGAGATGAGGTCTCACTATGCTGCCCAGGCTTGTCTTAAACTCCTGGGCTCAAGTGGTCCTCCCGTCTTGGTCTCTCAAAGTGTTGAGATGATGGGCATGAGCCACCGTGCCTGGCCATCGAATGATTTCAATAGCCGATCGAATAAAAAAAACACAAAAAACAAACAAACAAAAAAACAGTGGCTTAGTGGCCCTCCCTTCCTCCTCTCAGCCAATCCCAGAGAAGCTGGAGGGCTGGGAGATGCCCTGGCTAGGCTTGGGGCCCATCTCTCAAATCCAGGATTGGGGCCCAGCCTTGGAGTGGGGAAAGAAGACAGAAACCAGGATTCCAAGGAGACAGCACCTTCCTATGGCCACTGCCTACAGGTTCAATCTGGGGGCCCAGCAAGAGAGGGATGCTAGAGCTTGGTCCAACGGCCTGGGTGCAACTCTCCCTGCTTTATGATTCTGATCTCTGTGGCTTCACTCCTCTTTGTTCTCCTTTCCTTATCTATAAAATGGGGATAATAAAAATGCCTATCACAAAGCAAAGCTGTAAAGGATTAGAGAAAGAAATGTACTTAGAGTACCTTGCCCAGGTGGTTTAAAAGGGAGAGCTCAGCAAATGCTAATTTCCCTTTCTCACCTGCCCTCTATGTGTTTTCTCCTCCTTCATTCTGAACTGAGCAGAAGAGAGACGGGTCCACTCATCCTTTGCTTCTAGTTTTACAGCCAGAGTTTGGGGCCTGACATCTTAGTCTCACTATTTTTCCTATTAAAAGAGATCTTTAGGACTACCTTTTTTTGGTTTGTTTATTATTCCGAGATTCCTTTAAAATACACATACGTATCCCTCATTTGTAAGTGGAAGTGTACTTTATACCTTTTTCTCCAGTTTGTTTCTTTTACCAATCTTTTTTATTTTTTATTTTTTTTTTGAGATGGAGTTTTGCTCTTATTGCCCAGGCTGGAGTGCAATGGGGCAACTTGGCTCACTGCAACCTCCACCTCCTGGGTTCAAGCGATTCTCCTGCCTCAGCCTCCTGAGTAGCTGGGATTACAGGTGCCCACCACCACGCCTGGCTAATTTTTGTATTTTTAGTAGAGAGGGGGTTTCGCCATGTTGGTCAGGCTGGTCTCGAACTCCTAACCTCAGGTGATCCACCTGCTTCAGTTCCCCAAAGTGTTGGGATTACAGGTGTGAGCCACCATGCCCGGCTTTTTCACCAATCTTGAGAGCTTGTTTGGAGGTTCTGGCAGGGGAGCACAGGTACTCGTATACCTTTGACCAAAGAAGGACCAGTCCTCCTCTATCAGGGATGGCCGTCCTCTTCGATTGAGAGCACCGCTTCAGGAGGGAGGCACATAGAGCAGTGAGGGAGGAAGGGGATACCTGCCTAGCCAGCCAGATCAGCCGAATCAACCCTGGCGATCAATGGAGTGACAGATGTCACAGCCAGATCACCCTGCATCCATTTTCACAAATCTTAACAATTACTCCATGGCATGTTATGAAAATATTATTTTTGCTCCTTTGGAGAGCTGCACAGCCTTCCATTATGTGTGTGGATAGGCCATAATTTATTCAACCAGTTCCCTCTCTTGGGTTGCTGCCAGTCCTTTGCTTATTACAACAGTGCAATGATCACGCTTGTGTGTGTTTTTGTGTTTTTGCTAGCATGTCTTTGGGAAGGACTCCTGGGCAGTCACTGCTGCTGCCCCATCTCGGCAAATGCTCGGCAAGCCCCTCAGGCTGGTTAAGAGACATCGAGTGCTAACCCTATCTTCCACAGCTTCTTTCCACACAGTTGACCAGGCTTTGCCCGCAGAGGCAGCAATAAGAAGGTGGCCTCTACCTCACTGTGGTCCTTCAGATCTCATCCCAGTGCATCTTGTTGGGAGCACCTAATGCCTAAGCAGAATTCTAGCTGCAAAGGAATCTGGAAACATAGGTTTTAGTGTTCTTGTCTCTGTCATACAGGAAGGCTCACAGTGGGTGGGAGTGCCAGGCACCACATCCAGCTCACCAACTTCATTCCTTTCCTTTACAAATGAGAATACTGAGTCATGGAAGGGTTTTATTTGCTTAAGATCACAGAACTGGTTCACGGCCAACAGCCCCAGCTTTCGCCCTTCACTGTCTATGCAGTTTGTCCCTGGTGAGTTAGACTTTCATTGACCAAACACCTTAGTAAAACAGGAACCATTCCATACACTGTGAGCTTTTTGTTTTCTCCATGTGACAAAACACACCCCTTCAAAGCCTCCCTTTGGATGTATTATAATCATTGAGTAACGTTGTGGGCTGAACCCTGTCCTGCCTCCCCTTCCCCAATTCATATGTTGAGGTTCTAACCCCCGGTACCTCAGAGTGTGACCGTGTGGGGAAATGGGGTCTTTGCAGAGGTAACCAAATTAAAATGAGGTCATCAGCGTGGGCCCTAATCCAATAGGACTGTTGTCCTTATAGGAAGAGGACACTGGAACACAAACAGTAGGGAGGAAGATGATAAAAGGACACTGGAATAAGACGGTCATCTACAAACCTGGCAGAACCAGGGACAGGTCCTTCCCTCACAGCCCTCAGAAGAAACGAACCCCGTCAACACCTGGATCTCAGATTTCTAGCTTCTGAAACTAAAACATATATTTCTATTGTTTAAGCCACCCAGTCTGTGGTGCTTTGCTATGGGCCCCATAGCAAACTAATACAGTAACTAAGATCTGGTAAGAAAAAAGAAACACGTATCCAGGAGACCAAAGTAGCCTCTTTTATAAATTGCTGCGTTCAGTGTTTCTGTCCACATTCATTTCTGCAGCTGCCTCCCCTCTTGATGTTTCTGGTAAGCAGACTCTGGTATCTTCCCCTAAGAGGGACTCTCTTTCAGAAAATGCTTCCTGCATCTCGCATAGTTCAGAAGCCTCTGGAGTGGTGAATTGGCTGCAGCTTCCAATGGTGATAGCATCACCAGCCCTCACAGAAGGGCAATCTGAGCACCTCAGAGCTTTTGCCTCATTGGGCACCCAATGAGGATTGTCTCTCTCTTTTCCACCCTTCCTCTTGGGGAGCTGTGGCCATCTTACCCTAAATGTATTTTCCCCCATTTTCAGAGGAGGCAAATGTGGCATGCCAAATGCATTTTTAGTGACTGAGATCTTAAACGTATTTTCCATCTGTGCTAGGTCATTACGTCGTTAAACCCCTTGATATTTTAATGATTTTTATGGTCAAGCGATGCATAGGTTTGTTCAAGTTATTATTCTCTACATGTGCCATTGCTCATAAGATGCTCCAGCAAGAGCCCGCCGAAGGCTCATTTAATACATGGCACTGTTCTCAACGTGTCCTTTCTCGGCAGCCCAACCCCGGCACTGGCAATGGTCACAGCAGAGCATATCACACCAGGCTTTGGGTGTAAAGACGGAGAGTACAGTTCAAATGACGCCTGCAAATCCCTTCAGAAATTGCCGTGTTGGAGACCCTGACACCATTTCTCACTAAGCATAGGACGGGCTCTCTCTCCGGTGCAGAAGCAGAGTGTTGTCTCTTCAGTAAAGCCCCAGGACAGGACTGGCCTGTGTCTAGGGGCCATGCTAGTATTATACAAAGGCTTGCTAGTGCTCACGTATGAGAATGAGGCAGGAACCAACATCTATTGGGAACAGCAGATTTATATCCCCTTATTGAGTGAAATGGGCAGAATTGCCTACACTATTTAAATGTTCTCTCTCTCTCTCTCTCTCTCTCTCTCTCTCTCTCTCTCTCTCTCTCAGTTCAGCCTTACTAAACATACAGCAGTGTACAGCATGGCTGGATATAATATGGCAGACACAGACAGGACTGGACAATGGTCCAGGATACCCAGGTTTCAAAGTCACAAGCCTTTCAGAGATTGCTAATGCAAAAGGACTTAGGAGGCGGTAGACTTAAAGCAGGTAGAAGTCCTTGCCTTCTCTGGGCTTCAGTTTCCTCACCTGTAAGATGCATGCTTTTGAGTAGGATGATCCCAAGGCTCCCTTCTGCACCCCCTGACATTTGGTGAGTTTGCAGCCGAGAAAGACTGGCCACCTGGGACAGCCTCAATGACCCAGTGGCCTCCTAGAAAAGCACCAGCCCCCTCCTGTCTCCTCCTG
Source organism: Homo sapiens (assembly GCF_000001405.40). Classification (NCBI taxonomy): domain Eukaryota; kingdom Metazoa; phylum Chordata; class Mammalia; order Primates; family Hominidae; genus Homo; species Homo sapiens. The sequence goes on along the minus strand of NC_000014.9, from coordinate 50,065,907 downwards.
GGAATGTCATAAGACAGAGTTTGGTAAGAGTAAGAACAAAGATGAGAAATGGCTTCTCTAGAGGACGCCTGGAAATCCATTCTACTTGCCTCCTGTGTCTCTTCAGTTGAGCAGATCTTAATCTAGCACCTGCTAAAGACAGAGTGCTGAGTTCTAACCCCTGGCACTTCAGAGTGTGACTGTGTGGGGAAATGGGGTCTTTACAGAGGTAATCAAATTAAGATGTCAGTAGGGCGGGCCCTAATCCAAGAGGACGGTCATCCTTATAGGAAGAGGAAAATGGGACACAAACAGTACAGAGGGAAGACAATAAGAAGACATTTCTTATCATTTAATAAAACAATCAAACTTATATCAAGGTTGGAGTTTCACAATGTCAGGGACAGTTCTCAATGGGCTGTGTTTGTTAGGTACTGGAAAAGTAAAGAAGTTATATAAACTGTCCCTGACATTGTGGAACTCCCAGTCTTAGTATAAGTTTGAATGTTTTATTAAAATGGAGAAAACTGAGTGTTTGGTTTTGGTTGGGGGTGAAACCCATTGGGAACAACTCTATGGCATATCAGGGCTTCTTTCTGAATGAATTTCTAGATTTACATCTCTTCGTGGCTGTGGTCATCATTAGTGCTGTTTACCAGATATTTCCAGTTCCCTTTCTACTGAGTAGATAGTAGATCCATTTGTCTTTGAGCCACTAAAATTAGGTGTGGCTATGTGGCTTGCTTTGCTGATGAAATGTGAACAGAAGTCATGGGTTTCGCTTTCAGGCAAAAGCCTGAAGAACCATCACATGCTCTCCCCGTGGTTCCTTTTTGGTGCTACGGTAGTGAGTAATAATCTAGAGGGTGGAGGCTGGCTAGCCTGTGTCTCTGGATGAGGATGAAGTGGAGTAGAGACCTTGCTGATCCATGAGGGACATGGAAGATGAGCAAGAAACGAGCCTTTGTGGGTTTAAGCCATGGAGATTTACAAAACCTTTTATTATTGAAAATTTCAAATATATATGTATATATACAATACAATATATATATGCATATATATAATATCAAACCTGTTGTACCCATTACTCAGCTTCAGCAATGATCAGTGCTCAAATATCAATGATCAATGTGTAAAGCCTCTGTGATTTGGAAATTTTTTGTTGCTACAGCACAACCCAGACAGACCCCACCGAAAATGAGAGGAAAGAATGTGGTTTTACAGAAACATGAGACGAGCGACAAGGAGCTAAAGAGAGTGGACACAAAATGCTTGAGATTTGATTTGTATGCTCTATTTTTAAAAATGTGTATGCTTTTAGTAATTCAGGAGAGCTGAACATCTGCTTGAATTAGTTGAAGTAAAAGATGCTTGTCTTAGTCCATTTGGGTTGCTAGGACAGGAATCCACAGACTGGATAGACATTTATTTCCCACAGTTCTGGAGGCTGGGAGGTCTGAGATCAAGGCGCTGGCAGATTTGGTGTCTGGTGAGGGCTGGATTTCTGGTTCATAGAGAGCGCCTTCTCCCAGAGTCCTCTTGTGGCAGAAGGGGTTTCTTTCATAAGGGCTTTAATCCCCTCCATTAAAGGGCTCTTCAGGGCTCTGTCCCCAAGACCGAATCACCTCCCAAAGCCCCACCTCCAAACACCGTCACCCTGGGGCCTAGGATTTCCACCTGTGAATTTTACCTAGCATTGCTGGACACTCAGAGTGGGCCTGCTTTGTGGACTCCTGTCCCTTCATCTCCACCTAAGGCCACCTCCTCCAGCTCACCCTCCAGCACTCCTGGTAGCTGGCACTTAGCTTCTCATGAGCTCTGCGATGTGTTTTCTGTGGAGAGAGATGGAAGCCCTGTGGCCTTGTGCAGGGACCTACCTCAGCTTTCTGGGCCCGGCTTTGCACATCTGGCCTCATGAAGGACGTGTAGCTGCTGCGGACTTCAGGGGCAGCTCCAGAGAGTTAGGCCTGCTGAACGGTTAAGTCCTGTTCTTTCCACAGAGCCAGTTTGATGTAGTGCATTTTAAGTCACACGGGGACCTTGAGGCACATGTTTTGTTATCCCTTAGGTATACTTGTTGCAATGATAGTAGTGTAGCAAAATATCCCAGCAAAACCTCCACTGGTGGCTGAGCCCACTGAGGACCTGTGTTTGCTGGGTTAACTTTCTCTCTGTGTAGTTCCTAAAGGACCGGAGTGTGTTGCCCAGCTACCCATGCTTTTCTGCTAGTCTACTGGACTGCCACGGAGCTGGCACTGCTACTGTTATTCTGATTTTGTAGTGTAGGTAATTGGGCAAGTCTCCCCTCTACTCTTCTTTGTAAAAGTTAATTATTTCTCCATTGAGTTTCTCAAAAAGAAATCCAGTTGGAATTTTGATTAGCATTGCATTAAATTTATAGGTTCATTGTTCATATAACTAGGTCTTTATAAATGTCATCCAAAGTAAGTCATCTTACATGAGGTCATCCTACCCAAAATGTGGAATGTACTCTATTTATTCAGATCATTTTATGTTTCCTTATTAGAATTTAAGACATGTTTTTAGAAGTTTTGGGTATTCTTGGCTATTACCTAGATATATTTTGTAATTCTTGCTGCTATTGTAAATGGTATCTTTTTAATAATATTTTTCAGCAGTTATTGTGGGTGGACAGAGATGTTGTTGATTTTTGCAGGTAGATTTTGTGTCTGGTGAACTTGCTGAACCTTCTGAGTTCTAATTGGTTTGAATCTGTTTTTTCTTTTTCTTTTTTTGAGACAGGGTCTCTGTCACCTAGGCTGGATGCAGTGGCACGATTTTGGTTCACTGCAACCTCTGCCTCCTGGGCTCAGTTGATCCTCCCACTCAGCCTTTGGAGTAGCTGGGACCACAGACATGTGCCATGATGCCTGGCTAATTTTTTGTAGAGGTAGGGTTTTGCCATGTTGCCCAGGCTGGTCTTGAACTCCTGAGTTCAAAGCAATCTGCCCATATCAGCTTCCCACAGTGCTGGGATTACAGGCATGAGCCACTGCACTGGGCCTGAATCTGTTTTTTCTAAATTGACAGGTTACTTTGTTTTTTTACTGCTACAGTAAGAAGCACCCTCCCCCAACCCCAGTTAATCTCTGTGATAGGTGGGGGTGGGGCTTAGGGGAAGGGTGACTCACTAGACAGGAGTTGAAAATGCCTGGGTTTTTGTGACACTAACATCTGTGTCCTCCATAGATGGAGCTCACATCACGGAGCTCATGAGAAGCTGAGTGCCAGCTACCACACACACATTCAGACATTTGCTGTCGGGCCACGGGCCATGCTGATGGAGAAAAGGTAGCCTAAATTCTCTGGTAACGGGGGTGAGAGAGAGAGAGAGAGATGTGGCGATGAAAATAAAGAATAAGGAAAGGAATAGCGACTTCAGGGGACTTTGCCTGGGTTGGGGCTCAGGCCGGGGCCTGGGAAGTATGAGAGACAGAGGGTGATAAAAGGGCATCAGGTGTTAGAGAGCAGCTGGACCAGAAGACCCACCATCCGGCAGCAACACCCAAAGACCTTTGGTCACATAATGTGGGGACGGGGAGGGAGGAGCTCTGGCACTGGAGATAGCCTTGGGCACCTGGCAATGCCCTCCCGCCCCTTCCCCGCTGACTAGTTCACAGAGGCCTTGCCCCATGCCACTGCACTGCCTTGACACTGACACACAGCACTGCCGGCCCAGGGACTTCTCAGGGTCCAAACCTCCTACATTCCCAGGGCTCCCAGAAATCAGAGCTGAACCCACAAGGCACACAGAGCTGGGCCTCTGAGCTGGCTCCCAAAAAGAAGTGTGTTGAGGGAAACATTCTCAGCAACATTGAGAATGTTTTCACTGGACCACTGTTTACCTTGTTTAACGAGAAGCTGTCACTAAGCATTAAGGTTTCTTTGATTTGGAGACTTCTCTGCACACCAGAGAACCAGTGGCATAGGGTTGCCTCCTGCTCTGCACAGTGTCTTCCGGGGCTGCTGGTGGCAGGATGTGGCGGCCTGGTTCAACAGCTGTGATTAGTGACCCTGATTGTAGCCGCTAGCTGAGTGATTGTAAAATCAGGAAGTGAGGAGGGTTTTGTGTTCCCTCCTGGCCCCTCCTGCAAGGAACTCTGGATGGAAAGGTGAACTTGCTAAGTGCAGTTGTGCTTTGCTGACATCTGCTCCCGTTTTTGCCCCTTCACTGCTTTTAATGAATTCTGGGTTCAGGCACCCTGAGCCCTGAACGTATGGAATCTGTCCTGGGAGAATCTGTTTGTTTTATAGAGGTGGTGATGAGCAGAGGCATCCAGGCAGGTCTATTCATGTGGGAAAGCAGAGAGTTGCCCTGGATCCTACTTAAGGCCAGACCCTTCAGGTCTCCAGAGGGGACAGGCCTGGCACTGTCTGTAAGCAACTCTCGAAGAAGCCAGACTTTTCCTGTAAATGTATAACCAAAAAAAAAAAAAAAAAAAAAAAAAAGACTATTTTGGAGCAAAGAAGCCAGAAAAAGGGCTAATGGGGGATGAGAGCGTAAGCCTGGCCCAGTGACCCAAATCCTGAGTTTGTGGAGGTGTTTACAGGGGCTGAACGGCCAGGCCCAGGCTGGCCCCAGGGAACCCCCAAAGGCCATGAGTGAGGCCTGCGTTTTGGGGTATGCTCCTTGTTTCCTGTGCCGGCCTGTCTCCACATGCTGGGTGGTTGTGAAACAACGGCTTGCAGTGACTCAGCTTTATAAATAGGACATTTACAGTGAAAATTACAGGAAATTCCCAGAGTCTCCTGCGGGGGCTTATTTTAGGTGTGTGGCTTACACAAGTGAAACCCCAGCCACCCTCTTCCAGCCTCTTCTCCCTGCAGCATCCTTGGGTATCTGATTTGAGGCAATTGCTTCTGTTCTGTGACAGGAAACCACCCCAGGAGGTCTGAGAGAAATGAGGAAAGGAGGCGTCCATCTCCAGCCCCATTCAGACACGCTCCTGGGAGAGAACAGCTCACATTTGGCTCACGCTTCTCATATGCCGAGCGCTCTGCTGTGTTACCTCAGTGACTTTCACTGACTCCCAAGGAAGTGATGGGGATGGGGAAACTGGAATTCAAACCCATTTCCAACTCCCTCCGGATCTCGAGAGATTAACCACAGACACAACTTTTCCTGAACACAGAACAAGAAGGCAAAAGGAAGCAGAGGTCCCTGTTTTCAGGAGAGGACAGGAGAAAGGTGCCAGTACCCTGGCCTTTGGTTATATTTCCCTTTCCCTCTTCAGTAACACATTTCTTGGCAGGACATCTTTTCTGGAAAACCAGACTTGAGCTTGGAGTGGCTCAACAGCCCTTGCTGTAGCTAGGTTTGATGGAGAAGCTGAGAGAGCTGCCTGCACCCGGGTAGGAGGCTCTGTCATGGAGGGGCTCAGGCCATTGCAGGTTTAGGGCCTAAATGTTGTGCAAATATTTGCCCAACAACTCCCAGTGTGCCTTGGAACAAGCAGCAGGAGCGGCCCTGGCTGAGTCCCTGAAGAGAAACGTGGATGTGATGACTTTGAATGGCTCCCAGCTTCTACTTCCTCATAATTTGCCAGGATCTCTGTCGCCAACGAGCCTGGTTACAAGGAGAGGGGGCTCCGTGCTAGCCTGCTAGGCATGATGGAATCTTCCGCATTCTCCAGATGAAGCCCGCACACCCATGCCTTCATCAAGCAGCAGGCACTGCCAATGCGTTTTTGAGCTACAGATTTGTATTCCCAGCAATCTGTGAGATTCTCCCCCTAGATCCTCGCAAAGCTTCTGAATTTATCGAGTTCAAAACAGAACACCCAAACTGGCTTGTCTTGTATTCTCTTTCAGTTAAGGCTGCCTTCCCTAGTCCCCCTAGTTAGAAACCATTGGCTCATCCTTAACCCTCTGCTGCTCTGCCCTCTCCCTCCCGAGTCTGATTGATTCTCCCTCCTAGCTCTCCCCTCAGTGCCTGGAGTGCATGGGTCTGACCCAATGGGTGGTTGGCAGGGGTAGGAGTGGGAGTTGGGAGGAGCACATGACCCAAGCTGAGCTCATTAGATCCCAGGGTTTTTCTAGCTGCAGCAGGCTCTTTTCTCTCTAGATGCTTGCTGGAAGGCTGGGAATCCAGAGGGGCCTGTGGCCATGCATCTGCAGCCTGGCAAAGCCTGCCTGCAGCAGCGAGGGGACATGCTGCAGGGAGAAGCCATGATGAGTGGTGGAGAGAGACTTCCTGAGGGGACAGAGCTCCCAGTACAGCTGTCCCCAAACCAGGTCCACCCCCTGCCCCCATCCATCCTTCACAGGCCACCAGGATTCTTTTCCATGTTCTCCAACTTTTTGTTTTAAAAAAATCCAACTACAAAGAAGTTGACAGAATAATTCAGTGAATACCTACATACCCTTCACCTAGATTCACCAGTTATTAGCATTTAGTGACAGTTATGTTCTCTTTTTCCCTATATATTCATGTATGTGTGTTTTTTCTGAACCATTTGAAAATAAGTTGCTGATGCCATGACACTTCTCCCCTACATATTTCTGCATGTATTGCCTAAGAATGCGAACATTTTCCCCACAGTCACAATACCGTGATCACATTCAAGAAATTTAACAGGGCTGGGCGCTGTGGCTCATGCCTATAATCCCAGCACTTTGGGAGGCCAAGGCAGGTGGATCACGAGGTCAGGAGTTCAAGACCAGCCTGGCCAACATGAAACCCCATCTGTACTAAAAATACAAAAAATTAGTCAGGCGTGGTGGCAGGCACCTCTAATCCCAGCTACTTGGGAGGCTGAGGCAGGAGAATCGCTTGAAACCAGAAGGCAGAGGTTGCAGTGAGCCAAGATCACGCCACTGCACTCCAGCCTGGTCAATAAGATTGAAACTCTGTCTAAAAAAAAAAGGAAAAAAAAAGAAAAGAAATATTAACAATGATATAATAATATCTAATATTAATATATATCCACATTCAATTTTGCCAAGTGGAATTTGTTTATGGATATAAGATATTATGATAGTTTTTTTTCCCTTTTCAATTCAAGAGCCAATCATGGATAACAAATTGCATTTAGTTGTCTTATCTGTTTAGCCCCCGTAACCTAGAATTGTTTTCCTGTCCTTTTTTATATTTCATCATATTAGCATTTTTTGTATCCTTCAATTTGGATTTGCTTTTTCCTCATGATTAGAGTCATGCTGTATATTTTTAACAGAGATAACACTGGATTCTTTTCAGTGTATCACATTAAGAGACACATGATGTCAGTTATTGGTGTGTTAAGTTTGATCACCTTGTTAAGGTGGTGTCTGCCAGATCTTTTCATTGTAAAGGTACAATTTTCCCTTGATACATGGGAATAATTACATATATATATATCTGTTCTTGTAAAGTGGAAATTAAGTATATGTTCTTATGCTGGTTCCCTTGGCTCCAATTTCCACAGGTCAACATAAAGAAGGCCCAGTTGCACCTGCACACACAGTGGGTTGTGTTAGAGGGGAGGAATGCTGAGCTTAGAGAATCAGCATCTTTTATGATAGGCAATAAGTCTCTGACCTCTTCTGCAGAAGACATTATCTTTCTTATACTAGGCACTAAGCATGCCTGTACTTTGCTCCAAAGGGAGAGTCTTGTCTTCCAAGGCTATTTGCTATTCAAATGCCTTTGGAAAGAGATTCCAGAACAGAGGCAGTGAGTGCTCCTGCTCATAAGACACCCACAAATGCTAGAGACGCATGGAGAACTGTCTCCCAACAGATCCTGAAAAATTATCTTTCTACAACACAATCCAGTCATGTTATTCCCCTGTTGTGGCTGGTGGCCTCCCAATTCCTAGTCTCTGCACCTTCAGTAGCAGAGACCCCCACCTCCCCTGACCCACAGCTGTGCACATGGCTTTCCAGAATTTGGTCTGTGTTTCCCATCTTCTCTCTCAGCAAGGTGTGGCTGTATGATTAAGTTCTGAGCAAGAGGCTTTAAGAATAAGTAAGTGTGCACAACTTCTGTAAAATGCCCTTAAATGATAGTGTGCCTTAAAGGATAGGGAGCACGCCTTTCTCCTTCTCTTTCCTTCTTTGTACAACATAAAGTAGCAACCTCCCTCCTCCAAGGCACTTGCTAATTCTCTCTCTGCCTTGTTTGTTTCCACAGAGGTTACACCATTTGACACACTATTTATTTTGCTTATTTTGTATATTGTCTGTCTCTTCTCACTAGCATGTAAACCCCATGAACAGTGCTGGTGCTAGCATTTTTGTATCTGTTGTTGAAATACTGAAATACTTCTGTACCAGTGGGTGGCTGGTCACTCCCCAAGTCCCTGTGTGCTCCCCATGGCACCTCCCAGCTACCCAGCTGTCTTAGTCTTCTTGGGCTGCCATAATAAAATACCATCGACTAGGTGGCTTCAACAACGGAAATGTATTTTCTCACAGTTCCGGGTCCAAGATCAGGGTGCGAGTTAATCTGGTTCCTGGTGAGGTCTCTCTTCCTGGTTTGCAGGCAGCTGCCTTCCTGCTAAGTGCTCACATGGGGAGGGGGGAGAGAGAGTGAGCATGCTCTCTGGTGTTCCTTCTTCTAAAGGACAGTAGTCCCATCAGAACGAGGCCCCCCACCCTTGTGACCTCACCTAACTCATTACCTCCCTAAAAGCCCCATCTCCAAATACCATTGCCCTGAGGATTAGGACTTCAACATAAGAATTTTGGGAGAAACACAAACATTCAGTCAAGAACAATGAAACAGGCCTTGACTCAAATAGTAGGGGGCTCCCAGGACCCCACATCTGCATGAAGGCCAGTGATGCCCTGATCAATCAGTATGCTATACCCCTGAGGTGTTCAACAAATGCTTGTTGCATGAACGCATGACAGAGCCTAGGATGGCGCCAAGCCATTCCATTGTCCATCCCAAACTCAAGAAGAGCTGGAGTCAGGTTCTTCAGTGAGTAAAAATCAGGGAAATTACCAAGCAGCACTTCTCTGCTATTTTTAAACAAAGGACTTCTTTCCTCAAACCCTTCCTATTCCTATCTCATCCCACCCCGGCGGAAGAGGAAATGACTGAGCAGAAACATAGAAGGGGAATCATTTTTTCCCCCTGAGACAATCCATTACCAGGCCCTTCCCTATATCAATTATAGGATCAGCAAGTGCAGGAGAAGCAACACTGCACGGGTGTGAGTGCCGGGACGGGAACACGCAGGCTACCGTCAGCTCAGAGCCACACACATCTTCTCACTGCCTGGTGTGAGTGCCACACGGGAACACGCGGTCCACCGGCCAGTTCAGAGCCACACACATCTTCTCACTGCACTGTGTGACTGCCGGGATAGGAACATGCGGTCCACTGGCCAGCTCAGAGCCACTCGTAACTTCTCCCTCCCTGCACGGTGTGAGTGCTGGGACAGGAACACACAGGCTAACGTCAGCTCAGAGCCACTCACATCTTCTCGCTGACCTCACCTCTCAGGAGTTCCATTCTGCACCAAGGCGATGGAGCAGTTTAAAAGCCTGTATCTGTCACATTTTTAAATGTGCAAGCCTGGTGAACCAAGTGATTCCTCGTTCTGGGATCTACCTTTGAGAAATGCTCACACGCATGCTCAGGGAGGCATTGCTTCCAACAGCAAAAGCAGTTTAAGTAATCTAGATGTCTAGCAGCAGGGAAACAACTAATGGATGTATTGCTAGAGAACACACTATGGGTGGGGAGACAGGAGGACTGAGGAGGAGAGAGAAGGAGAGGTTTTGGGGCTGAGAGCTTGGTGGGCACGGGCTGCCAGCTGTCCCGGCTTCTGGCAGGCTGCTTGCTGCAGACAAGTGGCCATGGGGAAGTCATCACTCAAGAGCATTCTTGCAGGCTTTGCTGATGCCGATGCACGTGCAGCATGGGAGGAGGTGCAGGCCTGGTTTGACCTAACCATGGGTCCGTCTTTAATCACTATTAAAAGCAGTCATTGCTGCCCTCCCTGGTGGCACTGGAGTACTGAAAGTGTAATGGAAAGAAATTAAACTAAAAGTAATGTCTTAAACCTATTAATTTAGAATGGCCAAAAGGAAAAGAAGCCCACAGGAAAGAACTCTTGCCTTTATTTCCCATTAAATGAGCCAAAGAAAACTCTTTCCTTCAAATGACTGAACCCAGCCATTCTTCTAGCTCTCATTGTTCTCTGGTGTTTGCAAAGGGCACTATCTGGCTGCACGGCTGTGCCAAAGAGCTCTCAGGACAGTCGTTTAACTGAGGAAAACAGCATGGCGGACCCAGTTTTGCTCACCGTGTCTGCAGGGAGTTAATAAGAACTCCAAGAAAAAATAAGTCTGGGCCGAGCGCAGTGGCTCATGCCTGAATTCCCAGCACTTTGGGAGGCCAAGGCGGGTGGATCATTTGAGGTCAGGAGTTCAAGACCAACCTGGCCAACATGGTGAAACCCTGAATCTACTAAAAATACAAAAATTAGCCGGGCATGATGGTGCACGCCTGTAATCCCAGCTACTCAGGAGGCTGAGGCGGGAGAATTGCTTGAACCCGGGACGCAGAGGTTGCAGTGAGCCGAGATCCCACCACTGCACTCCAGCCTGCACTCCAGAGCGAGACTCTTGTCTCAAAAAAAAAAAAAAAAGTCTGGGAAGCACTGGGTTAAAACAAGTAAAATACCAGCCGGGCGTGGTGGCTCACACCTGTAATCCCAGCACTTTGGGAGGCCGAGGTGGGCGGATCACAAGGCCAGGAGATCGAGACCATCCTGGTTAACACGGTGAAACCTTGTCTCTACTAAAGAATTCAAAAAATTAGCGGGCGTGGTGGCGGGTGCCTGTAGTCCCAGCTACTTGGGAGGCTGAGGCAGGAGAATGCCATGAACCCGGGAGGTGGAGCTTGCAGTGAGCTGAGATCACGGCAGTGCACTCCAGCCTGGGTGACAGAGTGAGACTCTGTCTCAAAAAAAAAAAAAAAAAAAAAGAAGTAAAATACCTTTCTTTACAATAGAGCCTTAAACATATTAATGTGCAATGCAAATCTTCAAGAAGGGTATGGAAAACCGTGTTGGTTTCCTGCTCAACATTCCTTGCCGCACGCCTTTGCTGAGAGACCCTCAGTTTTGTTGGTTTATAGCACCTGTGTGTCTCATGGGCTCCTCCCTGGTCCCAGGATGAAATGTTCACAGGTCGGAGCCATTTTCCTTCAGTAACTGCTTTAGTTATAGCCATGTGCTGTGGTCCTGCATGTAACGAATGCAAAGACGATCGGCCCTGGGAACCTCTAGGAAGGATTTCTTGGCTCTTAAAACATGACACAGGATGAGTACTTGCCCCTTCCTGCCTTAGGACATTGTCATGTGAAGACATGGGCTTGGCGCTACTGCAGTCCTGTTGGAATCATGAGGGAAAAGCCAAGAAAATCTCAGAGAAACTGGTCTTGATCTTTGATGCTGTTAAGTTGCTGCATTAACCACCCCAGAATGGCCCTTTGGGTTTGTCACTTTGTAGTTTAGGCCTTAGGGTATCCTGTGATGTTCAGCTCACAGCATCCTGAAACCAAGGGGCACATAAAGTGCTGACAGTGCCCAACCAATTCATCTGACCACAGAAGGTCCCCCCAGACTAGGCCTCTACTGAGAATGCCTTGGGAAAGGCTGACAGAGTGAGGAAGATGGAGGTGAAGGGCAGATGCTCCAGGCTCTACCCTAGGTTCTAAAAATCACGTGAGCACCTGGGCCTCATTTTCAACTGTGTGAAAAGAACGTGCCAACTAAAACAACAGAAGTCAAGCATCTAATACAGTGCATGTCACATGGTAGGTGTGTCATACATGAAGAGCTGTCATTCATCAAATGGAAGTGGGGAGGGGAGGAGTAGTCCAGTTTCCAAGTCTCATTTATGCCTGAGAGATCTTTGTAACTATTCCAAAAATAATAAGTGTTCCTTGACCCCATACCCATTTAGAGAACTCTCTCACCTCATTCAGCAGGAAAAAAGGGAAAATAAAGATTCCACAGATGTCCTAGGCAAGCATGCTAACTCCCGGGCCCCTAGTCCCTCACTCCTCTGCTAGAGCGAGCTGCGACCAACTCCCTGGATGGCCAGAATACTTCTGTGTCTGCTAATGGCTCTGAAACACTCCTCAGTGAGAACGTCCACATGTACTAGATACCCAGTTTGCTGCAGAGGAGAAATCTCCACTCTAGGCACTCATGGGGATGCCAAGGGGATTGAGTTCCTCCTCGTCCAGAGCTCTGGCTGAGACTCAGAGCAGCAGCCGGCAGACAACTGACCTGGGGCTTTGCTCACTCTCTTCTCTCTCTCTCTCTCTCTCTCTCTCTCTCTCTCTCTCTCGGTTTTGTTTATTGAGGGAAGCATTTAATTTGTAATCATGTATTTCATCCCCAGAAAAAGAATCCCAGGGTTTTCTCTCCTCTGTGCCTTTCTCGTGCTTCCTCGTGGTCCATGATGCCAGCTTCAGTCATCAGGTCAATAAAACCAAACTGATGGGATGGAGACTAATCTGCCATTTTTCTAGGTCTTTGAGTTGCACAGTAAATCTGGAGATGATCACTGCACATTTATTTAGCCTGCCTGTGAGGGTCACAACAATTTTCTCAGTTCTAGGATCAACGACGATTTCAAATTTTCCAAAGTTATCAAGCTTCATCATCACAATGAGAAACCAGATGATGATATTGGAGCACAGCCTAATAAGAACCTGGTGTTGGCCAGGCACACTGGCTCATGCCTGTAATCCCAGAAATTTGGGAGGCTGAGGTAGGTGGATCACTTGGGATCAGGAGTTCAATACCAGCCTGGCCAACATGGTGAAACCCCGTCGCTACCAAAAATACAAAAATTAGCCAGGCTTGGTGGTGCATGCCTGTAGTCCCAGCTACTTGGGAGGCTGAGGCAGGAGAATCACTTGAACCCAGAAGGTGGAGGTTGCAGTGAACCGAGATCGCGCCACTGCACTTCAGCCTGGGTGACAGAGCAAGACTCTGTCTCAAAAAAAGAAAGAAAGAGAAAAAAAGAACCTGGTGTCTGCTTCTCTTTTCAGCATTGTTGGTGCTCTGAGGGTGTCAGCCAGGCCACTCATGCAGACCATTGCGGCAGCACTGAAAATGGAAGAAAGATGGGATTCTGCTGTCTTTTGTTTTGGCTGATGAACAGCACCGAGATGGAGTGGCTGTGAGTATAAGCGTGTGTGTGTGTGTGTCTGTGTGTGCGTGTGCACGCACGTGCGTGCATGCATGCCTATGTGTCATACCCAGGTACTGTCTTCACTTTGTAGAAACATCTTATGGGGCCAGGCGCAGTAGCTCACACCTGTAATCCCAGCACTTTGGGACGCCGTGGCGGGCAGATCACCTAAGGTCAGGAGTTCAAGACCAGCCTGGCCAACATGGTGAAACCCCATCTCTACTAAAAATACAAAAAAAAAATTGCTGGACCTGGCAGCCTGCACCTGTAATCCCAGCTAATCAGGAGGCTGAGGCAAGAGAATGGCTTGAACCTGGGAGGTGGAGGTTGCAGTGAGCCAAGATCGTGCCACTGCACTCCAGCCTGGATAGCAAGAATGAAACTCCATCTGAAAAGAAAAAAGAAAAGAAAAGAAAAGAAAAGAAAAGAAACATCTTATGGAAGGTGTAAGGCCGACTGGGCAAGTATTATCCCCTTTAATAGACCAATAACTAGAGGTCCAGAGAGGTACAGGGGCCTGCCCCAGGTGACATCCCTAGTCCGTGGCAGAGCCGGGTGTGAGAACAGTCCTCTGGCCCCTGGGCTGGTGCTCTTCCCACCATGTGAGGGACATGTTGGGTGTCCAACAATGAACAGGACTCTTGCTGTCCAAGGATGGGAGAGAGAGAAACATGAAGAGGCACTTCTATGACAGCCCAGAACCCACTGAGAACACCAGGCACTGCCCACTTCATTCCTTCCACCTGCCCCACTCTCTGAAAGGAGAAGAGACGGAGCCACCCAGCAAGATTCTCAGGAGAAAAGCAGTGCCGAAGAAGAACCACGCCACAGAGGCCAGATGAGACAGGGGGACCGGGCATGTCGGAAACACCTCCTGTGGGGCTGAACACCAGCAGAGAAGAAAGGGGGCAAGGTGCCAAGATGGGGCATGGGACTGCAAGAATGAAAAAGGAGTGTTCCCTGGGCTTTGGGGATAATGGCATTGGAATTCTTCTTTGGGCCACTCTTTAAATCTGACAGTTCTCTGGGACTGGACTATGAGATTCCTAACTTTTATTTATTTTTATTTTTTATTTTTGGAGTCTATAAATTTATTGAGTAAAAACAAAATCGATGTCAGATACATTATATTTGATTGGGTTCAAATTTGGCTGATGTCTAAATGCAGCAGAGAAGAAGAGAGGGGAGGAAAGGACATGGTGTTTCTGGCAAGGGGACACTGAACAAAACTGTTTTCCTTTAATTGTAAAAACGGGCATCACACAACCAGTGTGAATCAATTAACCAAGGCAGGGGACTCAATGTTTTACGAGCAGGGGGAAAACCAAAGTAAGCAGAGAACTTTCAAGATAGGAGAGGGCCAGGACACTCAGAGAAAAAGCTGCAGCACAGGCCGGCTGGAGAACAGTGGTCGGATCTGCCGGGTCACTTGGGGAACACGGTAACCACTTCATAGCCCTCGGGTGGTGCGACTCACTCCCAGGCATGTTTCTCACAGTAGATTTGATCCTCCACAAAGAAATGGTCCCTCTGTTTCAGGTTGGTGCAACAGTCAGTGCACAAGTAACACTCGGGATGGCGGTGACGGTCCCACAGCTTCACGAACACACCGACAATTCCAGGGCCACATTTGTCACACATAGGCAACTTCTGAGCATTTCCAATCAATGCAGCCACTTTAGTGACAGGAGCTTTAACACTTCTGAATCCTGAGGGCTTGTTGGGATCCTCTTTTTCTTCAGACTCCAGGATTTTCTGCAAAACCAGAAAAGACACAGACTGTTTTGGGGGCTCATTCAACTCCCGTATCTCCTGAAGCACCTTGCAAACTTCAGATTCTTTGTCGATGACAAGGCTGATTGGAGGCTGAGCATGTTCGCCTCTACCCCGCTGGTAGCAGTCTGACTCCAGGGCGTTGTTGAAGTTGGATATATTTTCAGAAGAGTAGAGGCCAGCTGGGTTGTTGTACTGGTTTGTGATGACCCTGGCGTTAGTGCTGGAGGCAGGCGAGGTGGTAAAGGGCATGGAACTTCGGTTGTGGGCGCTTCCTATGTGCAGGACCTCCTGGGGTTCAGAGACTAAATTCATCTTGTATGGACGACACTTCTCTTCCTCCATCACCGAGGAGACCAGACTTTATGTTCGGATCTGGCTACAGTGAGAGTCATGTTGTCTTTGCAGCCTTTGATTCTGTTCTGAGCTTCCAAGTGCGTCATATTGCTAGAATTTTCCCCATCAATGGCTGTGATTACATCTCTGATACATAAATTAGCTAGAGCCACCTTGCTTCCAGGAGTGACCCGGCAAATAGTGAGGCTGCTCGAAGTCCTTGACACCCACGAGACGGAAGCCCCATGGGCCCAGGCCCTGGAGGACGAGCTGCTGGGTGGTCATGGCGCGGCTGTCGTGGGCAACGACCCGCGGGGACAGACAGGCAGGATGTGGCATGGCGTGCAGGGATCCCCCGGCAGCTTGAGATTCCTAACTTTTAAATGTTACAAGCCCTGTGATTGTGATGTCCAATGTCAGTTTGGAGGAATGGGTATTTGATGAGTCTGTGTCAGCTTAGGAAGGCTTCTTGGAACAGGTGACTATTGAGCCAAGTTATAAGGCTGTGCTTCTTCTTCTCTTATGTGCATTGGAATTACCAAGGCTCTGATTCAGTAGGGCTGGGGTGGGGCCTGCGATTCTGAATTTCTAACAAGATCCCAGGAGATGCTGATGCTTTGAGTAGCAACGTTCCAAAGGATTATTGAGTTATCGGAATGAAAAAAGGGCTCGGTCTTTCGAAGAAGACATTCTTGGCACCAGGCAAGATAGAGCAAAGGTGGAAGGTAAGCCATACCATGGAGAGTAGGGTGTGTCAGGAGGCAGTGGATGACACAGACCTTGCTTGAGGTGTCCCTGGCCTGAGAAGGGCCCGGTGGAGTGAATGATGGAACTTGGAGTTGCCTGTGCATGGCAGTGTTTCTCAAAGTGGAACCCAGCTCTATCAGAACCCCTTGGGCACTGGTTGAGAATGTGCATCACTCCACCCACAGAACTTTGGATTTTTGGAGGTCTGGAGGGGGCTCAGGAATCTGCATTTTTTAAGAAGCTTATAAGGCAATTCAGATGCAAACTAAAGTTTGATAACCTGCATTGAGCAATTAAGGGTTTTGTGAGAGAGGAACGACAAGATTAGATTTGCATTTTGGAGAGATGCTCTGGGTACCTGAGGAAGATGAGGCCAGGAAGAGGGAGGCTGGGGAAGGGCTCAGGTGGTTCTGCAGGCCAGAGAAGCTAAGGGCTTGCAACAGGATCCTGGCAATGGCAATGAAGGGGATGAACTCAAGAGACATCCATCAGTCATTCCCAGTGGGCTGCCACTTATGAGTATATGGGGGCAAGAGAAACGATGAGTTCAGTTTTGCCAAGTTTGGAGGATATCTAGGTACTGAAGTCCATCAGGCAATTTGATATGAGAGTCTGAAGTTCAGAAACGAGGACCGGGTCTGGGTATAGATTTTAGAGTCAGCCACTTGTAGTGTATTTACCTTTAAGCACTATGGTGAACTTCATGTTGACAGCAGTAGGCTTTTCAGATCTTCCCAGAGACTATGGGTAGGAGCGAGGGGAGAATGGTGGTCTGAGTACTAATTCTGCCAAGAGCCAATGCTATTACCAGCAGTAATGGTGACCATTGTGTGCAGGGGCCAGACCTTTCCTGGAGCATGTCGAGCCCTGAAGATCTTGTGTCAGTTCTCCCATTGAAGACTTGCAGGCTTCTCTTTTTTTTTTTTTTTTTTTTTTTCAGACAGAGTCTTGCTGTATCCCCCCAGGCTGGAGTGCAGTGACACGATCTCAGCTCACTGCAACCTCCACCTCCTGCGTTCAAGCAATTCTCCTGCCTCAGCCTCCTGAGTAGCTGGGATTACAGGCATGCGCCACCAGGCCCGGCTAATTTTTGTGATTTTAGTAAAGACATGGTTTCACCATGTTGGCCAGGCTAGAGTGAACTCCTGACCTCGTGATCCACCTGCCTTGGCCTCCCAAAGTGCTGGGATTACAGGCGTGAGCCACTGTGCCCGGCCCTTACTTGCAGGCTTCTTAAGTGATGAGTCCAGCCTCCCAGAATCAGCCTGGGAGAATGGAGGACCTCATTACGGGGGTCTATCAAATCTTTCTGCTGTGATTTCACCTTGTAAGACACATTTTCACACTCCAAGGGTAACCTGTGCTGAAAATGATAGCATCAGCTTATGGAGCCCTGTGCCGGGTTCTAGGGATGGTCTCTGTCCTTAAGAAACCCCAACCAATTGGAAGAGATGTTGGACATTTATGCTGTTGTGTGTCACGTGCATAGAAATCTATATAAAACTGGGGTTTCAGGGAAGGCTTAGTGGAAGAGGTGACACCTGTTAGATTTTGAGGGAGGAACAGAAGTTGGGTAGACAAAGTAATGGAGGTGAGGGAGAAGAAATATTTTAGGCAGAGTAGACAGCACATGCCAGGCACAGGGTCATGAACCAGGACATGGTCAGGGAACAGTGAAGACTTAGATCTGGCTGGAGCAAAGGCCTATGTGGGACAGAGATGGGAAACCAATCTAAGTGGGAAGGAGCAGAGCCTACCATGAAGGGTCTCATTGTGTGCAACGATATGGAATTTAAAGTAATCTTAAAAACTCTAAGGAGGTCTGGGCACCATGGCTTACACCTGTAATCCCAGCACTTTGGGAGGCCAAGGTGGGAGGATCACTTGAGCCCAGGAGTTGGAGACCAGCCTAGGCAACATAGCGAGACTCCATCTCTACAAAAGTTATCTTTTTTTTTTTTTTTTTTTTAATTAGCTGGGCATGGTGGTGTTGTCTGTAGTCCAAGCTACTACAGACGCCAGGCAAGAGGATTGCTTGAAGTCTAGGAGTTCAAGGTTATAGTAAGCTATGATTGCACCACTGCAATCCAGCCTGGGCAACAGAAGCAGACCCTGTCTCAACAAAACAGAAACCCCCCACAAAACTCTAAGGAGGGGCACTAACCGACAGCTAGGTGTGGGTGAGGACCAACCAGGAGGTTTCTGCAGTGATCACCTGGGCATGAAGGGGAATTGAACCAAGACAGCAAAGGCTCAATCCTCAGCAACTTCTGGTCCAGCCACCAAACTTATCTCTGTTTTGTCTCCTCCCCACAGCCAGCAGCCAGAACAAGCCACCATCTCCCCTGGGCTTTCACAGTAGCCTCCTGACTGGTCTTGTTGCTTCCACACTTACACTTCCTGTTCTCTGCAAGGCAGCCAGAGTGACCTTTCACTAATGTAAGTCATATTATGTCCCCTCTCTGCTGCAAACCCTTCAATCACTTTCCATGAATGGTTCTGGGAATAAAGTCCAGCTTCCTTCCCCTGATTCACTTGATCTGGCCCTTCCCACTTGTCTGACCTGTTTTCCAGCCCATGCTCCCTGTCCTTTTCTACACTCCTAACATGTGGTCTTTCTATTCCTTAAACTTGCCTGGCTCAGTCCCATGTTAGAGCATTTCTGCTGGCTCTTCTTCCTGCCTGGACCTTCACACAGCTGGAAATTCTTGCTTTTCAAATTGTAATTTATTTCTATTTTTATTTTTTGAGACGGAGTTTCACTCTTGTCGCCCAGGCTGGAGTGCAATGGCGCAATCTCAGCTCACTGCAACCTCTGCCTCCTGGGTTCAAGCGATTTTCCCACCTCAGCCTCCTGAGTAGCTGGGATTACAGGAGCCTAGCGCTGCATCCAGCTAATTTTTGTATTTTTAATAGAGATGGGGTTTCACCATGTTGGCCAGGCTGATCTCGAACTCCTTTCCTCAGATGATCCACCAGCCTTGGCCTCCCAAAGTGCTGGGATTACAGGCGTGAGCCACCACGCCCAGCCACAAGTTGTAATTTAAACATCACTTCCTGAGAGAGACTTTCCCTGACAACCCCCTCAATCTCCAGGAGTTCCTCAGTCATTCTCCATCAAATCACCCTGTTTCGATTCTCTGAACAGCTCTTACTACTTTCACTTGCGTCCGTGTGACAAGACCACCAAACAGGCTTTGTGTGAGCAACAAGGCTGTTTATTTCACCTGGGTGCAGGCGGGCTGAGTCCGAAAAGAGAGTCAGCGAAGGGAGATAGGGGTGGGGCCGTTTTATAGGATTTGCGTAGGTAGTGGAAAATTACAGTCAAAGGCGGTTGTTCTCTGGCAGGCAGGGGTGGGGGTCACAAGGTGCTCAGTGGGGGAGCTTTTGAGCCAGGAGAAGGAATTTCACAAGGTAAGGTCATCAGTTAAGGCAGGAACAGGCCATTTTCACTTCTTTTGTGATTCTTCAGTTACTTCAGGCCATCTGTATGTATACCTGCCGGTCACAGGGAATATGATGGCTTAGCTTGGGCTCAGAGGCCTGACAATTACTATCTGGTATTTTCCTGTTTGTCTATATATTTATTTTCTCTCTCCTCTGTAGTAGACAGTGTCCAAAAATGGCCACCATCAAATCCTTCTCCCATTGTATACACATGCTGCTCCACTGTTCAAGAGGTGAAGTTTATTTCTCCTTCCATTGAATCTGGACTCACCTCATGATTTCTTATTACTTGCTTTGACTGACAGAACAAGGCAGAGAGGATGCTGTGCCAGTTCTGGGCCTAACTTTCAAAAGGTTTATCAGCGTCTGCTTTTACTCTTGGAGACCAGCTACCATGTAGCAAGTCTGACTACCTCGAGACCACCATGCTGTGAGGAAGCCCAAGCTCTCCACATGGAGACAGGCCATGTGGAGGAGCACAAAAATGCTGATGTTTGACAGTATGAATGCTGGAAACCAAGGAATTGAAATGAGAATGTGGGATATTGGAGTTTGTGTGTTTTCAATAAGTTTAGGGATATTGAAGTTTACCATTTCAGTTCTGAGTTTTGAGAATGTACAGGATATAGAGATGGCTGAGGTGGAGAGGAGACAATGGTCACCAAAGTTAAGGAGGTGAACAAATTTGAGGCCAGGATACTGGCTGATTCACACATGAAAATTCAGCTTTTCTGTGGTGATGGCAGATCTGGCAGTGGGGAGAGGCACTGGAAGATTCCACTTGGGAACTGTTAGAGCCACACAGGGGCAGGTGGTTTCCTTGGAAACATCTAGTTTTGATGGAGGCAAACAGATTTCAGTCAAGAGTCTGCAGCCATAGAATGGAGAGACTGTTCACAACTGAACAGGGGTCTCAAGGGTGAGAGAGGGCAACCCAGGGAAACGGGTTATCAGGAAAGGCCTCAGTAGAAGACAAGTGAGGTGTGGGTGTGGCACCTCACTTGGGCTGAGAGTCGGGCAGAGTGCAGATTCAGTTTCACTGGGGGCAGAAGTGAAGGATGATTCGGATGAGATCACTGGGAAAGTTAACTGGCCTCAAGATTTTAGCTGACCTGGAGAGATAAAAATTTGGTTTTCCTGCCAACACATCCAGAAGGGGGAGAGTGTTTTCTGTTGGCAGTAGAATCAGCAATTGGAGACCTTTGCTCAGGACTCCAAATGAAACTCTGGTGACAGGATGCAGGGCAGGGTGTGGGTAGGCCCAAGTCGGTAAACACCCCGCTGGCCTCGGGACTGTGACTCCGAGCAGAGGGGAGGAACAGGAAGCTGAGCCATGTGGTGGACGAGAACCAGGCTTGCCTGTGCTGCTGTACCCTGCAAAGCTTTGAAATTCTTAATCATTTACTATTTAATTTAGGGTTTAAAAATTAATTTTATTAATTTTGAATAATTTGACATTGTAAATAATTTTTGAACAAGGGGCCCTGCATTTTCATTTTTCAGTGGGTCCTACAATGTATGTAGCTGATCTTACTGCTACACTACTGTGTGCATGGGAAGGTTTCGAGAAACCCATAAAACACAGTGCCCGTAGAGACAAAGACACACAGGAACCATTTTAACAAAGGCAGGTAGTCTGTGCTGGTTGAAACCCATAAGGAAACAGGGGAAAGTTCATTCATTCACTTATTCACTGAAAACTTTGTTAAGAGGGAGGAAGGGAGGTCCTGCTAGTGCCAGGAGCAGGGAGGGAGAAATAAATGACTGTCATGGTCCTCAAGAAGCTCCTACTCTGTGGAATAAGAGAAATGTACACAGGAACAATGCAGCAGAGTAAGAGCTGGGATGAAAATAAACACCTTCCTTCCATTTCTTCATGTTAGGGGTACATGGTTTGTCGAAAAGACATCAAGTTAAATTAAGGTAGTTCTGTCCTACTACACAGAAAACTTACACATGGTTTCTTTGAATATATGGTTTCCTCACAGAACACCAAAGAACCTTCCTCAACAGGAAACCTCAGTGGCTTGTTCCCTCTGTGTGAGGATGTGTTGAAAAGAACAAGGAGTCGATTTGGCAGGAAAAAAAAATGCATTTACTACTGAATGTTGGCATGATCCTGTGGTTGGAAGGTCAAAACAGAAACTGGCAGTGCTACTTTTTATTAAAAGTCCACTTGGGGACATCACATGAGACTCTTTGATCTTATAGGTCAGGACACTGAGGCTTTAGGACTCCTGAGGTTATTTGGTAGTGAGGCTGCTGGGTTTCTGAATAAAGACCTATGATTAGAGTATGATTTCCTGCCCTGCTTTCTGCGCTGTAGGCGTAGTCTGCCTCACTCAGCCAATCTCAAGGGAGGGAGGACCTGTGGCTGCAGTTTCCCAAATTAT
The DNA here is from genome assembly GCF_000001405.40 of Homo sapiens. Classification (NCBI taxonomy): domain Eukaryota; kingdom Metazoa; phylum Chordata; class Mammalia; order Primates; family Hominidae; genus Homo; species Homo sapiens. The sequence goes on along the minus strand of NC_000014.9, from coordinate 50,044,065 downwards.
CCAAATTAGGACTCAAAAGAAGAGAGTTCTGAGGCCCAGCAACTCTGAGAAAATCCTGAAAAACATTGTGATAAAAAGGTACATCTTTCCTTAAAGCCAGAGCACTATGTCAGAACTGAGCCCTGAAGCTAAGTGAATGAAGGGCTTGAGAGTTGCTCTCAGTGGTGAAGATAAAATAGGTATTTAACCTTACTAATGGTGGCATTTTAGCCCAGAAGAGTGGAAGGGACCTGTGGTTCCTTTGCACTCATTACACTTAACACTTTGAGAGCGAGTAAGGCCAGCCCTAAAGTTCAAAGGAGACCCATCCATTTCCAACAGGCTACTTAAAAAAAAAATTCTTTTTGAGACGGAGTCTCGCTCTGTTGCCCAGGCTGGAGTGCAGTGGCGTGATCTCGGCTCACTGCAACCTCTGCCTCCCGGGTTCAAGCGATTCTTCTGCCTCGGCCTCCCAAGTAGCTAGGACTACAGGCGTGCGCCACCACTCCCAGCTAATTTTTTTTTTTTGTATTTTTAGTAGAGATGGGGTTTCACCATATTGGCCAGGCTGGTCTTGAACTCCTTACCTTGTGATCTGCCTGCCTTGGCCTCCCAAGGTGCTGGGATTACAGGCGTGAGCCACCACACCCAGCCAAAAAAATTTTTTTAACTGAGAAAAATATATGCTCATTGTAAAAAAAGCATAAAACTGCAAGAAAGAGATAATTTTTAAAAGCCACCTGTAGTCCAGAAATAATCACTGTTTTTTGGTATATTTCCAAACTTTCTTCTTTGCATGCATATACATATATAAATAGTTATGGGCTCACACCGTCCATGTTGCTTTGTTACTCTATTTCATGTAATACTAAATCATGAAAATTTTTCATGTCAATAAATACATTTAAACGATATTAAGTGCCTAAATATTCCTTTGTAGAGTTGTATTATTATTTATTTAATGAGTTGCCTATTATTGGAGATTAATGTTGTTTATAATTTTTTAAAAAAATTTTATTAGAGATGGAGTCTTGCTATGTTGACCAGGCTGGTCTCAAACTCCTGGCCTCAAGCAATCCTCTCATCTCTGCCTCCCAAAGTGCTGGGATTACAGGTGTGAGCCACCACGCCCAGTCTGTTTATAATTTTTGGTGATTATTCTTTTTTTTTTTTTGAGACGGAGTCTCGCTCTGTCACCCAGGCTGGAGTGCAGTGGCCCGATCTCGGCTCACTTCAAGCTCCGCCTCCCAGGTTCACACCATTCTCCTGCCTCAGCCTCCTGAGTAGCTGGGACTACAGGCGCCTGCCACCACACCCGGCTACTTTTTTGTATTTTTAGTAGAGACGGGGTTTCACCGTGTTAGCCAGGATGGTCTCGATCTCCTGACCTCGTGATCTGCCTGCCTCGGCCTCCCAAAGTGCTGGGATTACAGGCATGAGCCACCGAGCCTAGCCTAGGTGATTTTCTTAATTATTTCCTTAGGATATGTTCCAAAGAATTTAATTGCTAGGTCAAAGCTTATGACCTTTTAAAGGATTGTGATAGTGTGTCAGTCAGGATAGGCTAAATATTGTAACAGACATAGCCAACATCTCAGTGGCTTAACACAATAAAGATGTATTTCTCTTTTATGTCACAGTTCAACACAAGTCATTGGTTGGGAGTAGAGGGCACTCTGCATGGTCGTCTGGAACCAGGGTTTGCCTACATGATGGGTCTCCATTTGCCACCGGCCTTGGACGTCTCCACTGGATGCTCTGATTTCACCTGATAAGTAAAGGGAGAGAGACAGAGCATGGAGAATTACACAGGTAGTTTTAGGGTCAGGCCTGGCAGTGACTCACATCGCTTCCTCTGCCCACCTTCCAATTGTCCAGAACTCAGTCACATGACTGCTCCTAACTGCAAGGGAGGCTGGAAAGTGTAGTCTTCCTGAGTGTCCAGGAGGAAAACAAGAGTGTAATGGACCCAGAATAAGCATAGTCTCTGCCTCAAACATTACCAAGTGGCCAATCAGCAATGTTTTTCCAGTTATTTATTTATTTTATTTATTTTGAGACAGAGTCTAATTCTGTTGCCCAGGCTGGAGTGCAGTGGTGTGACCTCAGTTCACTGCAACCTCTGCCTCCCAGGTTCAAGCGATTCTCTAGCCTAAGCCTCCCGAGTAGCTGGGATTGCAGGTGCACTCCACCACACCCAGCTAATTTTTGTATTTTTAGTAGAGATGGGGTTTCGCCACGTTAGGCAAGCTGGTCTTGAACTCCTGGCCTCAACTGATTCCCCACCTCAGTTTTTCCAGTTTATATTCTCAACAGCAGGGTATGCGGATTCCTATTTTCCTATTCCCTCAATAATTAAGGGGATGATGCTCTTTCTGTTGTTTTTTATAGATCTGCATGGAACAATGCTGCTTCTCTGCATGACTAGAGTTTGTTTTCTCTTTGAAGATAATCTCACTAGGATCAAGACCATACCTGCTGGAGAGTCAGGACTCTGGATTTCTGATTGTTTTCAGGACAGCTACCCTCATCCTAGGCTGATCTGAGTTTCTGGGTCTTTCTCTGCCTGTTCTTTCCTCTCCCCTTCCCTTCCCTGCTGCAGAAAGTGTTTTATGTGGGTGTCAGCAACATCAGGACCTTTCAAGCCCCTTGCCCCAGTATCATCCCTGAATGCAAAACTCACTCAGAGGCCTGGGGAAGAGATTCGAACTCTGCTTTTCCTCTGCCACCTCAGGTGTGTTCCAGCTTACAAGACACTTTCACAGAAAAAAAGTTCAGGGAATGGAATTGGAAGGCAAAAATAGCTGCTCGATGCTGACTTGGCACATTTGACTTTGACCAAATCATCCAGCGCCTCGTCCTTAGTACTCTGGTTTCCACAGAATAATCCTCATGCAGTGAGTAGTGGAAGTCAGGAGGAATAAACTGCCTAGATGTCATGAAGGGAAAACAATGCACAATAGACTTGTGCAGAATCTATTCCTGTCCGTTTCCCTGTGAATCCAGATTGCTGAACACTGGCCGATGTCTGAGCTGTGGTTTCCCCCTGGATTTGAAATTTAGTTACTAGAAGACAATGCTTTTGAATGGCTTCTTGGCCATGACTTTCACAGGGCCTGCTGGCTGTTGCCTGATGATTGTCTGATAGGCCTAGCCCCTTGGCAAAGCAATGTTTCATTTGCAAAACTACGCTTGTCCGGTGCCTCCTGGGAACTGAAAGCCTGGCATCAGCAGAGGAACGCAAATTGGGCAAATCACGGATCTCCCAGGCGTGCGTTGCTTGGGGGCCATGGTACACAGCACTGCTAAAAGTCTAGGACAATCTATGTGTTTTAGGAGCAAACCAGTGCCTTGCACTTCTAAGCTGTATCCTTTGCTCCCTCCCTGAGAGGCAGCCGTGTGCTCTGGGCTTCCTAGGTAAGTGACTCACACCAACTATAAGCCTGGCTTATGACCTAGAAAAGGAAACAGGAAGTGGCTTAGAGACATAAAGAGCACAGCCCAGAAGGGGCTGCTGTGGAATTCTCCTCAGATGAGACGGAGTCCAGTGGGCAGAGGGGCAACTTAGCATCCTCTCTTTCCCCATGTTACCACGATGCTCTTGGCAGGGACCATTTGATGGGGATTCGGATGTCTTCCTGGGGTGGTGAGCAGGGGTGAGGGAGGGGGAACTGCTGCTGGGTCAGTAGCTCCTCTCCAGAGTGAGCCCATCTGTGGAATGCCATGCCCCTTCTCTATCCCATCTTTGCAAGTGGGCTTGGGTTCTTGGGATGAGTTCTTCAGGCCTTATAAATGCAAACTGTGCAGAGGTGCCTCCAACAAGAAAAACCAGTCTCTGGCAGGGCCCCTAAGGGCAGGATTCTGGAGAGGCCGCCCTGTCCTCAGTTTGGCCCTGGGACATTCTGGCCGAAAGTAGGATGGCTGCGGCAGAGGGAGGAGAGGGGCCTCCCTGTTGATGGAGGCCACCATGTAGGGCTTCACTATGCTTCCCTTTCTGGCTCTCCCAGGGAGGAAGGGTGGCTGGCAGCTGGCGGCAGGGCTTGTGAAGGCTTAGCCCTGGGCCTGGTCCTGCTTCTCTTAGAGGTGGCTGGTTGTGCAATGGCATCCTGGCTGCTCCTCTTGGAGCCCTGTGACCACAGTTCCAGGCTCCACCCCCATTTCTCACCGCCGGTGGTGAGAAATGGAATTTTTTTGTTTTGTGTTTTTATGCTGTTCCCGTAACACCCAGCACCAGTCCCCAAGGATGAGTGCTGAAGATCCATAGCCATGGCAGGGCAGGGCCTAGGTACTGAAGGAAGATCCCACTCAGAGTTCAGTTCCACCCACTGCAAAACGCCCTCCGAGGACCCTCACTAGACCAGTTCCTCCAAGTGCGGTCCGCAGGCTGCCATCAGCGGGATCACGGGGTGAGGAAGGGGCTGTTTAAAACACGGGTTCTTGGCCCCATCTGCAGACCCCCAGAATCTAACCCTCTCAGGGAGAGTCCTGGAAATCTGTGTATCTAGAAGCACTTTCTTCCCCAGGCTGGCCAGCTCAGAAATGTCTAAAAACTTTTCTCGATACCAATCCTGGTCTCATTTATTATCCTTCTCATGAAAATGATTTGCTTCCTTTCAGCCTTGTATGACCTCTGAAAATATGACCTGAAGCAGATGGATGCACTCACATAAGAAACATCACCTGTGGCCTTCATCGGTAAGCATGGATTGCTGTTTTCACTCAGGGGCTTTGAAGGAAGACACCTTTGATCATTGGGCTGCCTCTACTTTTCGCTGAGTTGTCACTATTAAATGCCCTTCCCTGGCTTTGCCTTCTCTCTTCTCCACCAGAAAATGGGCCTGCTGCTTGAAGAAGTTGGGCTCTTGGAGTTCTCTAGCACAGGGGCCATGAAAATCAATGACTTCCTTGTTTGCTGACGGAGCAGAGGTAGAATCTCTTGGTGTTTCCACGGAGAAAACACTGACCATGAAGAGCCAAGAAAGATGACATGATGAAGCCATCAGGGGAAGCACCAAACATCCTCAACTCTGCTCACCCATGGTTTTCTCCCGCCCTCCCAGAGCTCCTCCTGCGTGAGTAATGCAGTGTGTGCTGGTGCAGTGTCTCACTGAAAAAAGAAAGAAACCCTGATTTGCAGCATTGGCCAATTTCTGTAGTGTAAATACTCCCACCATAGCAGATTTCAGGTTACCAAGGGTTTCACAACTGGTTCACAAGTCTTGACTGTAATGACCAGCTCATGCAACTCCAGCATCTCATCATCTCCGCCCTGTCCCAGAAAATCCCCACATCACACCCAGGCTGAATATCACTTTCAGCTTCTCAGTCAGAAGGAGAAGTGGTTAACTATGCCAGGATGGTAATGACTAAATATCAGAATGGTGAGTGTGGAGGGTCAGGATGTCTGCCAAATTGGAGATGACTCTTCACTTCTCAATCTTGGTGTCTCATCTGGGGAAGCTGGAGGGAGACATGCACAGCTTCTCATGAACAGTCCTGGAAGCCCTTACCCCAAGGCCTCATGGGGCTCTCTCCAGGGCTTGCTCTTTGTCACTCCTTTAAAAGCCTGTCATTCATTGCCAGAGAACAGAAGACTCCATCCTAAGGCCAAGTTGAAAACGGCAGGCTTGGGAGCTGTCTAGACTCTGGGTCCTGGCTTTTGTCTTGGCTGGTGTCAAAATGGACTCTTTAAAAACTGTCCTCAGGAAGATTCCCCATCCAACTCTGAACAGCCTGGACTGATCTTTTTCTGATTTTTAGGGGTCTTGTGAACAAGAGTCAGGTGGGCGGGCAGCTCTTGTAAAGCTGAACATAACCAAATTTGTCCATAGCCTGTGACAGCAAAGATCACAAAATTCTTCCCTCCCCTTTAGGGCCTGGGAGTGACGCCGAACCAAGGGGAGGATAGTGACCTATTTTATCTCCCAAACATTGGGCAGCCAGTTGCATTTGCAGATTTAAAATCCACCCACACTACTGCAGTTTCTGTTCTCCTGCCCCCCCGAGCATACTTCTGGCTGGAGCTGGTTTTGTAAAGTGGAGTTGGCTGTGGGTGTGGGAGTCCTCCTCGGAGAGCCTGGTCTGACAGCCCCAGTCAACAGCCCTCCCATGGGCATTTGGGCTGCTCCAGTCCCGGCAGGTGCACAGCTCAGGGGAATCTGGTTTTGTCTTGGTCTCAGCCAGGGAAGTCTAGTTAAAGAAAGAAAAGGTTGGCCGGGTGCAGAGGCTCACACCTGTAATCCCAGCACTTTGGGAGGCTGAGATGGGCAGATCACGAGGTCAGGAGTTTGAGACCAGCATGGCCAACATGGTGAAACCCCGTCTCTACTAAAAATACAAAAATTAGCTGGGCGTGGTGGCAGATGCCTGTAATCCCAGCTACTTGGGAGGCTGAGGCAGGAGAATTGCTTGAAACCAGAAGGTGGAGGTTGCAGTGAGCCGAGATCGCGCCACTGCACTCCAGCCTGGGCAACAAGAACAAAACTCTGTCTCAAAAAAAAAAAAAAAAAAAAAAAGGTCTCGGTGGAAATGGCCTTGAATCTGGGGTCTCTCTCATATTCTAATCACTCAATCACTTAACAAATACTTATTGAGGGCCTACTAGGTGCCACACATTGGAAGACAGTGGAGGGTGAAGCAGAGTCTGCCCTCAGGGAGCTTACAGTTTAGATTACAGGCAAGACAGCCCTTACACACATAATTCCAGATGAGTCAATAATGACCAGGGTGCAGAGGCTTTGAAGCAGAAGCATAAGGTGCAATGGGAGCATAAAACAGGGAAGCCTAATGCAGACTGAGGGGCCTGAGGAGGGTTCCTTGAGAAAGTGAGGTTGAAGCTGAGAACCTGAGGAGTGGTTTTCACGCAGTGCAATTGAAGGTTGAAAGGGAAGATCCTCCAATGCACAAAGAATTCATGCTTCAGAAACATTCTCTTCCTGAGGATACATTTGGGAATTTAGGTAGAAATTAACTGTCTTGCCTTCATATACAGTGTAGTGGAGACCACTGTAGGTCTCCAACTTTTTGTCTTTTCTTAATAACAAGTCCCCAGTTTTTGCTAGGTACATAGCTACCCAGAGAAAAGATTATGTGGCCACCTTACTATGTTCTGGCCAATGAGATGTCAGCAGAGGTAATATGCGGGGCCTCTGAGAAGGCCCTTTCCTGCTACCTGGTACCTGGCTGGAGGCTGAAAAGCCATTAGGGACGAGACATGCTAAGGTTGGAGGGTCAGCGTATTACATGGAGCCTCCTTCCCTGATGGCCTTGGGCTGCCATACCAGCCCTGGATTGCCTAATTCCCGACTTCTTTTGTAAAAGGGAGAAATAAGGGTCAATTTTTAAAAAAGCATCTATTACTTTGACATTTTCTGTCACACACAGCCAAATATAATCCTAACTACTATACACAGCTTCTTTTCAGCTTAATGAAAAGATCATTGTTCTGCACTACACATAAATTACCTATTTTATAGAAAAGTCTGTGATTACAATAGCTATTTTCCCAGCCTCCTTCATCACCTCCTTGATCCCCTTATCCTCCCCTCGGCCCTGCACCTCCTCTCTTTCCTGACTCCCACACCAGAGCTAGGCCTGCCCTGGGCACTTTTGCCTCCAGGAATGAATGAGGCTCACAGCCCGAAGGTGCTCCAAGTCTTGGCTACCTTCCCTCAGTGGCTGCCCTGGCAAAGGTCCTGCCGCAGGGAATCACACAAAGTCCAGCAAAGCAACTGGTCTTTCCTGTCCATTCTCACCCTTCCCAAGAAAGTGTGAAGAGTTACAATACTCAGGCAGAGCTGGAAAAATCATACCCTTTTAGAGAATCCACAAGAATTATTGGAGGTGCTTTCACTGACCTGCCCTGCCTTGGGTTTTTCAAGCTACGCAGATGGGTTTTTCAAGCTACGCAGAATTTAATGGATCTGTTTCCCCAGCCTCTGGCTAACCAAATCCAAAACATCAAGAGTCAAGGGGAGAAGGTCAGCATGTTTAGTTACAAACCTTTGGGGCTGTCTGGGGTGATTGCAGGCCTCAGCATGCTGGCTTTGGGTGCGGTGAGGCTGGGGATGCATAGAATTCTGTCCCCTCTGCCCCTGCCTCAAAAAAAAAGTTGAAGGCTTAAACCCCAGTACCTCAGACTATGGCCTTATTTGGAGATAGTCTTTACAGAGGTAATCAAGTTAAAATGTGGTCATTAAGGTCAGCCCTAATCTAATATAACTCCTGTCCTTATGAAAAGGGGAAATTTGGCCGGGTGCGGTGGCGGCTCATGTCTGTAATCCCAGGACTTTGGGAGGCCAAGGGGGCGGATCACAAGGTCAGGAGTTTGAGACCAGCCTGTCCAATATGGTGAAACCCCATTTCTACTAAAAATACAAAAATTAGCCAGGTGTAGGGGCACGCGTCTGTAGTCCCAGCTACTTGGGAGGCTGAGGCAGAAGAACCCGGGAGGCAGAGGTTGCAGTGAGCCGAGATTGAGCCACTGCATTCCAGCCTGGGTGACAGAGTGAGACTCCTTCTCAAAAAAAAAAAAAAAAAAAAAAAGAAAAAAAGAAAAAAAAGAAAAGGTGGGGACAGACACACCCACAGTGAGAACAGCATGTGAGATACAGGCAGAGGTCAGGGTGGTGCTTCAACAAGCCAAGGAATACCAGAGATTGCCAGCAAACCACCAGAAGCATGGGAAAGGCATCCAACAGATTCTCCCTCTCAGCCCTCAGGGGAGCCAGCCCTGCCAACACCTTGATCTTGCACCTCTAGCTTCTAGAACTCTGAGAAGACAAATTTCTGTTGGTTATGTCACCTAGTTTGTGATAACTTGTCGGGGTAGCCCTAGCAAACTCAGGCAAGATCCTTCAAGTACCAAAGAACAGAGGAGTTTGGTGACAGCCACTGGAGTCAAGCGATTTCCCTGTAGCCTCACATCGGGACATGAAGATGTGGGGAGCAGCTAGCCTCCCCTATATTTCTGTAGCTGATGGAAAGTGAAAAAAAAAACCACCAACATCCTCGTGGCCTTGAAACGCTGCATCCCTTCAAGCATCGGATGGTTCCCTTTCAGAAAGGCTGTTATTTGCACCAGTAGCAACTATATAAGTAGTGCTTGCTAATTTGCCAGAAACTATTTGAAGTGCTTTAATATTCTAATTCCTTTTGTTGTTGTGACAGATGAGGAAACTGAGGCACAGAGAGGCTAAGCAACTTAAGGTTAGCAGCTAATACATAGAGAAGGTGAGATTTGGGGGTTTTTGTTTGTTTATTTGTGTAGAGCTGGGGTCTCGCTATGTTGCCCAGGCTGATCTTGAACTCCTGGCCTCAAGCAATCTTCCCACTTCAGCCTCCCAAAGTGCTGAAATTGCAGGAGTGAGCCACTGCACCCAGCTGAAAAGGTGGGGTTTGAACCCAAACAGACTCCCTCCAGAGTCCATACATTTAACCACGACATCTTTAAGTGCATGAACTGGAGTCCATGCGATCCTGTGTTGGACACAGTAGTTCCTGATTGAGATTGCTGTGCTGAGTGAAAGCCATTCCCAAGCCATGTTGTTTGCCACAGTGTGTGTGTGTGTGTGTGTGTGTGTGTGTGTGTGTGTGTTTTAACCTCTTTTGTCTATCACTGGTGGCTGGTGGCTGCCCCAGTCAGGGCTACCTTGAAACAGCAGAAACCCCAAAGCAGCAGGTTCCCCTCTCTTCTCATGCTCATTTTCTGGAACTCTTACCTGGCCTGGCTGGGCCAGAAGTCTCCCTTGGATATTCCTCTCAGTAGAGGAGTTCAAGGAGTCCTCTCTCCACCTGGAGGCAACCAGGGTATCCTGACAGAGACCAAATCTTTCAGAAAGGCCTTTTCTGCTCACTTCCTGGGGGTCATGTTAAACAAGACTACTTCCCAGAAAGCACAACTGACGCTGACTGGCAAGGACTGTCTGAATATCTATCATCTATCTATCTATCTATCTATCTATCTATCTATCTATCTATCATCTATCATCTACCTATCTATCTATCATCTATCCATCCATCCATTTAATCTTTTTTTTTTCCTTTTCCTGGCAGAAAAATCTAAATGTCTAAATGGGTAGGCATCTTTCAACTTATGAACAGTCTGCAAACCCCAACTAAACTTTCTTTGTTGAATGATTCTTGCATGTGCACAAATGCACACGTGAAAAAACTTTGTATGTGATCTCTCCCGCCTGGGTTCCCCCACCTCATCCACTGCTTGATTTCTGCTTGTGGAATTGGAAGTCCACAGGGATGGGGGAAGAAGGTCAAAGGACACCCACAGGCTCTGCAAAAGCCAGCCACTGGGCCAAGCTGCCACCATCCGGCTCCTCCCACTGCCTACTTTACCTGTCTCACCTCACAAGGGGCTGAGCTAAGGTTGCTTTGAGCATATAGGGCTTTTTTTTTTTTTTTTTTGAGACAGAGTCTCACTCTGTCTCCCAGGCTGGAGTGCAGTGGCACATTCACAGCTCATGGCAGCCTTACCCCCAGGCTCAAGTGATCCTCTCACCCAAGCTTCCTGAGTAGCTAGGACCACAGATGTGCACCATTGCACCTGGCTAACTTTTAAAACTTTTTGTAGAGATGGGGTCTCACTATGTAGCCCAGGCTAGTTTCAAACTCCTGGGTTCAAGCAGTCATTCTGCCTTGGCCTCCCAAAGTGCTGGGATTACACATGTGGACCACCATGCCCAGCCTACATGGGGCATTTTGTTAAGCAGAAATGAAGACTCAGTTGCTACTAAGCATCTGTGCCACTTGTACTGTGACGGTTCTTCATTTTTACTATTTATTCCTTACCATAACCAGATGTTAATCCCATTTTTAAGAGGCTGCATTTGAGGCCTAGCAATTTACTCTGGGGAACTTGAATGAGAGGCTTGGAGCCTGGGCTTCAGCAATTCTGAAAAGTCCACTCCGTGCCCATGATCCATACCACGTCAGTTACAGAGGTCCCAGAAATGTGTGCTAAGTCAGCATAGAGACTGTTTTCTGGGTAAGGACATTTGCATTTTCTCTTTTGTTTGTTCAACAATAAAAATGCTTTGAGTTGATTTTCTAGGCTTGGTAACAAAGAGGATGATGACAATAATGATGCAAAAGTATGTGAAATTGGGCTGGGTGTGGTGGTTCACGCCTGTAATCCCAGTACTTTGTGTGGCCAAGGTGGGAGGATCACCTGAGGTCAGGAGATAGAGACCAGCCTGGCCAACATGGTGAAACCCCAACTCTACTGAAAAAATACAAAAATTAGCCAGGCGTGGTGGTGGGCACCTGTAATCCCAGATACTCAGGAGGCTGAGGCAGGAGCATTGCTTGAATCCGGGAGGCAGAGATTGCAGTGAGCAGAGATCACACCACTGCACTCCAGCCTGGGCAACAGAGTGAGACCCTGTCTCAAAAAAAAAAAAAAAAAGTACGTGAAATTGGTGGTGAATCATGTACTAGGGCCTATGCTGTGGGAGGCTCATGGACAACACAAACATGAGCCTTGCTTTTTAGGAGCCTAAAGTCTGAATGGGAAGGTCAAAATCTATGTGAAGCAAGTGGACAACTGAGGTTTCTCTAAACTGAAAGTGGCTTTACTGAGGATTTGCCGATCGTAAGGACAGAGACCCCTCCACATGTTTCAAGAAAGGAGGGATTTAATGTAGGAGTGCAAGTGGTTGGTGCTGTCATGGAGACAGCTCCGAGGCCTGGGGAGGCCTCTCCATCTCACCCCTCCCTCAAGATCCCTGCTCTCTCTGTGCATCTGTCCCCTGCTCCTGTCTCTAATGACCCTTCCTCTGCTCATTCAGCTCCTGTTCTCTCCTAATTTCAACTTACACATAACTTCACCAGCCAGGATTCTCTTTCCACCTCTAGACATCCTTTCAGCTTCAACTACTACCCTAAGTGGTTCATTCTTTCTGTATTTGGTAGTTCTAATTCCCAGGAGAGGCTCTGATTGGCCTAGCTCCTAGGCCTCTGTGAGCCTGTGCTTTAGCAATCCTTGGTCACTTGTCCCTCCTGACAGTCCGGTCAGATGTGGCCAGGAGTAATCACAAGATCACCTAAAGGGCTCTGGGCAGCTAGACACCTAAAACAACTCCGGGATGGGGGTTCTTGATGACAATCTCAACTAAAGATCATAGGAAAGAGAATCGTTCTGAGCTGGAAAGAGTGGAATTCACAGGGCAGTGAGATGGCCAGGGCTTCAACACACAGCATTTACATCATAGGAGAGAAGAGGAAGCTGACAAGCAGGAATGGCTATGGTGGTAAACTGTTGCAGTTTTCAAAATTATTTGTTTCCCTTCCCCATGGAAGGATTCTACATTCCTACCCAGATGATATCACACTTGGAAGTGTGAAACTTTTACCAATGAAATATGAGTAGAAGGGATGTGTGTCATTTTAGGCAAAAGCAATGGATAACCATTGCATGGTTCACCATGTTCCCTTTTCCCTCTGCCACGAGAACAACACAGTCCCACATAGGGACTGCTCCATCCCCTCAGGTCCCAGAATGGAAACAACCTGGGGCAGAGACAGAACTCAATCGTGACAGTCCATGATGGATGCATGATGCGAATAAGTCAATCTTTGTTGTGTGAAGCCACCGAGATTTTGGGGTCATTTGCTACTGTAGCATAACCTAGCCTATCCTGACTGAGACAAGGAACATGTTGTGTTTTTAGAATATCAGATAGATGGGAGAGAAGGATGGCAGTGAAGCGGTAATGAGAAGTGGGACCAGGAATCCAGGTGTCAGGGAAGGAAGACACGAAGCAGGCAACAAGAGAAGATCTAGAAAGAAGGAGGAGACTCTGAGAGCCATTGTAAAGGAAGAGGTAGCCAGTTTTGGTAACAGGTTGTGTGTTATTCTGCTTGAGCTGTGATTATGGTTTGGCTGTGTCCCCACCCAAATCTCATCTTGAATTCCCAGTGTGGGAGGGACCTGGTTGGGGGTGACTGAATTGTGGGGGCAGGTCTTTCCCATGCTGTTCTTGTGATAGTGAATAATTCTCATGAGATCTGATGGTTTTAAAAAGGGGAGTTTCCTTGAACAAGCCCTCTTTCCTTTTCTGCCACCATGTGAGATGTGCTTTTCACCTGCCATGATTGTGAGGCCTTCCCAGCCACGTGGAACTGTGAGTCCAATAAACCTCTTTCTTTTGTAAATTGCCCAGTCTCAGGTATGCCTTTATCAGCAGCATGAAAATGGACTAATACAAGCTGCCATCACAAAATGCTATAGATTGGGTGGCTTAGACAACAGACACTTATTTTTCTCACAGTCCTGAGAACTGGATGTCTAAGATCAAGATGCCACTGGCAGAGTGGGTTTCTGGTGAGTTCTTTCTTCCTGGCTTGCACATGGCCACCGTCTTGCTGTGTCCTCATATGGCCTTTCCTCTGTGTGTACAAAGAAAGAGAGCGACAGGTTTTTGGTGTCTCTTCCTCCTCTTATAAGGAAATCAGTCCTGGCCAGGCACCATGGTTCACACCTGTAATCTCAGCACTATAGGAGGCTGAGGTGGGAGGATCACTCGAGGCCAGGAGTTTGAGATCAGCATGGGCAACATAGTGAGACCCTGTCTCTACAAAAAATAAAAATTAGCCAGGCATGGTGGCACATGTCTGTAGCCCCAGCTACTGGGGAGGCTGAGGCAGGAGAATTGCTTGAACCCAGGAGGTGAAGTTTGCAGTGAGCCGAGATAGTGACACTGCACTCTAGCCTGCATGACAGAGCAAGAACCTATCTCAAAATTAATTAATTAATTAATTAAGTCTTTTTTAAAAAGGGAAGCCCAGTCCTATCAGATTAGGACACTGTCCTTATGACCTCATTTAGCCTTACTTCCTCCCTTAAAGCCCCTGTCTTTAAATATAGTCACATTGAGGGTAAGGGCTTCAACATACGCATGTTGTGGGGGCAATTCAGACCAGAAAAGGTTGAAATAGGGAACAAAGGAGAGTAAAGGATGAAAAAAATTCCTTATTTACTAGTCTGTCATAGTTGGGAGTTGGAACCACTTTGAGGTGAAGGTTTACTTTCAGACAAATGGAATCAGTGGTGGGGTGGTCGTGTAGCTAGTCATTTCCCGCCGGCACTTGGGATTGGGCTCAGGGCTAGAGAAAGAGATCTGGGTGAGTCAGACTATGGAAACTGTGTTTTGGTTTATAAATATATCCAAATGGGTTGTGAGAAATGGAGCACGAGCACCACACTTGAGGAGAGAGGCCACGAAGAGGACCCTCAATCCTAGATGGACAGAAGGAAGAGGAGGGAATAAAAACAAAGATCTCCCAACGGCATCACTCTACTGCTGGGGGCAGACCCTGGGACAAATTGCTCTGCCACCTGAGATCGCTGAGCAGAGTCCCCATCATCCGGGAGAGCAGCCAGCCAGGTAGGCCCAGGATGAGGGCTCGTGTGGCATGGGGCACGGGGCAGAGCTCTCTTAGGTTGTTAATGTGGTGGGTCCGGCACAACTAAATGCAACTCAGAGATGATTTATTTTTTCAGTGTTTAAACCTTATTCATACTCTTGTTAAAATTTCACTGCAAAAGGCAGTGCATGGTGGCTCATGCCTGTGGTACCAGCACTTTGAGAGGCTGAGGTGGGCAGATCATTTAAGCCCAGGAGTTCGAGACCAGCCTGGGTGACATAGACCCCATCTCTGTTTTTGAAAAATAAAATTAAGTAATAAAGAAGAAAAAATTTGGCTGGGCGCGGTGGCTCACGCCTATAATCCCAGCACTTTGGGAGGCCGAGGCGGGCAGATCACGAGGTCACGAGATCGAGACCAGCCTGACTAACATGGTGAAACCCCATCTCTACTAAAAATACAAAAATTAGCCGGGTGTGGCGGCACACGCCTGTAATCCCAGCTAGTCGGGAGGCTGAGGCAGGAGAATGCTTGAACCTGGGAAGTGGAGGTTGCAGTGAGCCAAGATCGCACCACTGTACTTCAGCCTGGTGATGAGCGAGACTCCGTCTAAAAAAAAAAAAAGAAAGAAAGAAGAAAAAATTCACAAAAAAAAATCCATGAGGTAGGTGTCATCTCCATTGCCGAGAAGATGAAACAGAAGATCAGAGAAGCAAGGGAACTCTTCTGAGGTGAACAGCTCAAGAGACTGAGGCAGGTCTCTTACCACTGTCACGTGGGTCCCCGTGAAGAGTCCACCAACAGGTTTGTGTGAGCAACAAGGCTGTTTATTTCACCTGGGTGCAGGCAGGCTGAGTCCGAAAAAAGAGTCAGCAACGGGAGATAGGAGTGGGGCAGTTTTATAGGATTTGGGAAGGTAGTGGAAAATTACAGTTAAAGCTGGTGGTTATCTCTTGCAGGCAGGGGCGGGGGTCACAAGGTCCAGAGTGGGGAGATCATGAGACTCACTGTCCAGTGGAGGGGGGCGGGGGGGAATGTCACAAGGTCGATTGATTAGTTGGGGTGGTGCAGGAACAAATCACAATGGTGGAATGTCATCTTTTGTGGTTCTTCAGTTGCTCCAGGCCATCTGGATGTATACATGCATGTCATAGGGGTTATGATGGCTTAGCTCAGGCTCAGAGACCTCAATCACCACATTGCCTTTGGGATTCCACCTGCGTCTTCCTTTGGAGAAGTCCCTCATGTGGAGATTTTGCAGGGTTTAGCTTGAACGCAGTTCAAGGCAAGGGGCAAGAAACCATTTGAAGTGATCATTTCCCAGCTCTGAGGGTCTCTTTCCTGTGAGTTTGGTCACAGTTTAGCCTCTGTCCTTGGAAACTTCCCAGAAATAAGACCAAGACTATCTTTAATATTAAGGGGAAAACAGGGCTTTTGCACTAAGAAAGATCTTCATTGCTTTTGAAACTCCTAAAGTACACATTTATGTTTTCTCTTGCTTGGAGAGGTCATCCAAGAACTGGCCACTCCCTGACATTTCTATGGAATCTCTTTTTCTGGAATGGTCTTCCTAGATCCCCTGGATTCCAAAAAAGTACATCCGGAAGTTCCCATGGCAAGGTTCTCATGGTAGTAACAGTGTGTACATAATTCTGTTTAATACTCCTTGCTGCTATGTGAGATGCACAATTGCACCCATTGTTCCCGTTGGCAGAAACTGACTTCTGGCTCCAACTTCTTCGTTTTCTTCTACTTCTACTTCTACCAAGGAACAGCTGGAGAGATGAGTTTGCTGGCTCACACACAATAGGCCCCAAAAGCACCTCCAGTCCTCCCCCAGCTGTGTGAAATTAACTCAGCACTGTTTTGTATAGTAAGACATACTGGCATCGCTGAGTGAATGCCTAAGCAGCTCTCACTGTCTCCACCTGGCCTAAGAGGTCCAATGGGTGCTACCTCTCTGGTGTGTCTGGTCCCGGGATATTCAACTGAAATCCCCCCGCTGAAAGGATGGTAAAGCAGTATTCCTGTTGGATATTTAAAACAAGAAGCTGTGAAGGTTCCCAAAGGCTCTGAGTCTCCACTTCAAGGTCAAGAAAAAAGCGTTAACCTAGTTTAGCTGTATTTTAGGAAGCAGATGCTGGGCACCTGAAAGGCCAAATTTTGCTTCTAGCCACAGGTTTTCTGCAGAGAAAACAAGACAGAGCTCAACTTAGGGCACATAGATGAGCAGGATAGGGGATGTTGCTTAAGGACCCTGCAGCTCTGGACCCACCAATGACTAAGTGTGTCAGAAAGAGCACGTGTGACCATGTTCTGTGGAATGTATGCATTTGTAGGATGCTTTCTGCACAGGCACTTTTCAAAAAGCTTTCTCTTTGGAGGTGTGTGTGGGGCAGACAGGGCTGGACCAATATAGGGGTGAGCAGGGATGGGGAGGACATAGTGAGTGAAGGTTCCACCATTACTGTAGCCTCTGAAAACATCATATGGAAATTCCATCCCAACTGGGAAGCCAGAGTCATGGGAAGTCAACTTACTCCCCTTAAGTTACAGAACAGCCACCAAAGAGGAACCCCATTTCTTTTGTTTTTGTTTTTGTTTTTGAGACGGAGTCTCACTCTGTCACCCAGGCTGGAGTGTAGTGGCGAGATCTCAGCTCGCTGCGACCTCTGCCTCCCAGGTTCAAGCGATTCTCCTGCCTCAGCCTCCTGAATAGCTGGAGTCCCAGCTATTCAGGCACATGCCACCACGCCTGGCTAATTTTTTGTATTTTTAGTAGAGATGGGGTTTCACTATGTTAGCCAGGATGGTCTCGATCTCCTGACCTCATGGTCCACCTGCCTCGGCCTCCCAAAGCACTGGGATTACAGGCATGAGCCACTGCACCCAGCCAAGGAACTCCATTTGTAAAGTGTTATAAGGCTCATACATTACGCATCTTATTTGGTTAACATTTGCACTGGCCACAACTTCTATAAAGGAAGCTGGTGTATTCTAGCAGCCCACCAACTGGAATTCTCTCCCTTAGGCCTGGAAAGATCACTAAGTCTTGTGCCAAGGAGGCACTTGCCCCAGGCCTCCTGGGAAGCTTTCTTTATTCTGATTCACCAGTTTCACCCCTGAAAGTGGTATAGGACAAGGCCTTGTTGGCTAGCTATGTGGATGCAGGGATTTCTTGTTTGCCTAGAAAAAAAAAAAAAGCCAAGAAAAAAACCCAGTGTTTTTTTCTGTTGCTATGTAACGAATCATTCTTTTTTTTTTTTTTTTCTTGATGGATTCTCGCTCTGTCCCTCAGGCTGAAGTGCAGTGGCTTGATCTCAGCTCATCGCAACCTCTGCTCCCTGGGTTCAAATGATTCTCCTGCCTCAGCCTCTTGAGTAGCTGGGATTATAGGCGCCTGCCACCGCACCTGGCTAATTTTTGTATTTTTAGTAGAGATGGGGTTTCACCATCTTGGCCAGGCTGGTCTTGAACTCCTGACCTCATGTTCCACCCACCTCAGCCTCCCAAAGTGCTGGAATTACAGGCATGAGCCACCGTGCCCGGCTACAAATTATTCTTAAACTAAGCAACTTAAAACAACAAACATTTATGATCTCACAGTTTCTGTGGGTTAAGAATCTGGGGCTTAGTTGGCAGTTCTGCCTCATGGTCTCTCACACAGTTGCAGTTAACCTGCTGGCTGGGGCTGGTGTCATCTGAAGGCTCAACTGGGGAAGGATCTGCTTGCAAGCTCAGTCATGTGGTTGTTGGCAGGCCTTACCTCCCTGCTGGCTGTTAGCCAGAGACATCTGTTCCTCACAACCTGAGCCTCTCACAGTGTGCCTGAGTGTCTCATGACATGACTGCTGGTTTCTCCCAGAGTGATCCAAGAGAAAGATAGAGGAAGAGAAGGAGAGAGAGTCCATGACAGAAGCCATAGTCCTTTATAACCTAATCTCAGGAGTGACATTCTATCATTTCTGCTACATTCTTCTGGTGACACAGAAAACACTGATGTGGGCATAGGCTGTGCAAGGGTGTGAATTCCAGGAGGCAGGGACCTTGGGGGCCATCATGGAGGCCTGTTTCAGAAAGGAGAGAAGGCGAGGGAGAGCATCATGCAATGAAAAGTTTAGTGGTATGACCTGGCTAATGAATGAACAGCTCTTCTATTAACGGGATGAGTGTCTTTCAAAAGTCAACATCTCTGGGCCTTGCCTGTAAAGTCAGGTATTTGGACGAGTACGATCTCTAAGTTTTCTAAAGTCTGGGGTATTTGCACTTAGAGGTTATTAGGAGAGGAGTGAAGAAGGGGAAGAGAATAGGGAGACAGAAACTTGAGCCCCATGAAGCAGCCTGAGCCCTGAACCCTGAGCCTGCTCAAGGCTCCAAGCCCCAGTCCTAGTGGATTCCACAGCTCCAGGACCAGGCTGGATGCCCAAGTCCTGCCGTTTGCTGAATGAGGAAATGGGAACAGTGAGCTCTAATTTAATAGCTCCTGCCCTGTTCCCTGAGGTTTCCAGATCTATTTCTGTGCACAAGCAAACAGAAATAAGTGAGGGCACACCGAGCCTGGGGAGAGGGCGCTCCTGGTATACAGGAGCCAGGACCAGTTTGTGTGTAAAATGATGGGGCTTCCTAATTGCCTAAATGTTTTTCAGAGTGGAGTACCGTCATCCTAGCAACTGCTAGCACCTGAGCAGTTCTTGAGACCATCATTGCTTCTTATTTCACATCCTGCCCAACCCTTCCAGATCCTTCTACCCACTGGTAACTGGGATCTGCTGGACCTCACGGAGCATATTATTGAATGGGCACCAGGGAACCTCGATGTTAAAGTGCCCTTAGAATTTTTTTTTCTTTGAGACAGGGTCTTGCTCTGTTGCCCAGGCTGGAGTGCAGTGGCACAATCATAGCTCACTGCAGCCTCAAATCCCTGGGCTCAAGCCATCCTCCCACTTCAGCCTCCTAAGTAGCTGGAACTACAGGTGTACACCACCATGCTTGGCCAACTTAAAAAATATTTTTTTTAGAGGCAGAGTCTCGTTATGTTGCCCAGGCTGGCCTTGTACTGCTGTGCTCAAGTGATCCTCCCACGTTGGCCTCCCAAAGTGCTGGGATTACAGGCGGGAGCCACCACACCAGGCTGGAAAATCTCTGATGGGGCTGCTTCTGCTCTGGGAGCTGCCTGCTGAAAGAGAAAGGCCGGGTTTCACTCAGTCAACTTGCCTTCCTTTCTTTGAGTTTGGCACAGGGAAATACCAGCTCCTCAGAACTGGAGATGCATGGACTTTGCAGTTTTTAAGGAGAATGACTTATTCTCAGAGATGAGTTATCTACTTCAGTAACCATCTTGAGCATTCCCTGGAAGCACCAAAGCCTTACAATTACCCGTGTAATTTCTTGGCGTGTTTGGTGAAGCCTGAGTCATCCCAGGAAATATCCTGGGTGTTTATTCTCAAATGCTGAGATTTCATCCTCAAGTTTTGAGCTGCTCCTTCAGGAAAGCTTCCAGTTTTGTAGTTCTCAGTATAAAACCGCAACCTGTAACTGCCCAGGAAGCCCCCAGGGCTAAGCGGGGAGATGGCCAGACTCCAAGCAGATCCCCTAAGACCCCTGCAGAGCTGAGCTGGGGCAGTGTGGGGTAGGAGGAGTTGGGTTCTGTTTGAGCCAAAGAGAGTTAACTGCCAAAATCCTCAGCAAGGTTTCCTTCTGAGAAAAAATAAAGAAGCCTGATTGGAAAGAAAGAGGATTTGTAAACAGCTAAGATCTGCGGTTGCATCCTGCTACACTGAGAACATCCTAACATTTCAGACACAAGATCGGGGCTCTCTGCTGCCATTTGAACTGGCTTGGGATAAAATAAAGGTTGTGCTTTCATATTATGAGTCATATGGCTCTGCGAGCTGGAGCAGAGTCAGTTACCCTCGTGAAGACCCATGTTCCATCCCTGAATTACTCAGGACAGCTAGCTCTCCAGGACTGGGACTTCTCATCTGGCCAAGCTCCTCCCAAAATTTAACACTCACCTTCCCTCTTTCTTCCCTTCCTTTCTCTTCCCTTCACTTGCCTTCTTCAGTCTCAAAAGGACATTAAGTGATTCCGGATCTGGATTTCAAAACGCTCTTAAACAACCAGAATCCAAGAGATAAATGGAACTTTAGAGGCCATCTAATTTAACCTCTTTGTTAATTCTGAAATCTTCAAGGGTCTAGCCTCTGACAAACACCTTCATGATAGGAAGACCATGATGATACAAAGCAATTCATTCTCTTTGGATGACTCTATTATTGTAGAACTGATTTTCATATTGACTTTCTTATACTAAAGTCAGCCTCTCTGAAACTCATTTGTATTAACTCTTACTTTACAGGTCAGGCACGGTGGCTCACGCCTGCAATCCCAGTACTTTGGGAGGCCAAGGTGGGCAGATCACAAGGTCAGGAGTTCAAGACCAGCCTGGCCAACACGGTGAAACCCTGTCTCTACTAAAAAAAAAAAAAAAAAAAAAAACACAAAAATTAGCCAGGTGTGGTGGTACGTGCCTATAGTCCCAGCTATTCAGGAGGCTGAGGCAGGAGAATCACTTGAACCCAGGAGGCAGAGGTTGCAGTGAGCCGAGATTGTGCCACTGCGCTCCAGCCTGGGCCACAGAGCAAGACTCCGTCTCAAACAAAAGAAAACAAAACAACTCTTACTTTACCTCCTGGGGCAACCTAGCATAGGGCTACTCCTTCTCTATAGCAATCTTTCAGATGTTTGAAGAAAATTGCTATGAGGCAAGGTGATGTTGTGACTAAAGCATACAGTTTGGGTCTTGGGTGAGTCTCAGCTCCGCCCCTATTGATTGCGTGTGAATTTGAAAAAGTCCCATAACCTCATTTGCAAGTAGAGATACTACCCCCCATTGCAGGCAGTGTATCTATACTTCTGCAATGAGTGATCTCATATTGGTCTCTTGAACTTGGTACTGTAGGATATTTATACCATGGAAATTGGCAAATGCTACCAATGAGGGCTTTTTGTTTGTTTGTTGTTTTACCAGCACACCACTAACCATATCTCAGTTTAGTGGTAAGGATAAAATTAAGTTAGTGCAAGTAAATGTCCTTTGTGAACTATAAAGACCATAGAAATTATAGATACTAGTTTTTTGATAGACTGCCACAAAGTGGTCCTCAATCAGTCACACTCCTGAATTTGTACTTTTGTGTAGTCACTTTCTACATTCTTACTTTGGCTGCTCTTGTGAGTTTCTCAGTCCAGTGGAAAGCAACAGAAATTCTGAGCCCGGGCTTTTAGAGCCCTGTAGCAGCCACTTTCACTGTCTTGCTGCCTTGAGAAGTCATGAAGTCTAGGCTAGCCTCCCTGAGTATGAGAGGCTCTGTGGAGAAGAATGGTGAAAGAACATGAGAAGGGATGTGCCCATTCCAGCTGAGGCCATAGATGTGTGAGTGAAGCCATCAGGGCTCCTCCAACCCCAGTTGACTTACCAGCTGGCCCCAGATCTATCAAGGAGCCCAGCCAACACCATGACACCACATGGCACAGAGGAAAGCTCCCTGGCCCAGACTGCAGAACTGTGAACAAATGAACGGTTATTGTTGGTTTAAGAAACCAGGTTTTAGGCATAGTTTGTACATAATGATCAACGCGTATTACAGTTATTATCAGGCCCCTCCAAGTCTTCTCTTGTCCAGCTTAAACTTTCCCAGATCCCTGGATGGCATCTCGGTCTTCCTCTGGATGGGCTCCATTAACCAGTCCTGGGATAAACATGATGCTTGCTCCCAGAGCTCTGACCATACAGAGCTTGAGGGAATTCTGCCCTGTGCTCTGGATCCTAGATGAACACTTCAGTTGGAGGGCGAGCCACAGCTCTTGGCACAACAGCTCACTCTGTGAGCTCATTCTGAGCCTTTGCAGACAACTCAAACCCCCAGGCTGTGAAACTAGACCCTCCCATCCTGATATATTTTAAAATTCCCAAGTACAAGGTTTATAGTCATCACCACTAAACTTACCTTTTCATTTTAACTTATTATTTCAGTTTTTGAAAATCTGGACTCTGATTTGATTTTAAATTTTGCAACAACTATAGCATTTCCTTACATACACACATTCACTCCCACCCCCACACCCAAACTCACATCTGTCTAGACTCATGCACATCCAAATACACACAAACATCTATGCACATAAAAGGCAGAAACTCATTTCAGTTTTCATAGCAGCTATGGTGTCTTCTTAATAGTCATGGATCTTCGCAGTCAGCCTCCTGATTTCTTTCTCAGCCTCGTCTCCTCATCACTTCCAGTTTCGGTAGAAGAAACCACAACTCTAGTGACTTAACCAATTAGGGCTTATTTTTCTTAGACAAAAAGAAGCCCAGAGGTAGGGAGTCCAGGACCAGAATAGGGGTCCTGTGATGCCATTAGAGATCAGGTTTCTTCAGTTCTTCTATTCTGCCATGTTTTTCATTATTCTCATGATTTCAGGATGGCTGCTCTACCCTTAAATGTGGCATATGTGATCCAGACAAGAATGAGACAGAAAGGAAAAAGGGAAAAAGAAAAAAGGCAAGTGCTACTGAGTCTGTTCCCTTTTATACAGAAATTAACAGCCTTCCTGGAGCCCCTGCCCAGGAAACTTCTAGTTACATTCATTGTCCAGAACTGGGTCATGCAGTGACCCTGGCTGTGAGGGAATCTGGGGATATGAATATTTGTAACTGGGCACATTGCCACCCTGAGAAAAAATAACTGAGGTTGTGTTAATAAGAAAAAAATGGAGAAAGATAAAAAAAGAAAAGAAATGGAGAATGAATAATGAGTAGAGAACTAGCAGAGTTTGCCACATTCTCCCACACATACTATAAATCTGTATACCCAGATACATGCCAAATTTATTAAAAAAAGGTTATAGAAAATAAGGCAATGTGGTAGGTTGCAAAAAAAAAATAGTCAAAAATTCTCCCATTCCTGTACAAACAACTCTTTTCCATGTGACTTTGACATTCTTCTCATCAAGAGTCTATTTTTCCACTCTTTGATTCTGGGAAAAGCAACTTGTGACTGGCATTGACCAGTAGAATGTAACAAAAGTGATTCTATGTGACTTTCTAGCTCAAGAGGCCTTTCAACTTCCATTCTTGCCCTCTTAGAACTTGGTACTACATGTAAAGAATCCCAGAATAGCCTCTTTGAGGATGAGAGACCATACATAGAGAGAAACCCAGCCAACAGCCAGTACCAACCCCCAGACATGTGAGTGAGGTCATCTTAAAAGATCCAGCCCCATTCAAGCCTCTAGATGACAGTGGCTGCAGAAGTAACTTTAGAAAACCACCCTGCTGAGCCCAGCCCAAATGGCTGCCCCACAGAATCATGAGCAAATAAAATGGCCATTTCTTTAGATATTAAGCTGTGGCATGAATAATGACATAATTTATTTGTAGAGTACAAACAAAGTGGGTAATATTTGTGGTGGTGTTGGATCCTGGATTGACCCAGGTCTGGTTTTCAAACTTTGTTCATAGGAGCCCTGCGTGCAGGGCAACAGGAAAGCCAAACTAACAGCTCCCTAAGTCCCCTGCCCTCACCCATCCAGGGCACCTTGCCTCTATCCATTTTGCAGAATTGGGTCCTGCGTAAGATCTTATTTTTAAAAAAAGGTTGAATAGCCTCTCAACTGGATCACCTCTAAGTTTCCTTTAACTGTAAAGCTCAATGATCAGTCACAGAATTTTACTTGTTTTGGTAGTTGCATTCTCCCTGCCTCTCTTTCTGCTCCTTTTCCTTTGTATTTCATCTCATTCACCCACATCACAGTTCATCATGAAAGCACCTGGTGTTCTTCCATCACTTGCCCTGATTCCCCTCAGCCACCACCCACCCATCCACCCACATACTCAGCACCTGGCCTTATCCCTGCCCTTTGCAACCCTCCTTAACAGGGAGCAGGGCTTATGTTTCATCCTAGAAAGCCAAGGCTAAACTAGGAGAGGTGGCAGGGCCTGTGTAATTCTCAGAGGTACAGACTAGATGTTGTCATAAGTGAGAGCAGAGGGCTGGGAATGACACCTGCCCATGAGAGCCAGGAAGAAAGTTAAGTCTTTAATGGCTGACCTTTTCTAGAGCATTCTTTGTGCCGAGAGCCATGCTAGATGGTTACTTATCTCCCCAAATCCTAACAATCCCAGAAGATAACGCTTATCCTCTCACTTTACAGATGTAGAAACTGAGCCGGAATATCCAAAACAGGTCAAATTCTAGGACTGGTTATTAAATTTCAGGCACGTGCAGGCTCTCCACAACACCTGTACAGGTCATGCTCTGTGTAAGTTCAGTGGTTGCTTTCCTGGAGTTATGTGGTACAAACCTGCACAACCATACAATGGGGTACAAGCATAGTCCCTGGAGCCAGGCTGGCTGGCTTCAAATGTCAACTCCATTAATTAATAGCTTTGTGGCCTTGGGATAGCCACTTAACATCTCTGGGGCTCACTTTCTTTATTTGCAATGGAGGCAATAATGACACCTAACTCATAGGCTCTTTAAAATATGGTTTAAATAAGTTAATATTCGTGACCTGCTTAGAACAGTGACTAGCTACATAAGTGTTTGATTTGAAAAGAAAATAGCCTTCAGCTCTATAGCATATGACCCAAGTGAGGCCAGCATCCTTTCCTGGGATTGATTTTCAGAACTGGAGACAGGAAGCTCTTTTTTCTACTGGGATTTCTAAATTGGGACTTCTGGTGGCCATGATCCTCACCACGTGGCAAAGGCGTCTCTGCCGAAAGAGAATGAGGCCAACATCCAAAGACAGAGACAGGCAGGAAGGAGAGCTGGAGACAGAATCCTGGCAGAGTTCACTGGTCATTTTCTGTGATTCCTGCAGTCCCTCCTTCCATTCTGTGACTGCCCAGGAATCCTTCCCAGCACCGGGAGCCTGTCAGCCTCTCTTTTTATTTTTGTTTAAATTGGATGGGTTTATCTTCCATCCCTTGTGATTGAAACAATCCAGGCTAATCAAGGCGCTTTAGATCAGGGGTTGCAAAATCAAATACCTTCAGGAGTCAGGGAAGTCCTGTGTGGGAAATCACGTTTGATGGCAATGAGTATACAGAGAAACGTTTTTCCACTATAAGAATAAACAGCAGTGCACGTGCAAGGTCAGGATCACCTGGCCTCTTATGAGGGCTGTCACAGGGAGCGGTGGAAAGTGCAAACTTGTGAGTCATTCACTCTATTTAAAAGGCCCAGTCTATTTGGCCACGAGGGCCTGGGGTACCAATACCTACTGTTTCTCCAAAAGAAGCCATGAATCTGCGACTCCCAGCTTATAAATGTTGAATCAACCTTTGCTCAATATTGTGCAACACATCTGCAAATTGAATGTGTCCCCAGGGTTGCAGGTTATCACAGAAGCTGGTCCAGTTCCAGGATTTCCCATAAGGAGGAATAACCTAAGAGTCTAAACAGAACCAGAGTCCTGGGACTGCAGGTCTTGGATTCCGTCTCTGATGGAGGCTTTCTAGATTTCCCTGCTCCACTCCCACATCAAAGCTGGCCCCTTTGTAAAGGGATTCCTCGTCATGGCTAGTGGACCAGTCCCCTCCTCACCAGCGCCCTCAGCTCCTCAATGTGCCTTCTTATCCTCAGGCTGTATTTCTCTGTGTGTGTTGTGGGGATAGTGGTGGTGTTTATGGTGCTAATAGAAGAGGCCTGCCAGCCAAAAATGAACCCACAGCAATTTGATGCTCCAGTTCTGCTTGGGATTTTATAGCTCATGTAGCTGGAACTTGGGTACCCAAGACCTGCTGACCTGCTGCAGGAATGCTAATGGCGAATCAGGCAAAGTGACAGAGAGGAAGGCTTTTCTGGAAGTCTCTGAGGGCAGACCTGGGGGCAGCCATAAAAGACCTATCCTGTCTTGCTGAATCTTTAGCTCTGCTCTACAGAAGCACTGCTGCTTAAAATAAGACAGAGTGAGGGCCAACACCGACTTTAATGGGGGAGCAGCAAGTCAGCATTTGGGGCTCACTTTGGAAGGCTCTTTTCTTGTGCTCTTCTTTCAAAAATAAGGAGGAGAAGCCCCTTGTGATGGTCCAGCTTTTGTCGATGCTGAAGGAAACAGCCAAGATGGAATTCTCTGAGAAAGACTCCAAGGGTTTGGAGGCAGGGGTTGTTTCTATGTGAAAATGAAAAGAGATCCTGAGACTCCTTGCAGAAAGAAATGAGGGGAGAGTGAAGCCAAAGGGAAAAGCTGTCAATTCCCCTCCCCCTCAATTTGGAGACCATGAAGAGAGAAAGCAGCCATGGCTCTGCCCAAGGCAGACACATTTCTGCTTCATTCACCTGGTGACTCGGGGGGGTGTGGGCCAGGACCTGAGCGATGTCAAATATTCCTCAGCGGTCTCACCAAGACCATCCTCCTCTCATTTATTAAGCTAAAGAGTTGCTGGGGTTCCCGAGGAGGTTTTCAAATGCTGAGACCAGAAGAGAGAGCCCAGGGCTACATATGGAACTCCCTGAGGTTTTGCCCTAACTGAGAATCAATGAGGACATCAGCGCCCAGGCAGCAGGCTATCCCTCTGCCCCTCTTCTCATTGTGAGCTGTCTTAATCCATCACATAGAGCCTGGTATCAGTAGGGGTTCAAAGAATGCTGCTGAATTGAATTGGAATAAGACACACAGGAGGCTGGGCGTGGTGGCTCACGCCTGTTATCCCAGCAATTGGGAGGCTGAGGCAGGCGGATCACAAGGTCAGGAGATCGAGACCATCCTGGCTAACACAGTGAAAGCCTGTCTCTACTACAAATACAAAAAAAAATTAGCCGGGCATGGTGGCGGGCGCCTGTAGTTCCAGCTACTCGGGAGGCTGAGGCAGGAGAATGGCATGAACCCGGGAGTCGGAGCTTACAGCAGTGAGCTGAGATCGTGCCACTGCACTCTAGCCTGGGCGACACAGAGAGACTCCATCTCAAAAAAAAAAAAAAAAAAAAAAAGACACACAGGAAATGAATTCATCTCTTCTTTCAATAAGTGCTTATCTGAGTGGCCTCAGGACCCTCAATGGGTATTCTGTGGGAAGGGCACCCCTGGAGCTACCCTACTCAGTACAGCATTGCATCCGTGGTCCTGCTTAACTGGAGTAGGGATGGGGAGCTCTGGGCAAACTGGAAAAATGGAAGATAATCCCTAGGGAATGCAAAATCTTATCGCTGCTGAGGACACAGCTTCACATGAGATGTGGACACAAGTCAGGGAAGTGAAATCCACCTGCTGTCATGATTTTAGGGGATTTCAGAGTCTAGGTCAATGAGCCGACCAACAATCTAGAGTCTTAATTCCTTGACATCTGTAATTCCAGTGACATCTGTAATTCCTTTTCTGTATCATGGCCACCCTCTCCCAGGGCCTCAGTCTGCTTTCTCCTTGGACTTCACCATCTCACTGTCTATCCACTGCCTTCTGCCCAGGTAGCTGTCTCTGCTTTTTGAGACAATACCAATCCCCATCTCTGGACCCTTTGTTTCTGACCTATAACTCTTCCCCACCCTTTATGACTCCATCCAATATAGGTGTGAGGACAGTTGGGTCATTGGAACTGCACCCCATATCTTACCCCTTGTCTTAGTCTGTTGGGCTGTTACGACAAAATACCACAGACTAGGTAATTTATAAAGAACAGAGGTTTATTTTCTCATAGCTCTAGAGGCTGGGAAGTCCACGATCAAGGCACTAGCAGATTCAGTGTCTGTGAGGGCCTGTCCCTCATATGGCAACTTCTTCCTGTGTCATCACATGGCAGAGGAGGAAGACAGAGATGACTGCTGTGTCCTCACATGGCAGAAGAGAGGGAAGGGCAAAAGAGGCTTCGCAGGACTTCTTTTATGAGGTCATTAGTCCCATTCATAAGGAATCATGACTTAATCACCTTCAAAAGGCCCCCCTCTTAATACTATTCCATTGGCATTTAAGCTTCAACATGTGAATTTCAGGGGGACACATTTAGACCCATAGCACCCCTACACCTACCAGGAAGTCCCACACACACATTCCTGATTTCCAACTTTAGCTGAGTCCTCAGGTCCTTTAAAAGGGCCAATGACACCTGGAAGGAGGGACCTGAGGTGGGGATTATAGGATGAGAGGTGAAGTGGTGAGAGAAAGGGGCTCAGCCAGATGTGGCAGAGGGTGGAGGGTAGGGGAAGATGAGTATGGCCAGCAATGTCAATGCCACAAAAGGCCACGTGGGGTGAGAACTGAGGAGAGGCTGATGGGATTAACCTAGGTCACTGATGACCTTCTGCAGGCCGTTTCTGCAGAGGGTGAGGGCAGAAAGCAGGCTGCAGCAGGCTGAGTGGATGAGAGGTGAGAAAGTAGATCCACAGAGAAAGCCTTCTTTAAAGGCACTTGGCTGGGAATGGAGGAGCACGTTTAAAGCCTGGAAGCAAGTGAGCTTGGGGGTTTTAATGGCAGATGGACCTGGAATTGAGTCCATCCAGAACTTTAAGCACTCTTCAAGTTTCAAACTTGGCCAAGCTCACTTGGGTGAGCTTGGAAATGTCACTGAACTCCTTGCAGCTTCTTTCTCTTTTCTTTCTTCCTTTTTTCTTCCTTTCTTTCTTTTTCTTTTTCTTTCTTTTTCTTTCTTTTCTTTCTTTCTTCTTTCCTTCTTCTCTTTCTTTCTCCTTCCTTCCTCCCTCCCTTCCTCCCTGTCTTCCTTTCTTTTCTTTCCCTTCCTTCCTCTTTCTTCTTTCTTTCTTTCCTTCTTCTCTTTCTTTCTCCTCCCTTCTTTCCTCCCTTTCTGTCTTCCTTTCCTTTCCCCTTCCTTCCTTCCTTTCTTTCTTTCTCTTTTTTTCAGAGTCTTGCTGTGTTGCCTAGGCTGGAATACAGTGGTGGGTCTCGGTTCACTGCAGCCTCCACCTCCCAGGTTCAAGCAATTCTCATGCCTCAGCCTACTGAGTAGCTGGAGTCACAGGTGTGCACCACCACACCTGGCTGATTTTTGTATTTTTTGTAGAGAGGGGGTTTCACCATGTTGGCCAGGCTGGTCTTAAACTCCCGGCCTCAAGTGATCTGCCCACCTTGGCCTCTCAAAGTGCTGGGATTACAGGCATGAGCCACCACACCCAGCTAACCTCTGTTTCTTCATCTGTAAATGGAGAGGATGTCACCTACTTCATTGGATTGGTTTGAGGATTAATCAAGATAAGGCAGATTAATTACTATGCACCTGGCATGTAATAAGTACCTAACTAATCATCTCCCTCGTATTTGTGGGCTTATGGAAAGAAAGAAAAATAAAGGATTCTGGAGGGGATGGTAATTAGCAGGGCATGTTCTGCAGGAGATGGGAGAGGAGGAGGTCAGCCTCTGGAAGGAGGAGGAATGATTCTTCCTCTAAGACAGGAGGACATGAAGGGAAAGAGGAAGATGCAGATTAAATTGTGAGATGAAGTGGCCAGAGGTTGTAGAAATCCATGTCAGAAGGTCTCTCCCACAATCTGAGAATGAAGTCCTTCTCAGCCTTCAGTTCTCCAGGCTCCCTTTTACATCTTGACAATCAGATATTTTAAGAAGGTTGTCATGTCCGTAAATCATTTTTATAGATGAACATGAGTGGCTTCTTGTGCGGTGTGGTTCCCACACTTATACCACCTTTCTCTGGGGGTCCTTCCAGTTTGTTAAAATGTATCTTAAAACATGGACCCACAACTAAGCCTAATATTTTACAAATGGCCTGACCTGTGACAAACCCAGGGGGCTACTGTCTCCTCACTAGACACTCCTGACTCTGTGACACAATCAAAGTCCATTCAGGTTTCCAGCTGCCACATCAGGCCTTAGTCCACCTTGAGTTTGCAGTCAACCAAAATCTCTAAGTCAGTTTCACATACAACACCGTCAAATGGGATTCCTTTTTCCTTCGTCATTTCTTTTCTTCTTTTAATCACTAAGTACAAAACTCTACTTTCATTCCTTTAAAATTTTATCTTCATTTTGATCTATCCTTCTAGCCTTTCGGATTCCATTCTCCTGGCCCCAGAGGAGGAAGTTACATTTCAGACCTGTCAGGTGACTCAGCCCCACTGACACAAAGAGTCTTTGTTAGTTACATCCAGGTGCCTCCGATTTCCTTGGAGACAACCCGGGACTGTCCAAAGATGCTTTGATCCTTTTTAATATCTGTGAGGATGTGCAGGGAGATGGATGCTAACCTGGGCCAAAGATGTATAAGGCTCCTTTGGAGAACTGGAGGCCTCCCTGGGGAGCTGAGACACTGCCCTCAGAAAAGGTTCTGAGTAACATCTGCTTTCAAATCCAAAACCACTCTTGGGAAATGAGACTCATTGTATAGAAAAGGTGATACCCTTGCTGATAGCAAATGGAGACAAGACTTCTAGATGACACCTACTGGTGCTCAATGAGTGTTGAATGAATATAGAATGAATAAATTAGCAAATGAATGAATGAAACGTAAGTGTGGATGGTTTTGAAGCCCCCGTTGATCTGGGCCATACTTTGCTAGGTAGTAAACTTGCTGTACACTGTGGAGGTGCCCGACCCCGGGGTTGTGGTGGTGGCTGCCGAAGGCATGGAATGGAGGACACGAGTGACCAGAAATCAAAGAGCTGCCCTCAGGGTCTGGTGGCAGAGGATCAGGCTCTGGAAATCTGTGGTCTTCCTCCTGGTCTTTTGGCATCTTGTTTTACTCTCCTGTGGGCATTTTATTCTGCTCTCTGTCCCCCACTCCTCATTTCTCCTGAGAAAAGCTCATCTGAAGATGAATTCAAAACAAAACAGCCAGTTTGAAAAACTGGATGTTTCACTCTTATATTGCCAAGAAAGATTTGATGTAAGACCAGATGTCAGGGAGCTCTATGTGATTCACAGATATGACTGCTTCTAGCAGCTAGGAGTGCAAGGGAGGGAGGGAGCTGCAGGACACACATGCAGTTGCCTCATCTTGGAGAGGGGACACTGAGGCAGAGGCTCAGCTAGGAAGCAAGAGGTGACAGGAACAAACAGGAGGCACCACTGCTGCTGTTTCCAAGGACAGTGTGCTGCCCATGACCCCCCGAGCCTGGCCCACGTGACCCACATCACATCCTCACCATCTTCTAGGAGAAATGAGAGGATTTTAAAACCAGCCTTAGCTGAGTACAGTGGCTCATGCCTGTAATCCCAGCACTTTAGAAGGGAGGGCAGGAGGACTGGTTGAGGCTAGGAGTTTGAGACCAGCCTGAGCAACATAGCAAGACACCCATCTCTAAAACTAAACAAATAAAAGAAAATAAAAATTAAAACCAGCCTCTTCAAAGACACAATTATAGGCACTCTGCCTATGGAGTAGCCATTCTTTATGCCTTTACTTTCTTAATAAACTTGCTAAAAAAAAAAAAACAAAACACATTTACAATTATAAATTGTGGGAGGCAGGAACCCAGATTCTTACCTTGATTATTTTTTGCTTTGGTTTTTTTTTTTTTTTTTTAGACGGAGTCTCGCTCTGTCGCCCAGGCTGGAGTGCAGTGGCATGATCTCGGCTCACTGCAAGCTCCGCCTCCCGGGTTCACGCCATTCTCCTGCCTTAGCCTCCTGAGCAGCTGGGACTATAGGCGCCTGCCACACACCCAGCTAATTGTTTGTATTTTTATTAGAGACAGGGTTTCACCATGTTAGCCAGGATGGTCTCAATCTCCTGACCTTGTGATCCGCCCATCTCAGCCTCCCAAAGTGCTGGGATTACAGGCGTGAGCCACTGTGCCCAGCCTCTTATTTTCTTTATTAGATTGTAAACTCCTTGAGGGCAAGGACAATGTCTTATCTCTGTGATCCTTCAGAGTGCTTATATCCCTTATACATAGTAAATGCATCATAAATATCTAATAATAATGGCTTCTCTTACCCAGAATGTCCAGGCACTTGTTTCACTAATATTTGCTGAGCCCCTACCATGCTCCAACCAGCACTTTAAGCACTCTGCAAGTGTTAACTAGTGAATGTTGAGGTGTTGAGGTTGGGTTCCTTCCCTGAAGATAGTTTTGTCACATGGTTGTTAATGACCTGCAAAAGCAGTGTTTTTGCTTTGGAGAATCCAGTTACAGTGCTCCTGAGCTGCAGAAGGAGCTCTGAGACCCAACAACCTTGTGTGGAATTCCACAATTCTCTTATTCATAAACGGACCCTCTATATAGACTGGTAGTGAAACATATCAAGAAACATTTCCCACTTTAGTTTTTCACGAAGAAAGCCGCTATTGTCTCATCTCAGCTGAGATGGGGTCACGCAGGGACGCAGCTCCCTTGCCTGATCTCTGACTCCCTGGAAGTTTCCTAAAATGTTTCTGTGGGCCTAAATCCTTGTAAGTCCAGCTGTCTATGAGGCATTGAGATGGGATTTGAGACCTTACTCCCTGAGGGTAGTGATCTCTAAATGGTCAGGATGGAGAACGACCCCAGGTGGTCCCAAGCCATTCTCTCAGCATTTATAACAGGAGGGTGTCTTTACTGATGTGTCTGGAATTAATTATTCTTTTCTTTTCCACAGTGGCCTTCATTGGCATCACCAGCACTGGAGCTATTCCAGTGAGGATTTTTGCTGCGGCACATCACGGAGTGGCATGAGAGGTCAGAGAACTCCTAGTATCCCCCAAATATCCATTCTGTTCTTCTTCCTTAGTGATGGGCCCCCGACATGAAACTGGCACTCAGAATGAAGAATGCCTTTTCCAGCCTCCCTCGCTGGTGGAGTCTCCGTGTTCCAGCCAATGAAGTAAGTGACATGGCATGTGCAGTGTGGGGAGAGAAGAGGGGAGGGAAAGGAGTCATGGAAGGTTTATGCCAAACGCCGAGGATGGGGAGAAAGCAGGATAAAGAGATCCTGGTTCATGACAACCTCAGGAAGACTAAGTCCAGACTTCATTCACCTGAGAAGGAAATACACTTCTATCTTTGTTTAGACCATTTGGAGGCAGAAAGTAGGGTCTTTAAAAGCTGAATCCAATTCTCACTGGCACCTAGGTAGGGCATGCAGTTGCCTGCCCCACTGAAGTCAACTTCAGCCTGAAGATTGGGAGACTTCCGAAAGTGGAAAACTTGGAGTAAGTGTGGGTCGGGATCCAGATGCCAGTCCCCATGGCCTCTGCTGAACAACTCTTGGAGTGGGGAAATTCAAACATGGAAGGGATCCCTGGGGAGAAAACCTCACTATTGTCCCAAAATTCTGCATGACTGGAGTGAGTCTCTCAGAGTCTCTTTTTCAAGGCCGTGTTGCTAAAAGCACAGTGGAGACAGATCACCTAGCTATGATGAAGGAAGGGGAATGGTTTTAATAAAGAGGGAAAAAGTGGAAGGCAGTGTTTTTTCTTTTTTCTTTTCTTTTTTACTTTTTTT
Source organism: Homo sapiens (assembly GCF_000001405.40). Classification (NCBI taxonomy): domain Eukaryota; kingdom Metazoa; phylum Chordata; class Mammalia; order Primates; family Hominidae; genus Homo; species Homo sapiens. The sequence goes on along the minus strand of NC_000014.9, from coordinate 50,010,313 downwards.
TTCTGAGACAGAGTCTCGCTCTGTTGCCCACACTGGAGTGCAGTGGCATGATCTCAGCTTACTGCAAGCTCCACCTCCCAGGTTCCAGCCATTCTCCTGCCTCAGCCTCCCGAGTAGCTGGGACTATAGGTGGCCGCCACCACACCCGGCTAATTTTTTGTATTTTTAGTAGAGACGGAGTTTCACCGTGTTAGCCAGGATGGTCTCGATCTCCTGACCTCATGATTCGCCTGCCTCGGCCTCCCAAAATGCTGGGATTACAGGCATGAGCTACCATGCCCGGCGGAAATACTTTGCTTTTTAAAAATTTTATTTTATTTAAAAATTTTATTTTTAGGCTGGGTGTGGCGGCTCATGCTTGTAATCCCAGCACTTTGGGAGGCTGAGGCAGGCGGATCACCTGAGGTCAGGAGTTCGAGAACAGCCTGGCCAACGTAGTGAAACCCTGTCTCTACTAAAAATACAAAAAAATTAGCCGGGCGTGGTGGTGCATGCCTGTAATCCCAGCTACTCCGGAGGCTGAGGCAGGAGAATTGCTTGAACTCGAGAGGCGGAGATTTGCAGTGAGCCGAGAGCGTGCTATTGCACTCCAGCTTGGGTGACAAAGGTGAAACTCCGTCTCAAAAAAAAAAAAATTATTTTTAATTTACGTATTTTTAGAGATGGGGTCCAGCTATGTTGCCCAGGCTGGTCTCAAACTCCTGGCCTCAAGTGATCCTCCCTCCTCAGCCTCTCAAAGTGCTGGGATTACAGGCTGGAGCCACTGTGCTGGTCACACATTGCTTTTGATTGCTAGAAACCAGTTTATACTTCAGACTTGAGCCAGCTGGTGATCAGTTCTCTTTAAATTGCAAATGATATAAACTCCAATTCAAATGGACTTCAGCAAAAAAGATAATTCATCAGCACATATAACTGGAAGTTCAGGGGCTTCACATACTGCTGAATTCGGGTGCTTCGACCGGTCATCAGGACTCAGCTCTCAGAGTTGCCTTGTCTCTGTGGCTCTTCCTCTCCCGAGAGTGGCAAGATGGCTACCGGCATCCTTAGGGTCACACTGGAACAGGTTAGAAGTTCCTGTGGAAAGCTAGACACTTTCCCAATAGTTACAAATATTACATACATATATATACAAAGCGTCCTGGGACTGACTCATTTAACTGACACGTACCAGTCCCTGAAGGCCTTGTTGATTGGCCAGGCCTGGGTCAGTCCTGAATCTGGGTGGGGTCAGCCTCACCAGAACAGCACAGTGAGTTTGGGGGTAGGGGGACGGAATATGCAAAGAAAAGCCAGGACAACACTAAGCAGACAAAATAAAGGTTTTTTTTTCCCCCTATTACAACCAAGGCCACCTGGATTTCATAATTCCTGCCCAGGAGGCAAACCTGGCTCACTAATTTCAGTGTTCTTTATTAAAGACACACACAGCAGAGACAGAGGAAGAGAAACCAGAAGAGGGAGGTGAGGATGGAGCCTCTAAGGGCAAGAATGCATTCTTTTTTTTTTTTTTGAAATTTTGTTTTCGTTTGAGACAGGGTCTCACTCTGTCACCCAAGATAGAGTGCAGTGGCACAATCACAGCCCACTGCAGCCTCAACCTCCCTGGGTTCAGGCAATCCTCCCACTGCAGCAACCTCCCCAGTAGCTGGGACTACAGGTGCATCCTCATGCCTGGCTAATTTTTGTGGTTTTTTTTTTTTTTTTTTTTAGAGATGGCGTTTTGCCATGGTGCCCAGGCTGGTCTCAAACTCCCAGGCTCAAGTGACCCACCCACCTTGGCCTCCCTAAGTGCTGGGATTACAGGCATAATCATGGCACCCAACTGAGCGCTGCAAGGGTCTTTTCCAAGCTGAGTGCTGTAAGGGTCTGGGTTAGGCAAGGAAGACACTAAGGGTGTGGCCACTTGCTGTACAGTGGAGCAGGGGCCTTAGAACTACATAGAAGAATGCAAGCAAGCTCCCCCTTTCTCTGGAGAAACAGCATCTCTATTTTCCAAGCATACATGCTATACCAGCATCCTTGGAAAGATGATCAAATAAAAGACAGACAGTGTGTCTGCTTGCAAGATATACAGAAATGTGGCCAGGCACGGTGGCTCATGCCTGTAATCCCAGCACTTTGGGAGGCTGAGGCGGGCAGATCACGAGGTCAAGAGATTAAGACCATCCTGGCCAACATGGTGAAACCCCATCTCTACTAAAAATTAAAATATTAGCTGGGCGTGGTGGCATGCACCTGTAGTCCCAGCTACTCGGGAGGCTGAGGCAGGAGAATCGCTTGAACCCATGAGGCGGAGGTTGCAGTGAGCCGATCATGCCACTGCACTCCAGCCTGGTGACAGAGCGAAACTCCATCTCAAAAAAAAAAAAAAAGGAAATATATAGAAGAATGCCTTCTGAATAATCATTTCTTTTTTGAAATTGTGGCAAAATCTCCCTGGACTCAAGGGATGGGTGTAAAAAGCAGTTAGGCAGAGGATGAGGGCCTGTGCCTGAGGCGTCCAAGGGCAGCCCCAGCTCCCTGCAGATCCAGTGCAGCGGGATGTGCAGGTAGATCTCCCTCCCCAGGGCACAAAGCTGGGTGGGGAACAGCTGTCAGAACCAGCCACACCCCACCCCACCCTGCCCAGGCATCAGAAACCTCAGGGAAATGCCTAGATACTCCACCTCAAGGAAAACATTGAGGCCCTGTAGCCAGGAGTGCCCTGTTTGTGTCTAAAAGTTGCCCCAGCCCAAATTTACAGCTGGGAGGATCAGAAGGGCAATCTCTGTCTTCTCCCAAAAGGAAATCATACCCATAGTTACCACTGGGAGCAGGGTGGGCCGTTTACACTCCTCATCCTACCTCGCCATCACCTTAGGAAGCAGCCATTCTCCTTGTCTTTACTGTAGAGGAGGAAGCCTGGACAGCCTGCAGTTGAGGGGACCTGCACAAGCTCACAGGACTCTTCATCACCATGACACCACGCTCACCGCAAAATAAAAATGATCAAACCTGTCATGATGTCAGCAGCACCGGTGTTGGTCTTTGTGGGAAAGAAAAACACAGGCCAGGGCTGCAGCACGATTGTGTCTGCCCAGCTCTTGCAGCCTGGAGAACACCGTTGGATTCCCTCCCACACATGCTCCCAGGCTGCCTGCCTGCCTCACTTACCTGCTCAGGGTGGGGCTTGAGGGTGGCCCCTGGGAAGAGTAAGAACTGGCCAAGACTGAGATGTCCTTCCCTCATTTAAGGTACCGCCTTTTCCCTTTTCCCGCCATCCTGGGTGCATGGATACTTGGGATTAGAAACTGGACTGGAAATGTAATCTTTCTTCGGTTTGGGGCTGAGAACTGGGGATTAGTAGGATTTTGAGTTTATGGCACAGCCTTTTCTTACACCATTTCCTAAAAAGCAGTTAAGATTACACCAGGCACAGTGGCTTACGCCTATAATCTCAGCACTTTGGGAGGCTGAGGCAGGTGGATCAAGACCAGCTTAACCAACATGGTGAAACCCCATCTCTACTAAAAATACAAAAATTAGCTGGGCGTGGTGGCACGCATTTGTAGTCCCGGCTACTTGGGAGGCTGAGGCAGGAGAATTCCTTGAACCCGGGAGGCGGAGGTTGCGGTGAGCTGAGATTGCACCATTGCACTCCAGCAGCCTGGGCAACAGCAACGAAACTCCGTCTCAAAAAAAAAAAAAAATTACAGTCATCTCCCAGAAAAATCAAGAAGGAAGAACCTTGGAGGTTCAACCTATAGAAGATATGTTCTCATGGAATAAACCAAAAATAATTTTTATTTTCTAAAAAATCAAGAACAGAAGTCTCTCAACATTTAAGTTTTACAAACAAATAGAATCTGAGCCACTGGGTTAAACATGACAAACGACACACAGTAACAAATATTGAAGACATCATAATGCCAAAGCAACAGAAGCAGCACCAGAAATGTTGCTGAGGCCACCATTTAATTAACGCAAGTTGAACATATGGCTTTGGTTACATGTGGTTCCAGGCCAGAGGCATGGAAGTCAGTGTTTGTGGGAAAGCCAGGAGGAAAAGCTCCTCTCCCCACCTCCACCTTGTCACTCCAGGTTCTGGTGACCCCATCTCGGGACACGGCCTCCCATTTCACTCCTGCACCAACCCCACTCTTGTAACACTGCACATGCAAGATGTGAGCATCTTCAAAGTACGAATATTGCCTTCTTCATTTTAGAATCCATGATGTGCTTGTGGGGAGAATGAATGAATGCTCAAACATGAATGGAGAGAGACAGAGAGGAAGTGCAGGTCTAACCAAGGAAACCTTCTTTCCTAGAAAATCGTTGATGAGCCCGGAAAGAGTTGGCTGAACAACGGTAACAATTCTTTTATTATTATTTAACTTATTAAGTTATTAGAAAAAGTAAAAGAGTGAGTCGAGGTTTTTGGATTGGAAGTAGGGACCCACTGAGTTCCCTCCAGGATTGTGGAGTTTCTTTTACAGCCACATGTGGATAAGAAACTAAGGGCCACAGACCAAATGACAGGTCGGATGGCAACCCTGGAAAAGTCACACAGCTCAGCCTGTTGGAGGAAGAGGAGCAGTAGAACCTGTGTGGAGCCTGACAGAACCCAAGATGCCATTCACGAACCGAGAGGTCTTTCAAGATCACACACAGTTCTACGACACAGACATTTCGTCTTCTTGCCACTCAGTAGCGGGGCCCATCCCTCTGTGCCTCCAAGGTCCGTGTGCCATGTGGAAAACTCAGGTGTTCTGTCTCTGCCAGGACCTTCTTCCTGCTGCTTATTTAAGTGTCTGCTGCTTCGGGGCCTCAGGTGCCTGCTTTATCTCTTTCTCCTTTACTATCAAGTCTTTAAGCAATTTGCCAAGACGGAGAATCTCACTGGCCTGGTGGGGCTGAGCCTTCCTTCACTGGCTGACCAACTGGGAAGTGGGCTGCTGCCTAGATCAGGTGCGTGCCACAGTTCATCTAGCCGTGCCCAGAGTTCTAAGGTTATGCGCATGACCCCGTGTGTGGGCAGAGGCTCTTAGCAGGGGCCGAGAGCATTGGAGGCATCTTGAGGGCCAGAGTCCCCAGCCCCAGATCACAGATACGGCATGATCAAAATGTGAGGGAGCAGGGGCAGAGATTATTTGGAATAACGTGCTGAGTTTGTATACTTTTGACAATTAAAAGCCCTATGTCCCCCTGATGTTACGCATATGCTCCAGAGGAGCCACTCGGGACAAAGAATCAATAATGGGCGCTTGGTGTGCATTGAAAGCTGACAGTGTATATTTGTGGGGACTATACAGGGAAAGGAATATGAAGCCTTGACAAGATATGGTGAGTATGTATCGGTGAGGTAGGTAACTCATTCATAAGGGACTTTGCAAGGTGGCAACACTGGTTCAAAGATATTACGAGAATAAAGATTTTGTGTACTCAGAGAACGAAAAGGAATGCTGACGTAAGATCACAAAGTTAGATACTAAACTGGCTAATGTGCTACAGGGCAGCAAAACTATAACCTTTGAGGTAATTTATCTGACCAGATAGGAATCATTTGCATCTCTGTAGAACAGAAAAACACTTACTTTTTTTTTTTTTTTTTTTTTTTTGAGACAGTATCTGGCTCTGTCCCCCAGGCTGGCGTGCAGTAGCATGATCTTGGTTTACTGCAACCTCCACCTCCTAGGCTCAAGCCATCCTCCCACCTCAGCCTCCAGAGTAGCTGGGACTACAGGCACACACCACCATGCCCAGCTAATTTTTGTATTTTTTGTAGAGAAGGGGTTTTGCCGCCATGTTGCACAGGCTGGTCTCAAACTCTTGAGCTCAAGCCCACCTCAGCCTCTCAAAGTGCTGGGATTATAGGCGTGAGCTCCCGTACCCAGACAGCACTTACATTTTAATAGTTTCTACACAGTACTATCTCATGTTATTTTATTTTTTAAAATCGATAATGGGACTCTTGCTATGTTGCTCACACTAGTCTTGAACTCCTGGCCTCAAGCAATCCTTCCATCTTGGCCTCCAAAGTACTAGGGTTACAGGCATGAGCCGGGGCTCCTGGCCTAACTAATTTCAGAGTTAAGAACGTTTGGACTCTATTTTATAGTAAAAAATAAGTCAAAGCTACCTTCCCCTAGATAGCCAAATGACTCTCAGATGGGCTCGTTAGACAGTGCTTTAATTTAATATTGAAAGAACTTTTTGCTTCCCCTCCTCCAAGTTTTAATAATTCTTAACAGAGGGAAACAGCAACAAAATTTTTGCTGTAGTGGGTATTAAAGAAGGGAAAACAATCATGAATGCCGGAGTCAAAATGCCCAAGGAGCGGAGGCACCAGCGTTCTCCACCTGGTTTGGCGGCGCACCAGCAGTGTGACCTGGAATCTGATCTCTCTGGAGCTCAGTGTCCTCACCTATAATATGGGGTATTGAACTACACACTTGGCAGGACTTTGCCCTAAAGCTAATTTTCAAAATAAAAAAAAAAAAGCCACTTCCCTTTTCCCACATTAACCCTGAGAGAGAAAGAGGAAGCGGGAAGCCCGCACATGGAAGCAATTTATTGCAGACGTTCCTGGGCTGGGAGAGGAGCCTTCTGACTGCTGCAGAGACCATCACCCGGTCCTGCACCTTTACCGGAGGTGCGGAGAACTGCTCGGCCCGCACCGGGCTCGGGGGTGTTCACGGGCTGCGCTGCCTCCCCTGCGCGCAGGACAGGAGTCGCCAGAGGCCGGTGGTGGATTTCCTCCCCGCATCTCAGCTCTCCGTCCAAAGTCAAATTGCTCTTTTCTCCGCCCACGCGGGCGTGGCAGCTGATATCCGGCCGCTGGGCGTCCCCGCGCCCCCGGGGGCCCCGCCCTGCAGCTATCTCCGCGGCCCACCCGGCGGCGCCTCCCTGCAGGGCTGCTCCCCAGCCCAAACCGCCGCGGCGCGACGTGGAGCCAGCCCCGCAAAGCTGCATCCACCCCCCGAGGACCAGCCCCTCGAAGGCAAGGCCAGGACCTCCCCGGGCGGCTGCAGCCGTGAGCCACCCCTGTTTTGTGAAACACACACTCTGCCATTTCAGGCCGCACTTGCCCGTTGCCATGGGCGTTTTCTATGTTGACACAAGCAGGGACACGGAATCCCTTGACTTTGAGTTGCAGATCGTGGGTGTTGGCGTCTCCGCTGCTTTACCAGGAAGGATGGAAGGGGCTTCAGCCTCCATTCTCACTTTCCTTCTCAAGGAGTTGGCTAAGCATCAGGAGTTTTCTCTTAGGCTTCTCTCAGGTCCCCTTTCCCTGAGAGGTGAAAAGTTTTTCAGAAAGGTGAGCAGCTTTCTCTTTATTCCCAGGGACCACTTCACACACCCCTTTTTCGCCTCCAGAGTAGATGGAACCGTGGAACGAGGGAATCCTGCCCTCTGGTTGTGTCTGTCATCTCCTACTGGGACCAGAGCCACAAAAGCCACAAAAGACCCAACTCTCTCCAGCGTGCAGGCATCCCAACTAGAGGAAGCAAGGAGGCAGAGACCAAGAGGACATCAAGAGGCGTTTGAACCCGCAGAGAGGGCCTGGGAGCACAATGCTGAGCGTAGGTCCAACCACTGCTTCTCAATGGGGTGGGAGAGCGGCGTGGGGAGAGTTGTGGGCATTTAGGGCAGGACAGTGCCCCCCACCCCACTTGGGACGGGGCCGCATTGCATCATCACTGTAACAGCACTAGCTGCCCCTGCCCCCACAACCCCTATGTATGAAATGCAAGTAGCACCTCCCCATCTTTGTGACAACCCAAAATGCCACCTCCTGTGCCCAAGCACTCTCTAGTGAGGTGTTTCCTTAGGTTAAAAACCACTGTTAGATCATTTCCTAAAATATATCTCAAAAGACCTCAATTAGTTCCTTCATATATAAGTAGGTGTTATATGAAAAGAGTAGCATGCTGATATCAGTATCATGCTGGGTTTGGGAGATGGTGGGTTAAAAAGTGGAACAGGATTTACTTACAGGACTTCTCAGAACCTTTAATATATATAAATATATGTTTTGAATCACCAAGAGAGAGATGGACTATGCAGATCCCCAAATTTAATTGGCCCTGGAATTCTTTCTTTGTGGGACCCTTTTGGGTGGAACCCACCTTAGATACCTCTGAACTACATTTTGTCGTCCAGGGCACTCTCTGGGGACTTCTGTGTCCTTCCCAGTGTGAAGTGCAGGAGTGAGCAGTCAAAAGGCCCTTATGTTTTTACTGAATTGAAACACCTAGAATGTGTGAAGATACCAGGAAGGAGGCCAGAGCTTCAGGAAACCGCTGCAAAGATGATCTCACAAAGAAACCATTGTGGCAGGGCTCCTGGAGCACTCAAGTTGATGTGACGTGTCCTACTCCTGAGAGCACGCAACCCTGCTGGCTCCTTGGGCTTGCATGGCTCAGGGAAAGGAAAATAGCCCGGGTGTTTGGAAGAGAAGTATGTGTGGATGGAATTATTCAAATGCTGATGGATGGATTGGGTCTCCTCTCCTGCTGGCCCGGCAGCCTCTCCGTGGAAGGCTTTGCCCAGGAGATGGGTCACAACAGCTCTGGTGAGATGCTGGAAACATAAGCCCAGGCAGATAGAATGGCAGTGAGTCACAGTAAACCGACAACCGTCAGGTGCTCAGGAGGGAAGCTGAAGCCAGGGGACTCGCTGTGCTGAGCTAAGCGAGGAGCAGGACTCTCCTGTTGTGCAAAACACAAAGAGCAGAGTGTTCAAGTCCAAGGATCAGGTTCCTCCAAATGGAAGCCCAAGCTGTGCACGCTGAGCTCCAGGGCTGGCGATACAATCACCTGCCTCTGCCCATGCAGGAAGGTACCACCCAAACATACCCATTTCTCCCGGGGCATGGGCAGGGGCCAGGGGAGACAGGGCCCTACCACTTCCCATGTAAAACTGGGTGAGCAGCCCAGCGCCCGTCAGAGCCGAAGCACCTCACCTGCACCCCCGCCCCCGCCCCCGCCCCCGCCCCGCCCCGCCCAGCCTTGTAATCTGGGCTCTGCTCGCCATGTGCTCTGTGCTAGTGAAACTGCCCTCAGAGCAGAAATAAACTGTTGGCTCTCAAGTTTTTCCAGACTAACCGGACTGGCCAATGCCTGAGGCTCTGTGTTCAAGATAAAAGTGCCTAAGAAAGAAAAGTGCAGGTAGGCAGTCCCCACTTCTGCAGGGCTGGTGGGCTCTGGGGATCCTGTCTCAGCCTGCTGAACAGCCCAGAGTGGCTTTAAAAAAAAAAAAAAAGCCTGAACAACCTTTTTTTGCACATGGGTCACAGTCAAGCTTCTTAAACTTGGATGACAGTAAACCTATGACTAACTGGATAATTAAAGCCACAAGTCTGGAGGCCTGGGCAGGGCTCTGCTCTGGAATCTCCGGTGGCCTGTTCCATAGGCCAGCGTCCCTTGTCCTTCCCATAGCAGAAATGCTTTCGTGAGTTGGAAACCCTCTGTGGTGACCTCTACATCTTCTCAAGGTCAGTTATCCACTTGTCCATGGCTTCGTGCCCCCATCCCACATCCCTGTCCACTGCATGGAAGGAGGAAATCTAACCCACCCGCCACAGTGCAGCCCACACTCCCCACACTGCCCCGACAGGAACATGACAGAAGGTTTCCAACTAAAACCAAAGTTACTCAGCAAAGCTTCCTGCCAGGCAGCCGTGCTGGAGGGCGCAGCGTGCCTCTGTCTGCTCTTTCTGTTCTATGAAACTTCTCTGCTGCAAGCACTTGAGAGCCTCTTGGCTTCCTGGGGAGAGTGGACTGAACTTCAAAGCAGACACAGCTGCAGCTAAGAAGCCCCTGGGTTGCCTCAAAGACTCTGTCTCCTCCCAGTCTGAAGCTTCTGGTGAATGTTTCTCCCTCATTCCTGAAACAACAGATAGAGCTGTTGAAGTTTACAACGTCCCCCAAGGCATTTCTGTGTTTCTGCCTTTAATCTAGGGCCCAAGTGACCACCCACAAGAATGCCCCGAACACTCACTGCCTCAGGATGCGTCCTGCAATTTACATTCCCGTGGTGCCTCTGCCTTCACCCCACGCTGGTGCCCCCGCCTCCACTCCAGCCGTCTCTCTGGCCACCCCTGCCCCCTCGCTTCTCTCCATCATGCCAAAAAGTGCCCTCGTCCTCTGACGGTGGAAGAGGGGATTCAGTTAGGAGTCGGGATGGCCTATGTGATTTTTGTACACTATTCCAGAATAGGTGTGTGGTTGCTTTAAAAATCAAAAGAAATGTGTCTTCCAAATCTTTGAAGCCCTTTGATTTCAGGAAGCTGTGGACCGTGTTTAGCCTGTGGCTCTGTGTGCCCCTTGGCTGCTGCTGCTGCTTACTCCTGAGGGTGAAGTTGCTAACATAAGAAACGAGTAATTTGGATTTGCGCTTCTTGGTAAAAACCCCTTTCCATTAACCTGTAAAACTCTAGAGGGCAGGGGATCTCTCACATTGAATCTGGTGGTCTTGTGAGAATGCCTGGAAAATAGTAGGCATTCTCCAATGATTGTTGTTGGATTAGTGTCATTGCTTAAAGAAAAAAAAAATCAAAGAAAGTCACTCTCTTAGCTCAGGATGGTGTATTTGCAAGTGTTTAGGCCAAACATGTGTTGAGAAATTGCACATATACTGTGTACAACTCATGTCATCAGGAACTTATGTTACCAAACCTCTTGTTTCACCCACTATCTTATCATCTGTATTGAGCAGACTAAGACCTAGCAAACCAGATGAGCCTTCAGGAGATCTGCAGACTGATAAGGGCATTTGAGATAAAGAAATCCCACAGAGTTCTAAAACCAAAATGAAAAGTATAGAGATGATTGTCCTGTGAAATGGCCCCAAGCCTCAGACCCATTACCATCTACCTCTGGCCTCACTTGGGGGCTACTGTAGATGCTCAGCACAGAACCTCTTAGCTGTGGTTGTGACTTCCTGGCTGGCCAGGCCTGTAAGAGGCGGAGGAAGAAGTGCTGTGGCGAGCTCTGTGACTCAGAGGAAAGCAGCCAGGACATGACGTCCTGCACGACTGCCTGGGGTGGCTGCAGGGAGGTGGCCTAGGGACAGATGAAGCTGCAGTGGGGACCACCTCCCCTGCAGAAGCAGTTTTCTTGTCCCTCCTCATCCAAACACACTCCAACTTAAAAAATCATTATGCATAACTCCGAAAGCAGGTCCATGCTGTACCTGTGTGTGTCCTGCCAGATTTCTTTGTTCCTGGGGGAAAACAGCAATAAACATCACATTCCTTTTCAGTGTTGAATTGCTACTGCTTAAAAGTTAAGAAAAAAAAAAGTTGCAGTCAAACCATCTATTAACAGATAAATTTAAGAACGGTGTGAGTTCCTGCCAGCTGCTGATGACAGGTTTTCCAGAAGGGAATGATATTGCCGGCAAGGCAGTGATTAAGTGTGATGACAACTACCAATTTAGTGAAGGGTCAGTGGTTTTCTTGTATATTTATTTATTTTTATTTTGTTTTATTATTTTATTTTATTTTATTTTTGAGACGAAGTCTCACTCTGTTGCCCAGGCTGGAGTGCAGTGGTGTGATCTCAGCTCACTGCAACCTCTGCCTCCTGGGTTCAAGCGATTCTTCTGCCTCAGCCTCCCGAGTAGCTGTGATTACAGGCACCCGCCACCACGCCCAGCTAGTTTTTTGTATTTTTAGTAGAGACGGGGTCTTCACTGTGTTAGCCAGGATAATCTCGATCTCCTGACCTCATGATCTGCCCGCCTCAGCCTCCCAAAATGCTAGGATTACAGGGGTGAGCCACCACGCCCAGCCATTATTTATTTTTAAATATTGAAACCCTCTGATTACTTACTTGAAATAATACCAAATAGTAGCATTATAGTAACAGCAAGAATTCAACCACTTCCTGGCAAGTAATAAGTATATTTCATTTTATTCTACTTTTCTAGAGTTTAGAACTAGTTACTTAGAAGTAAACTCTAAGTTGGGTCCACCCAGGTCTAAGGAAATCTTCCTTGGTATCCCCTGAGTTTGCTAATCCCAAGACGGTCTCTGAGAACACTCTGAGCAATGAGACCAAGCCCCTGTCCCCCAGGCCATCTGCTGCCACCAAGCCAGGGCACTGGGCCTAGAGAGCTACATGTGGGTCGTAATGAGCCATCTGGCTGCCTGGCAGAAGGCATCCATGGGCAGGTGTCTGAGACGCTACTGACATTACCACTGACCTTTGCCAAGAAGCAGGTTTGGTTTTATCCAGAATGGCCCAGCGTGGTGGTGAGAATGCATCTTCCTTGTCTAGGACACTTTCAGGAACCAGGCTGAAAATTCTCACCCTCAAAATTGAATTTTTGCCTGAGCAGTAGGGTCTACACTTTCCCTGGGTTGTTCTGGGACTTCTTTCGACCATTTTCCTCCCCATCTGGAGCAAAGTGGTCTCTACATACCTCCTTATCCTTGCATGTGTCCTGACCAGTCACAGAGGCAGCATCAAGGCGTGGCTCCTGGAGGTTTTCTTTGTGTATTAGGGTTCTTCGGACAAGCAGAACTAGTAGGAGGTGTGTGTGTGTGGTGTGTGTGTGTGTATGTAAATAAAAGGAAATTTATTATGAGGAATTGGCTCATGGGGTCATAGAGGTGGAGAAGTCCTATGATCTGCCATCTACAAGCTGGAGACCCAGGAAAGTTAGTGATATAATACGACCCAAGTTGGAAAGCCTGGGAACCAGGGGAGCTGATGGATGAGATCTCAGTGGAGGGCTGGAGTTCAGTGCTGCAATCATGGCTCACCACATAAAATGTCCCAGGTCAAGCAGTGAGGCTGGAAAAAAGGGGCAAATTCCTCCTTCCTCTGCCTTTTGTTTTATTCAGGCCCCCAACGGACTGGATGATGCCCACTCACATTGGGGAAGGCAAGCGACTTTACTGTGTCCACCTGTACAAACGCTGATTCCATCTGGAGACATCCTCCCAGACATACCCAGAAACAAGGTGTCACCTGGGCGCCCTGTGGCCAGTCAGGTTGACACATAAAATTAGCCATCACAACTTTGTTTTTAAAATAGAAGTGCAATTTAGGCTGGGCACAGTGTTCACACCTATAATCCCAGCACTTTGGGAGGCTGAGGTGGGCAGGTCACCTGAGCTCAGGAGTTCGAGACCACCCTGGCCAACGTGGTGAAAACCTGTCTCTACTAAAAATACAAAAATTAGCCAGGTGTAGTGGTGCAGGCCTATAGTCCCAGCTACTCAGGAGGCTGAGGCAGGAGAATTGCTTGAACCCAGGAGACAGAGGTTGCAGTGAGCCGAGATCGGGCCACTGCACTCCAGCCTGGGTGATACAGTGAGACTCGGTCTCAAAAAAAAAAGTGCAATATAAATAAAAAGAGAGTTTAATATACAACAAATATACAATGTAGCTTTACATAAAGTATTTTAACCATTCCTTGCTCCCAAACAAAATGCCACTCCCAAGAGTTTCCTATATAGAAATTCCGTTGTCACCACACATTTGCTATGACATGTGTCACAAATAGTTTCTGATACAGTATCAAACTACACACATTATTTACCTTTGGCCTGGTAGGCACAGTGGCTCATGCCTGTAATCTCAACACTTTGGGAGGCTGAGGATGGTAGATCGTTTGAGCCCAGGAGTTCAAGAGCAGCCTGGGCAACATAGCAAAACCCTGTCTCTACAAAAAATACAAAAATTAACTGGAGTTGGTGGCGCATGCTAATAGTCCCACCTGCTCTGGAGGCTGAGGTGGGAGGATCCCTTGACCTCGGGAGGTAGAGGCTGTGGTGAGCCATGATTGCACCACTGTACTCCAGCCTGGGCAACAGAGTGAGACCATGTCTCAAAAAAATTATTTACCTTTAAAAACTAAATTATAGCTCAAAGTGATTCATGTTACAGGGTACCTCTCTGTTACTTGGGTTTAAATTTGTTTCTAGAATGGGAAAGGAGACAGTGTGAGAGCTTATAGCCTGGCTACACACCTGAGTAGAGCCAGGGAGAGGGCCCTATCTGAGCTCTCTGTCATCAGGGCTTATTGGGAGCAAGGGACAGACAGAGGGAGAAGGAAGGTGAGGACTGCTGATCCACAGCGCAGTAGTAGGCTGTTATACAGTGGCAGAGAAAGTAGATTCCTAAGGCTTTAGAGAGCCAGAGCCTTCCTTCTCCCTCCAACAAAGGATGTCACCAAGTGTAAGATGGATTTGGTCTCTTAAGATGTAAGGACCTCCTTTGGGGTTCTGCCTATTTGGGGGCAGAATATTAGAGCACACCCAGACCAGTCCTGCAGCCAGGACTCTACCCAGACTATAGCCTGAAGGTGCAATTTGCTTGGTCTGAGGAATTTTTTTTAATGATTTGGGTTTTTTTAAATAGAGATGGGGTTTTGCTATGTTGCCCAGGCTGGTCTTGAACTCCTGGTTTTAAGTGATCCTCTCATCTCAGCCTCCCAGTGTTGGGATTACAGGCATGAGCCACCATGCCCGGCCTAAGGAATTGTAAAAATTAAATGTGTCATCATTTTGAAACTGGGAAAATTCATGTAAAATTGAGATTCCTGATTTCTTCCAAGAATCACAAGTTTCACCGTGTTTGGCAACACTAGATTGTGGTCCTACCCAACAGTAGTGGGCAAGAGCACATGGTGGGTGAGCACACAGCACCCCCTCCTCTGCTCACTGCACCCCAACACTCACCCATGCAGCCCCACCCCACTTGCTTGGAGTGTCCTGCAGGCGAGGGGCCACAGTGTCACTCCCACCACAGAGTCCCACTCTCCTGTTCTCTCTGCCACTCAGAGGACGTCTAGACCTGTGTTTCCTGGACAGAAGTCAGCCCTGGGAGCCGCAGTTTATGCCTTCCTTCGCCCCCACACAAATGCAAAAGCCTCCTCCCCATTTACTAAGCCAAAGAATGTCAGGATTGAATGTTTTGAAAGAAGAGTTAAAGACAGCTTTAGCCCTGGCGTTCCATAGCTCCTTATTAACACAGAGACTTTTCATAACTCTGAGACAGCTGGAGACACATTTCTGTGAATTCAAAACTCCTGTGAAGGACGCTGGCCTCAAGGGTGCAGGGGAGGCTGGTCAGGTTTCCTAATCTGCTCTTGGACTCAGGGCAGGTGCAGCTGGTGTTCTAGACCACAGCACAATGGCAAGAAGGCCCCTCTGGAGCAAGTCAGGGTCCAGGCGCTACTGGCCCCAGGTGAGCCCAAGATGCAGGCTTCAATGCCAAATTAACCAAGAAACAGACAGGACCCAGGGCCCGAGCACACAGACAGCCTGGTACATGCGGAATCACACACTGATTTGCTCATGGGAGCTGACTGTGAGGGCTGACATCGCCTTTGGACTGAATTGTGTGGAATGTGCTGAAAGAGGCTTTGGAGTCAGAAAATGTTAGAGCCTAGCAAGACACTCTAGAAAGCATCTGCTCCCAGGGTCCCCAACAGTGACTGCTCTTGATAATCATGTAAACATTTCCAAAGTACAGATTCCAGCCAGGCGTGGTGGCTCACACCTGTAATCCCAGCTACTTGGGACGCTGAGGTGGGAGAATCAATTGAACCTAGGAGGCGGAGGTTGCAGTGAGTCAAGATTGTGCCACTGCACTCCAGCCTGGGTGACAGAGTGAGACTCTGTCTCAAAAAACAAACAAAAAACAACATACAGATTCCTAGGCTCCAGCTACCCCTGCCCCAGCACACACACACGCACACATGCACATATGCACACACATAGATTCTCATGAGCAGCCAGGTTTGGGAACCATTGGTGTAGCCCAAACCCTTCCATTCAGTTTCTCAAGTACAGTACTATGTTCAGTGACATTTCCAAGGCCACATCGCTGGTTTCGCAGGACTGGGATTACAGGACAAGTTTCTTGACTACAACCCAGGGCTTTTTCCACAACACACTATCTATCTCCTGGATGTACCATAAAGGAGGCTGCCGATGTACCCCAGAGATTTTTGGATGTGGAGAGAGGGTAAGAAGCATAGCCTTTGTGCTTGTAAAGTAAACCAAGGTAATTTTCCCCAATATTGGCCTCAGTCTCAAGTCTCTCTGGGCAAGAGATTCTGCCTCTAGCTCTACAATTAGTACAGTTTCCCTTGTTTTTTGAGAGGGGATGAAAAGTACTGTACATGTGTGTGGAGACTTCTCTGTGCCTCAGTTTACCTCTATTTATTTATTTATTTATTTTGAGACGGAGTCTCGCTCTGTCACCCAGGCTGGAGTGCAGTGGCGCGATCTCGGCTCACTGCAAGCTCCGCCTCCCGGGTTCACACCATTCTCCTGCCTCAGCCTCCTGAGTAGCTGGGACTACAGGCACCCACCAGTACGCCCACCTAATTTTTTTGTATTTTTAGTAGAGACGGGGTTTCACCGTATTAGCCAGGATGGTCTCGATCTCCTGACCTCATGATCCGCCCATCTTGGCCTCCCAAAGTACTGGGATTACAGGCGTGAGCCACCACGCCCAGCCAGTTTACCTCTACTTAAAATGGAGAGAGTGCCCAGCACCCTTCTACCTTCTCCCTTGGGGCTCTGCAGATTGACCGCACAAAGATTGACCACACAGATTGATTGACCTGTGAAACCCCAAGGCAGAAAAAGAAGCTTTCTGTGCCCACACAGAGGTGTTCTTAAAGTCAGGGTTGCTCTTGGCACACATATTAATAATCCTGATGTCTAGGTACCATTGCAGATCCTTTGGTTCCCCTCTACCCGTTCCAGGAAAGACTGCCTGTCTTCTCCGAGTTTCTTGAGGGCTGATGAAATATTTCCTGAATGTGATCTCAGAAGGAATCCCAGTTTTGAGGGACCAAACAAGATTTTTTAAAAATTAAATACTACTACTAAATAGCTGGTATTGAGTTAATCCTAAGTGCCAGGCATTATGCAAAACACTTTACATGCATTATGGCATTTAATCCTCACTACAACCCTAGTGAAATAAATATCAATATAATTAAAAGTATAAATATAAATGAAGTGTTATAATAGTCTCATTTTACAGATGTGGAAAATGAGGCTCAGAAAAGTTCACGTGCCCAAGATCACACAGCTGCTAAATGACAGAGCCACGATTCAATTCACATAGTCATCTCTAGAGGCAAAGCTCTGGTAAAGGGCTTGATGACTGGTCACTGTCGTCACGAACTTGACCTTTCCTGCAGCACTGCCTGGTACTTTCCCAGTACAGTGTTCTGCCCTGACACAGCCAAGGCCAAGGGCAGTGCAGGCACAGCCACCGTGACTCTCTGCTGGGAGGTTAACAGCTCCATCAGTTCAGGGACTGCCTGACCCAGCCTGACCAAATTAGAGCAAGTAATGGGTGTGACATAATTTGACATGTACATTGTTAATTGAACCCAATGGGAGATGATTTTAAATAGAGGCGAATACCACGCTGTGAACTATTTGGGTTATGAAGCTCTTATTCTCTTATCCTTGCAGGAGAAAGAATTGTGCCATGAAAAATGGAAAACTCCTGAGAAGCTGTTCCAGCGTCAGGAGAGCAGCAGACAAGCTGGACTGGGGAAGATTCTTCCTGTAAGTTTCAGAGATTTCACTCTCATTTCCTAGCATCTTACCCCCAAATCCTCTCCAAGCCCAAATCAAGAACCACAGACTCTAGTCATCTTTCCCCCAGAGACTTCCTAACTGGGGGACTGGAAACCCCAATTACAAAGCCTGCCCTCATAAGACGGCAAAACAGGCACTGCTTCAAGTCCCCAAATGCAGCCCTCACAGCAGTCTCCCTTTCTGAGTTTCAAAGAACTAAGAGCCCACCCCGGGTCCTCACTGAGGGACTCATGCAGGTGCAGTCTCTCTGGGCATCACCCTATGCCCAACTCCTAGGCCTCTTCCCTCCTCACGATCAAAACTTACCTGTCCTGTCTCCCGTGCCCTCCTACTTGCTTCCCGACCTTCATAAAGAGTACAAGTGCCCCATGTGCTAGTGCCACCGATCCTAATGGCTTATGATGTGTTTATCCTCTCAGGCAAGACCTGCAGAGTGTATGACACATAACCAGCACCCAAGAAATGTCTACCGAGGAATTAATGAATGAGGTAAGTTGAATGAATGAAGCAAAGGTTTTTCAGGAAATCCCGCGCCTTACCCCAAATCAATAAGTCTAATACTGGGTTTCAGGCTACTGAAAATGAAATTTGAGGGCAATAGACCTTTTGGGAGCAATTTGCCTTTTAAAATATTAAAGTCCTTTAAATAACACTACCTGGTGAGGATGACGAGGAAAAATATAGGGCATAGGGTGGCCTCCCCACAGGCATTTTTCTTCTTTTCTCTTTCCTAACAGGGTCCCATACTTCCTAGCCATGCTGTTGGCAGGGATTAACATCATTGCAATTCTCTGGGTAGACCTTGGGAGGTTTAAACCAACCAGTGACCCCTATCATCCTAGCTCCAGAGATTGGCTTAGGGATAGTCACCCAATGCAGGCCAATGCAAGGTGACTTTGCCAGGGGCTTCTGGGAAAGAAGTTTCCTTTCTCTGAGGAAATGTGAATGAGGACATCCATAACTCAGGTTGTGTCTGGCAGCCATCTTGTGATCATCTGGCAAGACAGCCCAAGAATAAAGCCGTCACCATGGAGACTAAGAAGAGACAGAAAGACACTGGGTCTTCATTGTCTCGTCCAGCTGTTCATGAGGCCTTATCTGAAGCCCACGTGACCTCCGGACTACTCACTTACATGAGAGAATAAAGCTCTTTTTTGTTTAGACCAAATAAATACATAATACAATTACATAATCCCTTGATTCCTTTTTATGACTGAGCTCAGAGACTATATTTTGTCATTTTAAATCACCTTTGTCTTACAGTTTATTTAACTGAAACAAATAAACAAACCAAAACACGCCAGTTTTTCACTCCTCTGTCAAAGCCTTTCCAAGATCACTAAGCTTGTGATGTCCTGGGTGAATGAAGAAGTAACAGTGTTTTCAACAACATAGAAGCTTATTTCTCTCTCATATAAAAGAAGGCTGGAGTCTGGCTGGTATGGGAGATACAGCATCATCAAAGTTTTATCTTTTCGTCCTGCCATCCTTAGAATATGGCTTTCATCTTCAAGATCACTTCCTAAGCTATGAGGATGCAAAGGTATAAGAATGACATAGCGGACTTTGGGGACTCGGTGTGGGGAGAAGTTGGGAGGGGTGAGGGATAAGAGACTACATATTGGGTACAGTGTACACTGCTCTAAAATCTCAGAAATCACCACCAAAGAACCTATCCGTGGAATCAAAAACCACCTATACCCCCAAAACCACTGAAATAAAACTAAAAATTAATTAAAAAAAAAAACAACATAACTTCATGGTCCAATGTGACAGCTAGAGCGCCAATCATCATGTTAAACTTCCTGTTCCAGAAAGGCATGGAAGGAAGGGAGAAGGAGAAAAAGGAGTCTGTGAGTAGTCTATTCCCTCTTAAGGAGTCCAC
Source organism: Homo sapiens (assembly GCF_000001405.40). Taxonomy (NCBI): domain Eukaryota; kingdom Metazoa; phylum Chordata; class Mammalia; order Primates; family Hominidae; genus Homo; species Homo sapiens. The sequence goes on along the minus strand of NC_000014.9, from coordinate 49,990,859 downwards.
AGAAGACTACCCAACAACTTCTGCTTATGTCTCACTGGCCCTCAGGCTGCAAATGTGGCTTCCAAGTGTAGTCTTTCAGCTGAGCACACTGCCACCCAGATTAAAATCTGGGTTATGTGACCAAGGAAAAAGAGGAGACTGGATATTGGATAGGCAACTAACAGTCTCTGCCGCACCCTACTTAACAAACTGGCCCAGCTTCTGTGTTCAGATCTGATGCTTGGTGCCCGCAGCTCCAAGGAGACCCCATGGTTCAAGCTGCAATTACTTGCTCCACAGGCCCTTACCAAGGAAAGTCAGGTTTTTTCCCTCCTGAGGATCCTCTGACCAGCATCTTCAGATTTTTTTTCAGTTAGAAGTATTCATTGGGCACCTGTTTTTTGTTTGTTTGTTTGTTTGTTTATGACCACATCAGTCTTTCATTAGAATCTTTGCTTTATCTCATTGCATAGTTGAATTTCTTCTCTGCCATGTTCCAGTCAGACCCCATTCATACTCACCCATCTTTGTTCACGTCTTTCCCTAGAACTTTGTTTTTGCAACATGGGTCCACTCTTCCATAGTTAGTTTCTCACTTCCCTCTGGCATTAACTTTCTCAATCTAGTGGATAAGGCACTTGTGGCCCAGGGTAACAAGAACTATGGTTGGTTGGCAACAGCAGCTGAGTGGGGCTGGTCTTCTCCGAATCATCATGAAGGACAGGGAATTATTTTGCCTGGAGACAGGTGACTGGGTGAGGCTAGGGTGATGATTTCTTTTTCAGCTCTCTCAAGGCCTTCTGGCCCCTTATTGTATGTTTCAGGCCCCATAGATAGTGCTGCAAGCCTCTGTTAGTAATTCATAGGCAGAAACAAGGCAAAGTCAAACAATAATAGGGAAGTAAATTATTGTCTCACTAGAGGCAAAACATCTGCTCCTCCCCACCTCACCTGCATAAAAGCAAAAAAACCAATTTAAATCAATGTGGAAGAATGCTAACAAAACATGTTACCTTGAATCTTCATATAAAGAATACCTTTTAGAAATATCTAGTTGTTTCATTTACTTGAATGTTCCCATTTTGATTTTAATTATAAACTGAAAGCTATTATAAATCATAATTTTACATTCTATTATGCATTTTCAAATAGAAACATCCTCAGGCAAATGTGAACAATTATCTCCAAATGTGACTTTTTTTAAAGTTATAATCTTCAGAGGAACAACTAAATTATACTTTAAATCATTAGCTTAAAACTAAACCTGGCCAGGCACATGGCTCATGCCTGTAATCACAGCACTTTGGGAGGCCAAGGAAGGCAGATCACTTGAGGTCAGGAATTCAAGGCCAGCCTGGCCAACATGGCAAAACTCCATCTCTACTAAAAATACAAAAAATTAGCCTGGTGTGGTGGCACACACCTGTAATCCCAGCTAATCGGGAGGCTGAGTCAGGAGAATCACTTGAACCCAGGAGGCGGAGGTGGCAGTGAGCCGAGATCACACCACTGCACTCCAGCCTGGGTGACAGAGTGAGACTCCATCTCAAAAAAATAAATAAATAAAACATAAAACTATGAGACCTGATATTACGGGTTTAACCAAGAGGACTTGCCGTTGGATTTTTAAGTTTTTAAAATTGATATAATCATCCCTTTTATTAGAGATACTCATATATTTTTAAACCAAATGATTGTAATGATGCACATTTTAGGGCCAGAGGCATTCATTATCTTATGGCCTAATGATAAATGGTGCAAAGGTTTGAGACCTAACAGACTGTTACTATACTGAGAGGGCAGGTGAAGAAATTCCAAAGAGAGGTATTAGCATATTTCCTCTCTGCTTTTCAATTTCCAGCAACAGATGGTAACATCACAGTTCTGAACATTCTCCATATATTATTTGGATTAAACAGAGGCTCATTTTCCAGGGAAAACGGGCAGCATCAGTGTTAAAAGGTGCTTTTGCTAATAAGCCAATCTGTATCCAAACGTCACACTACATTCACTCTGATAAGATCCTTCCAGAAACCCAGCACTAGGAATGACTCCATTCCCCTGAGAAGCACAGTCACAAGCATCCAAGGCCATTGGGAGAACTGGATGAATATCAAGGGATGTGTCTTTTTGGAGCCGGGGAGGATGTACTGAGGAGGGCAGACACTAAAGCAAACAGGATCTATCTCAGAAAGGTCATTTGAAAGAGAACTTACAGAGGAATGGCATCCTCCTTTGTCTTTGGATAGACCAGCCAGGTCTCTGGCAGCCCTACCGCCTGGACTCCTTTCCAGGGCTGAAGCACCCCTACGAGCAGTTGAACAGCATGACTCTGGCAGCGAAGAAACCCTGGATGGGCCTCTGAGGCTGGGGAGCCTGACCAGTACCTCACTGATGGGAAATTGCACTGTCCTTGGAGACATTGTCCTTGTTGTCGCCTTAAGAGCTTTCCTTTGTTCTTTCTCTCCCAGTATACCGCAGCTTGATTTTCTCCCTGCTTTCCACAATAGCATTCTGCACACAGGATCGTGAGCCACAAAGCTAGGGGGACCATGTGTAACAACTTATACAAGGAGCATGGTCCTGTAAAACTAGCTGTTTGATGTTGGGCAAGTCACTTAACTTCTCTGTGTCTCTGTTGTCACATTTGGAAAATGGAGATTATAACAGCATTCACCTCCCAGAACTGATGAGTAAATACTGCCTAGCTGATAGAGCTCCATAAAGGTTAGCTATAGCTACAAGGACAGGTGAGCAGTTTCTTCTACTGCACCTTCTCCCTGGATTTACATTTCACTAAAACACACATTTGCCTCTCCAAACACAGGACCAAGATCATAAGAAAATGAATTGTCTCACTTGAAATTCTTTAATTGGTCTTGGAATTCTTTAATTCCGTCCATAGTTCTTGAGATATCAAAAGATATCTGTGACTGGGTGTGGTGGCTCACGCCTGTAATCCCAGCACTTTGGGAGGCCTAGGCGGGCAGATCACTTGAGGTCAGGAGTTCTGAGACCAGCCTGGCCAACTTGGTGAAACCCCATCTCTACTAAAGATACAAAAATTAACCAGGCATGGTGGCGTACATCTATAATGCCAGCTACTCAGAAGGCTGAGGCAGTAGAATTACTTGAACCTGGGAGATGGAGGTTGCAGTGAGCCGAGATTGTGCCACTGCACTGCAGCCTGGGCAACAGAGCGAGATTCCGTCTCAAAAAAAAAAAAAAAAGATGTGTGTGTGTGTGTGTGTGTGTGTGTGTGTGTGTTTGTAGATTCTTTTAGTCACACAAAGTCTATGCTGATTTGGTTAAATGTTAATCTAATGGTGATGGGCTAAATAGCATTTGTTAACTATTAGCACACTGGCCTCAGGAACATGTGGGTAAAATGTAACTACGTTATCTTCGTTCAAATTCCTTTTCTGTGACCGACTGGTTCAAATTCCTTTTTAGTGACCGACTGTTGTCTCAATGAACCTTTGCCGGGTTTTTGTTTTTTTCTTGGTTAGAGCAGAGAGTAAAATAAGTACAACCAGACTTTCTCATATGGAGATAAATTGATGCCAAATTAGGTCTGCAGAGGCCTCATTTTGGCTTCTCTGGTCACTGTGCAGACACATTTTCATGCACATTGAAGATAGTCCATTAGTTCTTGGCAAGGAGAATTAAGTTTTCAAAGCTGCTGTCTCTAACAAGCCTCCCCTTTCTTATGCACAAAACCTCACTGGAGGTGAGAGGCTCTTCCCCATTTATGGAGGAGAGGGGCAAGCTCCATCTGCAGTTGCCCCACTGTAGCCCTGACGATCATCATTCCCATGAGGCCTCTGGACTCTGATTTGGATCAATCATTGAGCTCCAGCATACAATCCAGATTAAAATCTCTCCTTCGCAGGAGGAAAGCATTTTTAACCTCAAAATTATATAGAGAGGGCTTCAAAAAGTAATTTGCAAACTTCTTTGCCTCTGGAGAGGGTACGTCCATTCTCATCTGAAATTTTCCCTCAGTGCCTTCTGTTTTGCATTGACTGAGCTTCTGAGCTCTCGCGATGCAGCTGAAAAGGAAACAAAGAAGTTTTGCTCCTATCTGTTTCAGTGAAAATGTAAGCCAGAATGTTGTGGGTTGAGTCAGATTCTCAATGGGATCTTTAGATGGGGTTCCTGGGAGGAAAATCCTGTAGATTTATTCTGGAGTACCTAGCCGCTACCAAGCCAGGACTCCTTGACCTAAATGTGCTCTCTGAGCAGAGCCTCCTTCACGTAGAGAAGTGAACATTGTAGTGAATGAAGGGTGTTGAAGTGCTAAGGATCAATATTCACTAGCAACCAGAATTTTGGAACATGGTTACCATGGTAACATTGTCAGCCCCAAATGACTGTCATGAGGTGAAAAAAAATTATCTTAAAATAAATGAAACCAGAAAAAGTATATTTATATACCTCTTACCAAACACCTATCTGTTCACAAAGTAGAACATGTTCTTTAAGCTATAGATACTCAAAGACTGGGGGAAATTCATGACACAGAGTTTTTCTTGAATTAAGAGAATTTTTAATAATTTTCACCCCCAAAATATGGTCTGTAAAAATAACTGATATGAATTTTTTAAAAGTGAAAATAGTTCTAAGGAATTATGGGCTTGTACACTTAGACATTATGCAGCCATGACGTTAAAATTCTGCACGAAACTACCAATCGCTCATTTGAAATTGGTAAAACAATACTTGATTCGGACTAAAAGCTCACATTTTCTTATGTCTAAGTTGTACAGATTATTTCTATAAGGCTCAGTAAATAAGGTGCCATAATATTCATTGTACCATGAGAAAAAGATGTTGGCCACACATTAGATAAAAACCCTTGGGCAGGGTTTTTGCCTTGCTCTCCTGAAACTCCATCCTTTGCTTGTCCCTCCTTACTAACAGAACCACAGTTTTATTTAGAGCAGCAATGTGCCCGAGCAAAAATACTCCATTTCATAACCTCCCTTGCAGTGAGAGGTGGCCATATGCTATAGTCCCAGCCAGTAATACATAGACAAAAATCCCTGAGAAGGATATTGTTGGGAGACATTTCTCCATGCTCACACATTTCTATATATATATAGAAATATATATATGTGTAATTAATTTATATATATATATATATTTGCTGACCAAGTGTTCATGAAAGGTCTCTCTTTTCAAATGTGTTGGTTGCACTCAAAGAAAGGTAACATTTAACAGAAAATATTTCAATACACCAGGTCTGTCACTTGACTATAATAATTGTCTTAAGAAAAGACCACAGCTCAACCTCAAGGAAATAACTTCTCTTCTCATTTTTGTTCTATTGACTACAAAACACTACATAACTTAACAATGAAATTAAAAGGGGCCGGGCACGGTGGCTCACGCCTGTAACCCCAGCACTTTGGGAGGCTGAGGCAGGTGGATCATTTGAGGTCAGGAGTTCGAGACGAGCCGGCCAACATGGTGAAACCCTGTCTCTACTAAATATACAAAATATTAGCCGGGCATAATGGCACACACCTGTAATCCCAGCTACCCGGGAGGCTGAGGCAGGAGAATCGCTTGAACCCAGGAGGTGGAGGTTGCAGTGAGCCAAGATCATGCCACTGCACTCCAGCCTGGGTGACAGAGTGAGATTCTGTCTAAAAATAAAAAAGAAAGAAAAGAAATTAAAAGAACTGACTCATCTTCGGAGGCTGTTTCAATAGGATACCAGAAGTAATGACAATTGTCATCACAGATTAAAAATTTTTGAATGCCTTATACACCATTTTTAGAACATTGGATAAACTGAAATGTGTATCTAGAAGAAAAATTAACTAATACATAAAATGAGAATATAAGAGGTCAGTTTAGATCTTCACATCAAAAATAAGATAGAAAAGAAGATAGTGTGCAAAATAAGATAAATTATAAACATCCTTAGTATATCTTCAGTACATGCTGATTCCTAGTTTTTGTTGAAAAACCTAAACTATGTGAATTAGCTGTAATATGTGTCCTCAGTATGATTTCTGCCTACAAGTCTATCAAAACCACAATGAGATATCATTTCACATCCAATAGGTTGTCTGTTATTTTTTTTTTTAAGAAAAATAACAAGTGTGAGTGAGGATGTAGAAGTATCGGAATACTTGTGCATTGATGGTGGGAATGTGAAATGGTGCAGACGCTATGGAAAACAGTCTGTGGCTTCTCAGAACATAAACATAAAGTTACCATATGATTCAGCAATTCCACTCCTAAGTGTATACTCAAAAGAATTGAAAATAGGGACTCAAACAGATACTTGTACATTGGTGTTCATAGCAGAATTATTCACAATAGCCAAAGATGGAAACAATCTATCCACCAACAGATGAGTGGACACACAAAATGCAGCATGTACATACAATGGGATATGATTCAACCATAAAAAGGAATAAAATTCTGATACATGCTACAACATAAATAAACCTTGAAAAACTTCAGCTGAGTGAAATAAGTGTGGTACTTGGATACTAAATAGGTCTGAAAAAAAAAAAAAAGCCCGGGCGTGATGGCTCACACCTGTAATCCCAACACTTTGGGAGGCCGAGGCAGGCGGATCACGAGGTCCAGGAATCAAGACCATCCTGGCTAACACAGTGAAACCCCGTATCTACTAAAAATGCAAAAAATTAGCCAAGTGTGGTGGCATGTGCCTGTAATCCCAGCTACGCAGGAGGCTGAGGTAGGAGAATTGCTTGAACCTGGGAGGCGGAGGTTGCAGTGAGCCGAGATTGCACCATTGCACTCCAGCCTGGGCGACTGAGTGAGACTCCATCAAAAGAAGGAAAGAAAGAGAGAAAGAGAGGAAAGAAGGAAGGAAGGGAGGGAGGGAGGGAGGAAGGGAAGGAGCGAGCCAGGTACAAAAGGACAAATATTGTGTGATTCAATTTATGTGAGGTATCTAGAGCAGGCAAATTCATAGAGGCAGAAAGTAGAATGGTGGTTACCAGGAGATAAGGCATGAGAGAATAGGGAATTATTGCTTATTGGGTACAGAGTTTCTGTTTGGGATGATGCAAAAATCCTGGAAATAGATAATGGTGACAGTTGGGCAATATTAAGTGAATTGTGAATGTACTTAAGGCCACTGAATTGTACACTTAAAAATGGCTGGTCAGGCACGGTGGCTCATGCCTGTAATCCCAGCACTTTGGGAGGCCGAGGTGGGCAGACCACGGGGACAGGAATTCGAGACCAGCCTAGCCAATATGGTGAAACCCTGTCTCTATTAAAAATACAAAAATTAGCTGGATGTGGTGGCAGGTGCCTGTAGTCCCAGCTGCTCAGGAGGCTGAGGCAGTAGAATATCTTGAACCCAGGAAGCAGGGGTTGCAGTGAGCCAAGGTCGTGCCACTGCACTCCAGCCTGGGCAACAGAGCAAGACTTCGTCTCCAAAAAAAAAAAAAAAAAAAAGTTAAAATGGGCCGGATGCAGTGGCAGTGGCCACACCTATAAACCCAGCACTTTGGGAGGCTGAGGCGGGCAGATCACCTGAGGTTGGGAGTTCAAGACCAGCCTGGCCAACATGGCGAAACCCCATCTCTACTAAAAATACAAAAATTAGCTGGGCGTGGTGGCCATGCCTATAATCCCAGCTACTTGGAAGCCTGAGGCACGAGAATCTCTTGAACCCCGGGAGACAGAGGTTGCAGTGAGCCGAGATCATGCCACTGCACTCCAGCCTGGGCAACAGAGTAAGACTCTGTCTCAAAAAAAAAAAAAAAAAAAAAAAAAAGCTAAAATGGTAACTTATATTACATATGTTTTACAACAATTTTTAAAAATCTATGAAACAAATGAAACCAAAAAAGTGGGTTTTGTTTGTTTGTGTTAGGAAGAAAAAATAGAACAGTTTGTAAATTTTGTTTGTGGGTTTTGTTTTGTCTTTGCTTTCTTTAATCCCAACCTGCCCATGCCGTGTAGCGGGGTGACTAAGACCCCCCCATGAAATTACAGAAGGCTTTCGGGCTGCGGGTTTGGGTGGCTTTGTGCCTCAGGAGATCCTACGTCATTTAGAAAGATTTCTACTTTGGCAATTTTGTTCCAATTCTTCAACTCTCAGGAATGTGTAGCATGGAAGCTTCCCCCCACTGCCCCCCAAGCCTATGTTGGGTCAGAATTTGTTTGTGAAAATATTATTTTAGGATTCCTTCCACTTCTGTCATCTGCTTATTTTCCTTCCTGCATATTTCATAACGTAGCAGAGCGATTTCTGATTCAGCAGTTAAAATAGTCTGTGCATTCGTTATCACTTCCTTGTGACCCACTTTATGCACAATTACTCATTTCGTCATTGAAAGTTTAGATTTCAAAAAAAAAAAATTCTGGGACTAAAGTATGTGTCTACGGAGAAAAGGAGGGGAAGAGATATTGACTGAATATCTATTCTAGCACTCAAAGGAACCCCAAGGGTGGGCACTGTGGATCAACCCTGAGGTTTCCCATCTCACCGCTCTTCTCTCAAATTATATCCTCTTCAGTTGTTCCACACTCTTAACCCCACCTTTACACTCTCCTTACTCTCATTTTCTTCCTAGGAAATACCTCTGTACACTCACCAGACACTGGCTGCTGGTTGTCACGGTGCTAAGAGCTGTGGGAAACATGAAGAGCAATGAGACCAGGTCCCTGCTCTGAGGAGACGTGTGCCAGCGAAGTTTCTCTCCCACGTGAGTGTGCTACAAGAAAATCTGAACCCGAGAATCTGATTCAGTAGGTCTGCACTTTCTCCACTTTGCCAGATAATTCTGATTGAGACCGTCAAGGCTGTGACTAGTGGGGAGGCAGTAGAGTATTTTCTGTGCTAGACTGAGGCAGCCCTGAAGCACTGCGCAAGCACATGGAAAAGAGAAACGAGATTGGGCCGGGCACGGTGGCTCATGCCTGGAATCTTTGGGAGGCCACGGATCACTTGAGGACAGGGGTTTGAGACCAGCTTGGCCAACATGGTGAAACCTTGTCCCTACTAAAAATACAAAAATTAGCAGGGAGTGGTGGTGCACACCTGTAATCCCAGCTACTCTGGAGGCTGAGGCAAAAGAATCGCTTGAACCCGGGAGGTGGAGGTTGCAGTGAGCTGAGATTGGACCACTGCCCTCCAGCCTGGGTGATAGAGTGAGACTCCATCTCTAAATAAATAAATACAAATAAAAGAAAGACAAGATTGGTCTAACAGATGATGGAAGGCTTCATGGAAGGGGAAATTAAGCAGATGGGAGGCCCAGCAGGCACTGTACCTGCTGCTGCTCAGCACTGGATGTGAGGGCAAGACTTTGAGTCACATTCCTCCCCATACCCCAGGGCCTTTAGAGCATATGTAGAGGACAGGAAACTTGGGACAAGGGGGTACACTCACTTCTGAGACGGTCCAGATGGATGATACCTTATCCTGGGGTACCTGCTGCACAGAGTTCCAGTTCCAGACTAACCTGCTAGCAGAGGTCCCTGCTAAGGTCCCTGGAGAAGGTCCTTAACTTCTCCAGTCTCAGGTGAGAGATGATGTTATCTGCTTGGTAGAGTTGGTGTAAGAATTAAATGAGCCAATGTGTGTAAGACCCTTGGTACACAATCAACCTTCAGTACATGATGGCTAAGGTTGTTTTTATTAATCTATATTTCTCCTTAGGATAGATTCCTAGAAGTGGGGCTACTGGAACAAGGAATGTAAGTGTTACTAAATGGTACATACAGAAATTGTGTGCAGTTTTCTTTTAAGTTTATAAAATTGTCTCAATTTGACTGCTAGAGATAAGGAAGTTCATTTATATCTATGACACTAGGTGCTTGGGAGGATATATACAAGGTATTAGCAGTGGTCATCTCTGAATGGAAGGAACAATGGGTGTTCTCTATGTTCTTTTTGCTGAATTGATAGATGGTGGCCACTATCTTCTTCCTCTTCCCTTTCCCCTTCGTCATCCTCCTTCTCTTCTTCCTTCTCCTCCTCTTCCTCTTCCTTGGCCTCCTTCTTATTCTATTCCTCTTCCATCACGCACACCACACACACACGCGTGCACGCACACACACACACACCCCAGCTTGTTTCAGTGCCTGGAATTCTCTTGAAATTAACATTCCCTGCCCCAGGAGACCCCTACTAAAATGCAAATATGTTAGCTAGAAAATGCAACTCCCAGACTCCCATAACACCCTCCTTCCCCAGCTTATTGATCCCATTGGCTGGCTATTAACACCTGGCTCAGAATAAGGACAGAAGGAGGGCCTTGGGCAGGGTTACCATCCCAGAAGGGCAATCCCAGAGTAAGCATGGTGGCCATGGGGACATCATAGGGGTGGTTATCAGAGCTAGAAGGTACATCAAGAAACATCAGATGCTCAAGATAAGGCAACCAAAACAAAGCAGTGAGCAGGTTTCCAGAGGAGTCCTGGGAAGGGAATGGCTGCCCTGCTATCTGAGTTGGCTCATGTTCAAGGGCTGGAGGCAGAGGAATGAACCAATGAAAGCCCAGTTATCAGGTGGAATGGTACATCATGAGAATGCAGATTGCCTCTTTGTACACAGCTGTTCTTTTTGGTATAAATTTTATACCAGAAGGCTACAGTTTATACTAGTAAGTTCCAAAGTGCTGGTAAGTAAATCACCCTGAAAGCAACTGGAAAATCTCAGAGTAGATGCTATGACAGTTTGGAGTAATTCCTTAAAGTGCTTTCTATATGAAAACTTTCCTTTCTTGATTAACTTATTACATAGCTGTATTAACCTTGACTACAGAGTTATTTTTAGGCAAACCAAACCCTCTATCATTCCCATGGATACATTTTCATTCCATAATTGAAATATATTTCAATTCTGGAGAAATGCTTTGAGAGATTGATATTTCTGAAACAACATTGTTGCTTTGGCTTTTCCCAAATTCCCTTAATTCCAAATTAGGGCAGGAAACCTCCCCCTTTTTTTGTCCTAGAGCTCAGAGCAGCCTCTCTCTAATTCAGATTCTAAACTTCACATGAGAATCCAAATTTTAAGAAAAAGAGAGATTTCCAGTTCAAGGAGACAGGGTCTGGGTGGAAGAGAGGATAGAGGATACCCAAGTTGTCAACAAAGACTAACGCTGTCTTGCATTTATTACAACAACAATAACACCAAAAAGGAGGTGAGGACCCATGCAAATGGGCTGGCCAGGCTGCAATCCCCCTCACCTCCACATCCTCCAACTTCACTACCAACCAAAACTGCTCTGAGCAGCCTCTGCATGTTCCTGTTATTGGCAAAAAACCCATCCTGCAAAAAGGAAAGCATTATATCCCTTCTTCAAAAGAGGGGAGAGAAACACCAATAAAGTGCCAGCTACTCAGGGCTGAGAGGTTTCCACAGAGCCCAGTGTTCAGAAGTTCAAGTCTAAGACACTGTGGCAGGGTCACAAGAATGTGCATTACCTAAACCGTGTCTGGAGAACAAGCGGAACAAGGCCATCAGCTCTGAAAGGCCTGGGGCTAGCAGGGGGCTGAGCACCCAGCGGCTGAGGAAGCGGACAGATGCCAAGGCACCCAAGGGGTCTCCAGGCTGCACCTCAGCAGCTCCTATCGTTTCATGCTCCTATGGTGGGTGGTGGGGGATGGTGGGCGGTCTCTCTGCCCCTTTTAGTGTTTCTGGAGAGAAAGGAAAGCAAGCCCACAGGCAGGCAAACCTTGACAGCAAATAGAGAAGAGAATGCACAAGGGCAGGGAGGGAGGAGCCCAGGGAATGCATTGCTCCCCACAGAGGCAGGCCAGAGGGAGTGATGGTGGGTGGTAGTTCTTCTGCTTACCAAAGTTGGAGCTCCAGAGAGGATGGCAAAGGGGTGTCTGAAGAGCTGGAATGGCTGTAGGCTCCCCTTGCTCAGGCCAAGGGGGTGCTGTGCCCCAGACTTCCCTGAATCTTCATTTCTGGCCCCCTACTTGCTCTCTCTTGGAGCACCTCACCCACTTCTAGAAATTCAATTTGCATCAGTGCTGGGGTCTCCAAGATCTCTTCCCTGGAGTTCAGACCCATGCATCCACCCTCCGTCCAGGCATCTCTACCAGCATGTCCCACAGATACCTCCAAACCAACCTGTCCTAAATGACCTCTTCATGTCTGCACCAAAATACACCCTCCACTTGGGTGTATTCTCTTACCTTAGTCAATTGGAGGTAGGGGACTCATCCGTCCAGTCAACCACAAACCTTGCCCACACCACCCCACATTTTATTCATCACTAAGTCCACCAATTTGACTTTCTAAGCCACCCCAACCACCTCTGGGGAGATCAGGCCACTGTCCCCTCTCACTGCATTGGTGTGGCAGCCCCCTCACTGCCTCCCTTGACTCTATCTTGTCCTCCTCAAGTCCAGCCAGGTTGATTTTTCTAACAAGTAGGTCTGAGTCCTGTTTCAAGCTTCTTTCTATATCCCCACTCCCATACAATCTGTTCAAGACCTAAACTTGGCATTGGGGCTCACAGATCTATTCAGAAGTGTAGCCTTTTAAAAAGTTACATTATGAACTACTTAAAACTCACAAAAAGGCATACAGAATATAACAACACACATGTACCCATTCCCTAACTTTATAAATAAAGCCTTAGCAAGACAGTTGAAGCTCCCTGTGGACTCCCCCACCCCCTCCTCTCCCATAGAGGTAACTGCAGTCCTGAATTTGTCATTACTCCTATTCTTTCTTTGTAATTGTATGTAACATGGCTTCTTTATTTCATTATAATGTATCTATTCTTCCTTATGAGCCTCTCTTGCTGCATAAATTTTCCTGCAGTCCACGAAATGCTATGAAGAGAGTAAAAGCAGCCATCACTTCAGGTGCATTCCCAGTCTCTCAAGGCATTGCATCTTCCTCTTGCTGTGCTCCAAGATGTTGGCAGGGTAATTCCTTCATTAGGATGGGTATTGTCTTTTGTCACCTTATGGGAGACAAAAGGCAGCACCGGAGTCCGCCAGTGCACTGGAGTCCGCCATGAGGCACTGGAGTCCTTACTATGTTCTCTAGATCCTCACTAATCTCTGCTGCAGGGTGGCTGGGAACTTCTTGTCTGATCTCTCAGCTTTGCCAGGGTTCAGTGATCTCCCCAGGTAGACTCAGCCATAGCTCAGCTTCCCTTGGCCCTGGCTCTGAAGGGTTTCTGCCAATCTCCCATCCAGCATCTGGCCTGAGAGGTCCGCCCATTCTTTACTATGGGCTTGCCTTCCCTTCACCACTGAGGGCCCCAGGTAGCCTCTCTAACTCTTATCTCAACCATCTCTCATGACATATGGGAGCCTCTGAGTCCAGTCCATGCCATATGAAAACTGGAGGGGGTTCAGCAGAGAAGCCACACCGCAGCCCTACCTCTGCCTAATCACACTACTCTGTTTTACTCTGATGAGTCAGGGCAGCCTGAGAGGACTTCTCCTTTCAGATTCGACATATGAAGCAAGGTAAATGCCCTAGGTCTGGTGTTCATGTCAACCTACCTGAAGCAGAAAAGAGCGTCCTTCATCTGCGCCCTTATAAAATCTGCAGTAGATAGTCTCCAAAGATGGCCACTGTTGATTCATCTCTCCCTATGTGTGCATATTGTTCCTCCTTTAGAGAAATAGAAGCCATTTCCTCTCCCTTGACTCAGGGCAGGCTTTGTGACTTGCTTTGATCAACAGAGTGCAGTGGAAGTGCTGTTCTGATAGCTCTGAGCCCAGACCTTAAATGCACTGGTAACTTCCTCTTCCTTTTAATTGGAGCCATCTACCATGTAAGAAGTCCAACTACCCTGAGATCACCATGCTATGAAGAAGCCCAAGCTATTCATATGTAGAGGCTATATGAAAAGAGACAGAGAGAGAGAGATGCCAGCCAGCCAGCTATTTCAGTTATCCCAGCTGGAGGCATCAAACATGGGAATGAAGAAGTTTTCTTGGGTATTCCAACCCCAACAGATACTCCATGAACAGAAGAACCACTCAGCTGAGTTCAGCTCAGATTACAGAACTATGAGAAATGGTAAAATATAGTTCTAAGCCACTAAGTTTTGGAAGTGGCTTATTATTCAGCAATAATTAAATGAAACAACTCTCCAGCTGTGTTTCTCACCAATGCCTACTTTATAATTTATGCTCCAGCAACTCAGACCAGCTTGTGGCCCTCTGTGTATGCCATGCTGTTTCTCACTTCCATCCTTTATTTCAAGCTATAATCTCTTTTTTTGACCTCTCTTCTTTGCCTGGCTAACTTTTATTCTGCTCTTGTCTTGTTTCCTTTTTTTTTTCTACTAGGCACCCATGATACCCTATGCAAATCACCACCATTATACTAAATATGTTATATTATAATTGTTTCTTTATGCAGTGGACTCCCAAACTAGGCTGTAAACACCTTAAGCGTAGGAATCATGTCTTACCCAGCTTTGAGACATCGCTTTATATGGAAATGCAAGCAAGTCCCTTAAACTCTTTCAGCTCAGTTTCCCTGTATCACTTAGGGATTGCATTCAGTTGTCTGCAACAGAAACCCAGCCTCACCAGGTTAACCAAACAATGGCTTATTTCTTTCACATAACAAGTCTTGAAGGTAGGCCTTCCAGGGAGGAATAGTGGCTTTACAATGTCAGCAATATCCCAGGTTCCTTCCACCTTCCTGCTCCTCCACCCTCAGAATGTGGATTTCCTCCTCATAGCTTCCTCAAGGTCACAGCATGGCTACTCTGCCACAAGCCTCACACCCACATTCCAGAAAGGGAGAAGGAAGGAACAAGGAAGAAGGGGCAGTGCCCATATCCCAGAAGAAATACTTTTCCAGAAATCTGCAGAAGACTTCCACTCAGGTCTCACTGGCCAGAATCAGATCACATGGCTGTCCACAGCTGCAGTAGCAGCCGCAGAAATCACCAGAGAGCCTGAACTTTGAGCTAGAAGCAGTCACTGCTTGGGGTTGCCTCTCTGTAAGGAACAAGGAAAGAATGGACATTGGGTAGCAACTGGTAATGTCTGCGTCATTCACCACCTATAAAACGGGGTTTAGGACCTACTTCACAGAGTTGATGAAATTAAGAGAGAATGTAGGCAAATACTGTCCTTAGTATCAAGGACATAGTAAGTATTCAATAAAAGCAATTACATTCTTACATTTCCAGTTGTGACACTTAATTCCAATATCCAAGAGTTTTCCCTGAAGGGGCAGAAAATTAGTTGGCTTAAGGCATTTGTCCCACTCTGTCTGTAATTCTTCTGCAATGAATTTGCTTCTGATGATTAACAAGTTTTTTCTCAATAGTCTATTCAACTGTTAATAAATCCAAACTGGATTAGCATTATGACTCTTCACTAATAACGTGTGACCCAGAAAAAAACAAAGCTTGGAGGGACACAAACGACAAATGAGCTGTTTTCATTGCTTTGTGGCTACAATGTTGCATATTTCATTTCTGATTCATGGAAAAATATCCAGCACACAGAAGTCAGCTAGCTCTGTGAAAGGCCTTGGACCAGGGAGGTTAAGAATAAAGTCCCAATGTCTTAGTCACTGGGGCCTAGGAAGCTGACCTGGAAGATGTTAGCAGCAGAAAGACTTTTGCTAGGAAACTGCTCTCTGAATCTGCTACCCTCTTGCTCCCACAGCTTTGTTTAAGCAGATCACTAAAGATTTATGTATTGACTAGAACTTTTTTGTTTATTTGTTTGCAAGGGGAAAAGCACAAATACAGCACAAGATGACATATTTAAAAAGTAAATTTATATAATCCCAGTGCCTTGAGGGGCCAAAGCAGCAGGAGCTCTTGAGGCCAGGAGTTCAAGAACAGCCTGGGCAACATAGGGAGAACCAATCTCTACCAAAAACTTAAAAAATTAGCCAGGTGAGGCCAGGCGCTGTGGCTCACACCTGTAATCCCAGCACTTTGGGAGGCTGAGGCAGGCAGATCACCTGAGGTCAGGAGTTCAAGACCAGCCTGGCCAACATGGTGAAACCCAGTCTCTACTAAAAATACAAAAAGTAGGTGGGTGTGGTGGCGCACACCTGTAATCCCAGCTACTCAGGAGGCTGAGGCAGGAGAATCGCTTGAACCAGGGAGGCGGAGATTGCAGTGAACCAAGATCGCTCCACTGCGCTCCAGCCTGGGTGACAGAGGGAGACACCATCTCGAAAAAAAGAAAAAGGAAAAAAAATTAGCCAGGCGAGAGGATTGCTTGAGCCCAGAAGTTCAAGGTTACAGTGGGCTATGATTGCACCACTGCATTCCAGCCTGGGCAACACAGTAAGATACTATCTCTTTAAAAAAAAAAAAAAAAGAAAAGAAAAGAAAAGAAAAGAAAAAGTAAACTTATTGGTTTGAGTGACTAAAATGTCCAGGCATAGAGTTTCAGGCATAACTGGCTCCAGGTGCTCAAACGAAGGATTCAGGAATCTTCCTTTCATGTCTCAGTTTCTCCCTCCATGGTAACAAAAGTGGCCCCTTAAAGCTCCCAAACAGGAACCCACCAGCTTAGGAACCCCAGCAGAAAGAGGAATCCTTTTTTCTTTGGAGGCCGAGGCGGGCGGATCATGAGGTCAGGAGATCGAGACCATCCTAGCTAACACAGTGAAACCCCATTTCTACTAAAAATACAAAAAATTAGCCGGGCGTGGTGGCGGGCGCCTGTAGTCCCAGCTACTGAGGAGGCTGAGGCAGGAGAATGGCGTGAACCCGGGAAGCGGAGCTTGCAGTGAGCTGAGATTGTGCCACTGCACTCCAGCCTGGACGACAAAACAAGGCACTGTCTCAAAATAAAAAAAAAAAAGAGGAATCCTTTTCCCTAATTGTTCCAGCAAAAGCTCCAGGACTAGCCCAACTTGGGTCACTCTCCCACCCTGAGCCAATTCACTATGCTAAGGACATGTGGTTCTTTTATTGGCCAGTCTGGGTTGCATGCCTCACCAGGAGCCTGGGGCAGAGCCAGCCTCACTCACACTTCCTAGGTGGAGAGTAGGAGTAAGGTTCCAGCCTGGCCAACGTAGTGAAACCCCATCTCTACTAAAAATACAAAATATTAGCTGGGCATGGTGGCGGGCGCCTGTAATCCCAGCTACTCGGGAAGCCGAGGCAGGAGAATCACTTGAACCCGAGAGGCGGAGGTTGCCGTGAGTCGAGATCACGCCATTGCACTCCAGCCTGGGCAACAAGAGTGAGGCTTCATCTCAAAAACAAAAACAAAAACAAAGAGTAAGGTGGTCTCCAAAGGATAATCGAGGTGCACCTGCCAGCAAAAGCATATTCTAAGACCAGGCCCCACAAAAGCTCCATGGTATTGTTAGATACAGATATTACTGAGCATTAATACTGTAATAATACAGTGACGGTCTTTTCCATCTGTTAATGTTCTACTCATTTTTCAGATTCATTTCAAATGTCACCACAGACCAGGCGTGGTGGCTCACTCCTGTAATCCCAGCACTTAGGGAGGTCAAGGCAGGCAGATCACTTGAGGTCAGGAGTTTGAGACCAGCCTGGCCAACATCATGAGACCCTCATCTCTACTGAAAATACAAAACTTGGCCAGGTGTGTTGGTGGGCTCCAAGAATCCCAGCTACTTGGGAGGCAGAGGCTGGAGAATCACTTGAATCTTGGAGGTGGAAATCGCGCCACTGCACTCCAGCCTGGATGACAGAGGGATACTCCATCTCAAAAAAATAAAATAACATAAAATAAAATAAATCACCACAAACAAATCTCCCTAATGAGATTATTTTTCCATCAGCACTTTCTTTTTCTCTCCTGGCATGTATCATATCTTGCTATGTCGATTATGGTGAGTCACACAGCCATTTGTTTACACTCTGGTTTGGTTAAAAAAAGGCAGAGCTGGATCTGGGTACGCCTCCCATTCATGATGAGAACACCTCCCACCCCGACACCCAGGATGAGGGCTTCTCTGCCTGAAGTGTCCAGGCCTTGGAATGAAGAGGCTAAAAGGTGGTAAGAAAAATGAAACTCAAATAGCTCACTCCAGGAAGAAAACTCATCCGTGGCACAACACTGCATCTTGGAAATCAGCCTGGCTTTTCTTTCTTAAGTCATACTGGAACTGTCTCTCTTTAATATGTGTGAATGAAGCTGAAAAGAGATTCAAACCCTAAGATGGCAGTAGCCTTAGAAATTTCATATCCTGAATAAATTTGAGAGAGAGAGGAAGGGGAGAGAGAGAAATGTTGCGAGACACCTTTCTTCCTCCAATAAACAAAAAAGCAAATACCCCAGATGCCTTTTATACTCACCCCGGGGCAAGCAGCTTATTACTAAGTTCAGAAGCTTTTGCTGCTCCTACTTTCTACAACCCCATCTGTTTCCTCTCCTGTTGCTGGTGGCTTCATTCCAGGGACACTACCCTTGAGGAAGAGGGAGCTGGCATACTAAGATCCTTCTAGCGTCACTCTTGCTTGCAGACACCTGCAGATTTCCCGTGAATGTTTCCTGTTCAATTCAACGGGTTTTAATTACATGAACTAACATTTGCTCACTCTTAAACCACGGTTGCCCTCATAAAAGACAGACTCCAAAAGACTGGGATTGGGCAAGCCCAGAAAAATCTAAATGTTTATGCAAACATGCTCATGTTTCCCTCCTCATATTCCTTACTGCTCTATCATTACAGATGTTCTGCCTTGGGAGATCTACCTTCTGTTTTTCTCATTTAAGGCAAAAAAACATAAATTCTCTCTTTTCAATTTCCATGTACTCCTGGTGGAAGCAGGAGTAAGTTCCCCTCCTGCAGACACCTCAGCTTTCTGGGCATAAATGGCCCCTGTTGGCTCCTTAGTGAAGTCTAAGAGGCAGTGACCCTCCGTGGAGCTGCAGTGGTGCTTCCCTTTCTGTAGCTTCTGGGCCATATTTCTGAACCAGAAATTGAGAACTATCTGAAAAAATCTGAGATGTATTGTTTCTCAAGTCTTGTCAAGCATATTGCACAGTTTGCTCCCCTGCCAAGTTTCTCCCTCATAATCCTGACATGTTTGTCCCAAAACACACTCATTTCCCATAATCAAAAGAGCCTGGTGGGGGGGGGTGGGGAAACCTGAGAACTCAAGAGGCATAAAAATGAAAGCTAGTTATGTGAGACTTCATTTATTATCATGATGAACCCAAGAGTTTCCGATGTATGGTTTTTGGTAGTTTTTAGAGTCCAATGTCCTTATTTTGAGCTTAGAGATATTGCAAGGTCCCTACCACAACCCCCACCACCACACACACACGAGGCTGCCCACACGAGGGGCATCTGGTGAAAGGAAGCAACAATCAGTTGACAGTCTATCAATCAACTGGAAGTGAGCTGTTTTATCCACAAAGTAGGTTGAAAGAAGAGTGTCTAAGCACTCCTTTTTAGACAATAGAGCCTGGGTACAGATTACCAGAAATCTGAACCACACCAGAAGTTCTTAGTGCAGTAGATATTTAACAAGGCAAAATGCACGCCCTTCCTCTTCTCTAAACTAGTTCCGTGACGGTGGTGGAATGAAAGGCTTTGGCTTTCATACACATCACTCAGATATAAATAACTGCTTCTGACAGCCTCAAGCTTGACTTCCTCAAACTCAGGTCTTCACTTCCCCCAGGGCAAGGTCAGGTACACCTGCTTCTCCAAAAAGCGGCACATTGCCTTCTTCTAAGTAAATTATCTCCATATTTTTGAGGCGGAGTTCTTAAGAAAGGCAAAACCACTGCACCTAAGCAATCAGTTGCACTTCTATGCAAGAGTCTCCATCACTCTTCTCCAAAGACACTAACTACAAAACCAAATATGTGATTCTTGAAATCAAAGAAAACCTGCCATACACTGCTCTTTAATCACTGCCTCCCTGAAGGTACAAACAGCTGGACTGTAAAACATGCCCACGCAGACAATCCCTGTGTCCTGCACATGCATGTGTGTGTACACACATAGACACACACTCACTCAACGTCATGTGTAGCAAACAGTAGACAATTCCACACTTTCAGGACAGGCACCAGCCAAATCCTTAAATTGTGAAACTAAGAATGCAAGCAGCAAAACTTGTGATTTCAGGCCACTTTTGATTATATTTCTGGAGCTCAGCCAAGAGAGCCATTTCCAAGAAAAGCAGCTCAGACAATTGCACAGTCAGCTCTCCAGCCTTAAACCAAGCTCTTTGTCAAGCTAAGCGGGATGTTTCTCCTCCTGACCTTATCTCAGGCTCCAGCCCTATAACATGTCTGTTAACTAAGTAGCAAATTATCGGCCTTCACCAAGAATACACAAGGAAGAAGTAGAACAAATCCACCTCACATTGCGAGCAACTGGAGAGTCAGCACAACAAACGATTGTGTGCCGAGTACTGCTAGTGAACAGGCACAACAAGGTGCTGATCGTTTCAGACAAAGGGAGAGAAAGGAGTGAACTCCCAAATGTGAGCCCTACACCAACCACCCAGCCAGCCAACAAAATTGTTTCCCTCAAGTGGGCAGCCTTGCCTGAGGAAGCCATGTCTATAATCTAAAGCCGACCTACAGGATTTGTAATAAAGCTCAAACTGGACCTCCCTCTGTCCTGGGGACGGACTCAGAACATAGAATCCATCTGGGGGCCATTTGCTCAGATTGGGAGTAGCTGGAGGCTTGGGAGGGAAGAAAGCCACTGTAGTTTTCATGACCCGTGAACCTAGATCCAGTGTGCAAGCCAGGCTACCCTGAAGGTCCCAGAATGAAGCCTTTCTTCCTCGTTAGACACGTAAGTCCAAGGGAACTGCACTTTAAATTCCATAAATACATAGTAAGTGAATAAATAAGTCACTGACCATTTATATGCATAGATAGCATTTTGGGTGGCAACCGCTGACTTAGAACATTTGCCCTATTTAGAATCTAACTCAGGCTTAACTTAGAGGAGACTATTCTGAGGTAAAAAAATTTTTTTGTTGATAGTTTTTTAGTTCTTTGATGTTAGAACTTATTTTGAGATGTTAAAAATAAATATTTGAGGCCGGGTGTGGTGGCTCACATCTGTAATCCCAGCACTTTGGGAGGCCGAGGCGGGTGGATTACCTGAGGTCAGGAGTTCCAGACCAGCCTGGCCAACATGGGGAAACCCTGTCTCTACTAAAAATATGAAAATTAGCCAGGCGCGGTCGTGCACACCTGTAATCCCAGATATCTGGGAGGCTAAGGCAGGAGAATCGCTTGAACCCGGGAGGTGGAGGTTGCAGTGAGCCGTGATCGCGCCACTGCACTCTAGCCTGGGTGACAGAGCCAGAGTCCATCTCAAAAATAAAAATAAAATAAAATAAATATTTTTAAAACTTAGGCAGCAAATGGTATCATTTTACTCATCCCCTAATTTAGATAATAAATTAGCCTCTATTTCTCACCCTCACAAATAAATTCCATACTGACTAAAAAGCCTAAAGTAAAAAATCAAAATGAGTATTAGAAGGAAATGGAAATGTGGCCCCATGCAGTGGCTCACACCTGTAATCCCAGCACTTTGGGAGGCTGAGGCGGGAGGATCGCTTGCGCACAGGAGTTCGAGACCATCTGGGCATCATAGCAAGACCCTGTCCCTACAAAAAATTAAAAAATTAGCCAGGTATGGCGGTGCATGCCTGTAGTCCCACCTACTAAAGAGGCTGAGAGGGGAGGATCGCTTGGGCTTAGGAGGTTGAGGCTACAGTTAGCCATGATCATATCCTGTACTCCAGCCTGGAAACAGAGTGAGATCCTGTCTAAAAAAAAAAAAAAAAAAAAAGGAGACAAGACATAAGAGAGTATTTTACAATCTTGAGATAGAGAAGGACTTTCTAAGCAAGATATAAAACCAGAAACCATAAAGAAAAAGAATTACAGATTTGACTGCATAAAAACTTTAAACTTTGTAAAATAAAAGGGCCTATATACAGACTAAGAGAGAATATTTACAACAGAACTAACATCCAGAGTAAATAGGACAGATACAAGTCAATAATAAAACACAAACCACCCGATAATAAGTGTGCAAAGAATATTCATAAGAAATTCACAAATGCAATTGGTGGAGTTGAACAGAACAATGCTGATGACCCCAGAATCTTGTTCCTAGATATATACCCAACAGAGATGATGCACAGCTATACTAAAGAGCATGCACGATAATGCTCTTAGCAACATTATTCATTAATAACTGAAAGTTGGCAACAGATGTAACCCAGATGTCCATCAATCAATAAATTGTGATATATTCACATAATGCAATACAATAAGCAATGTAAATGAGCATACTACAGCTACACACGAGTACGTGAAAGACTCATAAACGTAATGCGAATGAAGGAAGCTAGACGCAGAAGAGTGCATGTTTGTATGAGTCTGTTCATATGACAGTAGGAAACAGGAACGACTAATCTACAGCACTTAGATGTTGGGGTAGGAATTACTTTGGAGGAGGTCGATCTTTTTCAGGGGAGAGTCTTCTTTTGGGGAGAAGGTCTTATAATATTTTATTTATTGACTTGGGACATGATTACAAGGAAGAGTTCACTTTGTCTTAATGCATTGATCAGTACACCTTTAATGTATACACCTTTCCTTTTTCTTTTCTTTTTTTTTTTTTTTTTTTGAGATGGAGTCTCGCTCTGTCGCCGAGACTGGAGTGCAGTGGCGAGATCTCAGCTCACTGCAACCTCCGCCTCCCGGGTTCCAGCGTTTCTCCTGCCTCTGCTTCCCGAGCAGTCGGGATTACAGGCACCTGCCACCATGCCCAGCTAATTTTTGTATTTTCAGTAGAGACAGGGTTTCGCCCTGTTGGCCAGACTGTTCTCAAACTCCTGACCTCAGGCAATCCACCCGCCTTGGCCTCCCAAAGTGCTGGGACTACAGGCGTGAGCCACTGCACCCGGCCTATACACCTTTTCTGTATTTTTATTTTTAAAAGTTCCCAAAATTGAAATGGTCAGTAGGCCACTGCAACCAGCCTATACACCTTTTCTCTATTTTTATTTTTAAAAGTTCCAAAAATTGAAATGGTCAGTAGGCCACTGCAACCAGCCTATACACCTTTTCTGTATTTTTATTTCTAAAAGTTCCAAAAATTGAAATGGTCAATAGGCATATGATAAAATGAACAATCTAACTGGTAAATCCAGGAAATGCAATTTAAAATGACACTGTTTTTTCTGCACATGACGCTGGCAGTTTTAACAAAATGATTATGTCCAACGCTGATGAGTATAATGGTGGCTATAAAAATCAGAACAGAATTTTGGGGGAGAAACTCAATATTATTTACAAAAATTTTAAATGTGCATGCCCTTTGATCCAGAAATTCCACTTCTAGAAATAATATCCTTCAGAAACACTCATACATACACACACCCATTTGTGTATAAGAACATTTGTTGCAGCATTGTTTGTAATGGTGAAAAATGGAAAACCACCTATGTGATCCTTTGCTAAAATAGTGGGTAAAGAAACTATGATACATCTAGAAGGAATGCAACAGTTAAAATGGGGGATGCCTATATGCACTAACACAGAAAGAGCTACAGGGAATGTTGTTAAGTAAAAGAAAAAAGTAAGTCAGAGAACAGAACATGTCATGTGATCGTTTATGCATAAATGACCTGAATGGGCCGGGTGTGGTGGCTTACACCTGTAATCCCAGCACTTTGGGAGGCCGAGGTGAGCAGATAACGAGATCAAGTCCATCCTGGCCAACATGGTGAAACCGCGTCTCTACTAAAAACACAAAAATTAGCTCAGCGTGGTGGCGCGCACCTGTAGTCCCAGCTACTCGGGAAGCTGAAAGCTGAAGCAGGAGAATTGCTTGAATCCAGAAGGCAGAGGTTGCAGTGAGCTGAGATTGTGCCACTGCACTCCAGCCTGGGTGACAGAGGAAGACTCCGTTTAAAAAAAAAAAAAAAAAAAGACCTGAATGTCCTTAAAACATTAAAACCACACACACAAAAAATTAAAACAACGGAAAATATCTGATGTGGTTCATTTATCTAAATACTTCACAAATCCTAAGACAAATAAATTTAACTTCTCTCTTGAGAAGTTATATGCACTGTATAAGAATTCTCTGGAACTGTCTCTCTACACCAAACCTGAAAGGACTGCACCACAATGGGAAGGAACTATTTCTTGTTCCACAGCCTCCTAGAAGAGTCTCAGTGTCTCCTCAGAAATGCCAGCTCCCACACGGGCCTGAGCAATAGCTCATGGAGTCTCTCCAGACCTTTGTGCTTCTGAGGCACTTTTCAATAATTAACTAATCTGCCTAAAGGGTGGGGCGGGCTATGGCTCCCACAGACTCAGCACTCCCTTCAGCCAGCTGCCCTCTGGAATGCAAAGGCATCCATCCCCTAGGAATGGCTGTTGGTCAATCCCTGCCCCACCACAGCCCCCAAACTCAGGAGGGTGAAAGGGCCAGGGCAGGAAAGCAACTTCCCCTCTCAGATGTTCTCCTGGAGAAATTATATTACTCTCGCCTACCTCCACCTCTCCTCTGTCATGCTCCTCCAGCATCTGAAAAAGAACGTTCCAACAGGCAGCAGGACAAATTACATGTCAATGCTGTCAGTTTCAATGCTGCCCTTTGTTGCTCCAGGTCCTATGAACCACAGAAAAATGTATAGGTCCTTTCCATTTTTTTTTTCTTTCTGGCACAAATAAAATAAACAGCAGAAGCAGTTTCTATTTCAGTATTTTCAAAGGGATGGTGTCTGGAGGAATGGTTCCCAATCTTTGGAATTTAACAAACCATTAAAATTTTGAAAACCTTTTGAGAGACTAACATAGGACTGCTCACTTCTATTTTGCCAAGCACAGACACTTAAAAAACAACCTGAATTATTGTCACCATCATTTTATGGTGGGAGATGATTGGACACTTTAACCCCAAAACAATGTAATCATGACAATCTCAGATTTTAAAACAGGACTTCAAATTTAATACACTCAGATGCATGAGAAATACACATGTATTTCACGTAGACTGGTGAACACTTCCTTACAGACGCACCAGCCCCTTGGAAAGAACTGGCAGAGACTAAATCATAAGTTTCCAAACCTGACTATGCCTGAGAAAGATAGGAAGGCATTAAAAATAATAATAATAATAATACAGATTCCAGATTCCCACCCCATCCATATTTACTGTATCACCTTCTGAGGATTTCTTGAGACGGAGTTTTGCTCTGTCACTCGGGCTGGAGCGCAATGGCACTATCTCGGCTCACTGCAACCTCTGCCACCCAGGTTCAGGTGATTCTTCTGCCTCAGCCTCCAGAGTAGCTGGGATTACAGGCACCCACCATCATGCCAGGCTAATTTTTGTATCTCTGTAGAGAAGGGGTTTCACCATGTTGGCCAGGCTGGTCTTGAACTCCTGACCTCAGGTGATCCACCTGCCTCGGCCTCCCAAAGTGCCGGGATTACAGGCGTGAGCCACCTCGCCCGGCCGCCTCTGAGGCTTTCTAAGGGTGGGGCCCTGGAATGTGTATTTAAAACTTTTTTTTACTATGGTGAAATATACATAATATAAAATTTACCACTTTAACCATTTTAAGTGTACAATTCAGTGGCAATAAGGACATTTACAATGCTGTATGTAACTTTTCATCATCCCAAACAGAAACTCTGTACCTGTTGAGCAATCACTCCGCATTTCCCCTTCCCCCAGCTCCTGCCAAACCTCTATTCTACTTTCTGTCTCTGTGAATTTGCCTATTCTAGGTCACTCAAAGAAGTAGAATCACACAATATTTTTCCTTTTGTGTCTGGGTTATTTCACTTAGCATAATGTCTTTGGTGCTCATCCGTGTCATAGCAGGTATCAGAATCCCACTCCTTTTTGTGGCTGAATCCTTCTCCATTGCATGCATTTGCCACATTTTGTTTATCTGTTCATCTGCTGGTGGACGGTTCTGTTGTTTCTACCTTTTGGCTATTATGAACGGTGCTGCTATGAAGGTTGTTGTACACGCATCTGTTTGAGTTCCTATTTTCTATTACTTTGAGTATATACCTAGGAGTGGAATATGCTGGATCATATGGAAATTCTGTATTACCACCAAGGAACAATCAGGCTGTTTTCCACAGTGGCCGCACCATTTTACACTCCCTCCAGCAATATGCGAGTGTCCCAAGTTAGCCACATCCTCACCGACATTTGTTGTTTTCTGTTTTTGTTTTTATTACCAGCCATCCTCATAGATGTGAAGTGGTATCTCATTGTGATTTTGATTTGTATTTCCCTAATGATTAATGATTTTAAACATCTTTTCCTGTGCCTATTGGCCATCTGTGTATCTTCTTTGGAGAACTGTCTATTGAATTACTTTGCCTATTTTAACATTAGGTTGTTTGGTTTGTTGTTGTTGAGTTGTAGGGGCTTTTAACATATTCTGGATAGTAGTCCCTTATCAGATGTGTGATTTGCAGGTATTTTCTCCCATTCTGTAGGCCATCTTTTCATTCCCTTCACAGTGACCTTTGATACACTGAAGTTTTTTATTTTGATGAAGCCAAATTTGTCTATTTTTTTCTTTGGCTACCTGTGCTTTTAGTGTCACATCCAAGAAATCTTGCCAAATCAAAGATTATGAAGATTTAGTTTAGGTCCTTGATCTATCTTGAGTTAATTTTTGCACATGGTATAAGGTAAGGGTCCAGCTTCATTCTTTTGTAAGTGGATATCCAGTTTTCCCAGCACTATTGAAGACAAGGGTTTGTTTCCCGGCTCTCTATTTTATTCCATTGATCTATACGTCTGTTCTTATGTTACTACCACACTACGTGGTCTACTGTAGCTTTGTAGCAAATTTTGTGTGAGAAATCTCACCACGCTACCCGCTCCAGAAGTGCCTGCAGGAAGGAATGAAAGGACACAGGGGCGAGCGAGTCTCTGAGTATGAGAAGATCGTTGACAGCCCTGGAGCAGCAAGGGTGCTCTGGTGTGCGGCTTCCACCCTTCCCCTGATCGCAGCTGCCTCTGTTGGGCTAGCTCCTCCAACCATAGTGCTTGGTCTGTAACCACCAGAGTTCTGGGCAAGTCCTTAGTCTGAAAAAGGATGAAGAGAGGAGGTGTTGTGTGCAAAATGTGATTCACAAGAGTGGCCAGGAGTCAAAGGCCTCTGTCCCTCTTTTTTTTTTTTTTTTTTTTTTTTTTTGAGATGGAGTCTCGCTCTGTCGCCAGGCTGGAGTGCAGTGGCGCAATCTCAGCTCACTGCAACCTCTGCCTCCCAGGTTCAAGTGATTCTTCTGCCTCAGCCTCCCAAGTAGCTGGGACTACAGGCGCCCACCACCACACCCAGCTAATTCTTGTCTTTTTCGTAGAGACGGGGTTTCACCATATTGGCCAGGATGGTATCAGTCGATCTCTTGACCTCATGATCTGCCTGCCTCGGCCTCCCAACTTTTTTTTTAAATTAAGGAAATATCTCTGAGTCATAAAAGACCCCTCCTTGAGCTTTCATAGGCCAAGCAGACCCTGCTGCAGCAGGAAAAAGGAGGTTTCTTGACACAAATTGATTAATTCAAAGTTATTCTAAAACATTTTCTTGGCCTATTCATACACAAAGGCACAAAGATCTTGGACAATGGAAAAGCATCACAAAACTTATATTTAGAGAAACTACTTTCCACAGTTTCCTTTGCCCTTTAAACTCAGTCTCTAGCTGGGCATGGTGGCTCATCCCTGTAATCCCAACACTTTGGGAGACCAAGGCAGAAGGATTCCTCGAAGCCAGGAGTTTGAAAGCAGCCTGAGCAACACAGCAAGACCCCATTTCTATTAAAAAAAAAAAATTAAAAATAACTAAATAAATAAACTCATCCTCTCTTCTCCCTACCCCCAGTCTTCCTCAGGCACCAGTCTACGTTTCTAGTAAAAACTTGCTTGGCCACTTGTGTAGAAAGAGGAATTAATTTAATATTTGAATACTCAGCTGACTGGTTCTCCATGGGAGCAAGTAGCCAAGTAAATATCCAAGAGAGAACGAGGGAAGGGACAAAATGGCACCAAGCCTGAATTGTGAAGTCCTCTATCATCCTGCAACACCCTGGATATGCAAACCGAATATCCTCTCTCTTGGTGAGTCACGGCCTCCCACGCCCAGCAGGGTGTAGAAACATTTGACTGAAACCTGTATAAAATAGTAAGAACAAGTCAAGCAGGTAAAACATTTCCTGGCTGTCAGTTTAATAAAAGGTTCAACCCTGCTTTAAGATGGAAGGAAGACGGGAGGCGGGGTTTCAGAAATACAGGTTTTACATAATCCCACAGAAACCAGGGATCTGCAATAAGGCTTGAAGATTTTTAGTCTCACAGGTATTTCCGTCTGTAAACACAAATGCACATGGAAGCTCTGAACACATAGTTTGTGTTTGTTTTATATTAAGAGGATGGGCATTTCTTTAGAGCTCCAGGCGTTGAGTAGATGACCATTTGGAGGAGATGATGAGTTTCCTCTTCAAAATGCAAGATGTCGATCAACATTCATGCTGTTCCTATTTCTATTTTTTTCCTCCCTTCTACCCCTTACTCCTGAAATGGATAAGAAGAGGCAATAATAGCATCCCAGCAAATCAGAACTGGCTCAGATGCCAAAGGCCTAAAAGAGACGATCGCATTAGCAAGAAGGCCTGTGACTAAAAATCCAAAACCTAAAACTACTATACGTAAACCTAGGGCTCAAATAGCCTACACTACTGTGACATCAGAAGCATTATTTCTCAAGATTGAGAAGGGCTAGTGAAAACGCTTCTGGGCCTGCAAAGCTGTGAACTGATGTGCAAGGCTGCAGTAGCCCAAGCTGATCCTGATGAACACTGGAGCTGTCTCTGCCTCTTTATGTAAATAGAAAATGTTCCTAATAAACGTGTACTAGGTCGTTGTCGGTAAACACATGTTAGGCACCCGCTTGGCCTGCACCGATCTGACCAGATCTATTTCCATTTCCCCGAACCATCGCTTGGATGATGAAGCACATCGCAGAGTACTGCTTCATCACCATTCAGGAATTGTACCCTTTTAAATTTCTATATGGGTATGCGCTGCTTTTGACACAGCTTTTGTTGTAAGCAGGCACTAAAATAGAAGCTTATAATTAGCTATCTGGGGAGGCAAGTGTGTGGTAGAACAGAGCTCAGCAAGAGAAAAGTCAAGGCAGGTCCTGGGGAAACACTGCATGGAAGATGAGTAATACAGAGGTATGTTGAAGTGTGGCCACCCCACTAAAGTAGGGGGGAGGGAGTTCTGTCACTGTACACCTTTCTAGTTAAAATTTCCATACGTATTATCATGTAGTTCTGAAAGTGTACTTGCAATTTATCTAACACCACTTAATCCTGGAAACCTGTACTGGGCTGGAGTGTAAGATATATGATTCCAGACAGATCACAGTTCCCAGAGGGCAGCACTATGTCTGGTCATGTCTATATCTCCAGACCCAGGGCCAGCACCTGGCCCCACAATGGGCCCTCAGTTTGACTTTCGAATCACATCCTTCCAGATCACCCCGATTTTTACAGTCTTAACCTTTTGATATCTAAATCTGAGACTAGGTGTCAACTTTAACTCTCATGTCTCTACATTTCAAGCTCCCTGCTGTTATACTTAGTCTTGATACAGAAGGATAGAAAGGATGATTTTTGACTTCTGCTTTACCCCCATCTGAGTCTGGCTTACCTCAAATGGAGTTCTGGCTGCTGAACACCTCCCCGCCTTCTCTGAAAATACAGTAAGGGAACATACAGCACCAGGACCTGGGGACTGGGCCTGGACCCTGTCTACCACTCTCAACTTCTTTTCTCACTTTGTACCAATTCTTGCTACTCTTCTTCATATATTTGGACACTGAGTCTCTCACCAGT
The DNA here is from genome assembly GCF_000001405.40 of Homo sapiens. Taxonomy (NCBI): domain Eukaryota; kingdom Metazoa; phylum Chordata; class Mammalia; order Primates; family Hominidae; genus Homo; species Homo sapiens. Next base: position 49,961,039 of record NC_000014.9, on the reverse strand, counting down.
TCACTCTAATCTCAGATAGCGTACTAATCTATTTTCTGTGCTCAGATTATTAAAATAGAAATTAAAATGGACTTGAGTCTTGGTTAAACTTCAGATTTTCTGCCACCTCATTTTTAAGAGTCTGGCCTATAGTCCATGGTGAAACCCCATCTCTACAAAAATTAGACAGGCATGGTGGTGTGCACCTGTAATCCCAGCTATTCAAGAGGCTGAGGCAGGACAATCACTTGAACCGCGGAGGTGGAGGTTGCAGTGAGCTGAGATCGCACCACTGCACTCCAACCTGGGCAACAAAGCGAGACTCTGTCTCAAAAAAAAAAAAAAGAAGAAGAAATAAAACTCAAAAGAAACTAAACCTGCTCAGAGGATTTCAACATACAGCCAAGCAACCCAAAGTGATTTCTGTATTTCTCAATCCAGCCCAAGAGTGGATTGGCAGGAAGGGTGCAGGACCTAACCCAATGACAATGCTCGCAGGAGGAGCCCTCCAGAAGGCAACAGGTACGGATGTTTCCTGGTGCTATGCATTTCTTTTATTTTGTCTTCAAAACTCCCACCCAGGGAATGTGTCTTCATTTTGCGCTGGAGGCTGTCTCTCCAGTAAAAAAAAAAAAAAAAAAAAAAAAAGGGGGGGCTCCCACCCTGAGGAGGGCTCTCAAAGGGTTTTACTCAATGCATCCCGGAGAAATGGCTGCATTCGTCATGAATCCTCCCCTCCTAAACAGCCACATTTCTAGTAGTTCAGTGACAGGAGAGAAAATACTCATCCCCTCCTGTCATTCCCGGAAGCAGTGCTGGAGAAAATATAACCAACCAGGCGTGAAGTTACTACACAGAGACCGCACAGCCACAGGTGAAGAGGTTTTTGCAGCAGGGTGTGGGAGGAGTGGAGCCGAGCTCCAGGTGCAAGGAGGCATAAATCACAGAACCGTTGTGCTTCAAAAACTCCCATGTTGTTACCAAAGACCTGATAATTATGTCTGTGAACATCCTCTGCCTTCTTTTTACTACACTGATCTGTCCACTTACAGAACTAAAACTTCTAGGTTTTCTTCCCAAAGGCTCTGTATCTCTGAAAAATGTGAAGTTTCACTAAAAAGAAAACACTGGGCGGCTGGGTGCAGTGGCTCATGCCTGTAATCCCAGCACTTTAGGAGGCCGAGGCAGGTGGATCAGTTGAGGTCAGGAGTTCAAGACCAGCCTGGCCAACAAGGTGAAACCCCATCTCTACTCAAAATACAAAAATTAGCCGGGTGTGGTGGCACATGCCTGTAGTCCCAGCTACTTGGTAGGCTGAGGCAGGAGAATCACTTGAACCCACAAGGCGGAGGTTGCAGTGAGCTGAGATCGTGCCACTGTAATTTTTATAAAATTAAAATGAAGCATGCATGTAAGAGGGAAACTGCAATCAAGAAAGCAAAACTACATATTGTGGTAAAAGTAGCTGGTGAGGATGGTAAAGTTCAATACATTAAAAGAGGCTATTCTGATTCCCTTTCAGCCATCCTTTACCAAGCACCTTTATGTGCCAAACAAAATGCTAGATGTCTTTGGGAATCTAAGAAGGCAGTATGATGAATGATGTTTGCCCTCAAAGCATTTATAGTTTAATTGGAAATAACAGTGATAAATAGATGCAGATATAAAAATCAACAGGCAGGGTATGGTGGCTCACGCCTGTAATCTCAGCACTTTGGGAGGCTGAGGTGGGCGGATCACCTGAGGTTTGGAGTTTAAGACCAGCCTCACCAACATGAAGAAACCCTGTCTCTACTAAAAATAACAAAATTAGCAGGGTGTGGTGGTGCATGCCTGTAATCCCAGCTACTCCAGAGGCTGAGGCAGGAGAATCGCTTGAACCTGGGAGGCGGAGGTTGCAGTGAGCCGAGATGGGAGGCGGAGGTTGTGGTGAGCTGAGATCGCGCCATTGCACTCCACCTTGGGCAACAAGAGCAAAATTCCATCTCAAAAAAAAAAAAAAATCAACAATACGAGTACAGAAGTACAGACCTGGAGCCAAATTGCCTCCACCACTCAAGGTCAGAATTGAAGGGGGTTCCAAAAACTCAGCAATCAAGATAAATAGTATTTTAATATTATTAAATAAGATGTACTGTTATTATCATTATTATTTGAGACAGAGTCTCACTCTGTTGCCCAGGCAGGAGTGTAGTGACACAATCAAGGCTCACTGCAGCCTCCACCTCCCGGGCTCAAGTCATCCTCCATTCTCAGCCTCCCAAGCAACTGGGACTACCAGCATGTACTGTCATGCCCAACTAATTTTTAATTTTTTGTAGAGAAGGAGTCTTGCTATGTTGTTCGGGTTGTTCTCAAACTTCTGGCCTCAAGGGATCCTCCTGCCTCAGCCTCCCAAAGTGCTAGGATTTAAAGGCTTGAGCCACTGCCCCTGGCCTGCATAATTTTTAAAAAATAAAAGTTCATGCATAAAATCTATGATATACAAAATAGCAAAAGTTTAAATGAAACAAGCTTCACCTGGGTGCAGTGGCTCACACCTCTGCAATCTCAGCACTTTGGGACGCCAAGGTGGGTGGAGCACTTGAGGCCAGGAGTTTGAGACCAGCCTGGCCAACATGGCGAAATCCCATTTCAACTAAAAATACAAAAACTTAGCCAGGCACGGTGGTGCGCATCTGTGGTCTCAGCTACTTGGGAGGCTGAGGAGGGAGGATAGCTTGAGCTCAGTGGACAGAGGTTGCAGAGAACTGAGATCATGCCACTGCACTCCAGCAGCCTGGGTGACAAAGCAAGATCCTGTCTCAAAAAAAAAAAAAAGAAAGAAAAAGAAACAAGCTCCAACAATGCTGTGCCAAGCCATACTGGAGCCTGAGGCAACAGGAAAAGTGTGCACCCCTATTAATAAGTCTTAGTATATTTTTTAATCATTAATATTTCTCCAGGACATTAATGTCATTGAGAAAATACTGAAACTGAAAAGTGGGTATATTAAAACTCATGACATTAAGTTTAAATATTTTTACCCCAAACAGAACTTGTTACTAATTTTACTTTCTTGGCTTTAATGAAAGCACACTTATCACTTACTAGCTTTGTAATCCTGGATGAGTTTCTTAATCTCTCTGTGCCTTGGTTTCCCCTTCTGTAAAAAAGGTAGTGGGGGTGGAAGAACAGTGCTGTCTCACACGATTGTTGTGAAGATTGAGTTATTATGTATTAGGACAGCACCCAGTGCACAGCAAATCCTCTTCAGGTTAAGTTATTTGTTATTGTGTCTTTATTACATAGACAGTGAAGTTTTAGGAGATCAGAGATGCAAGAGATCACTTCCAACCAAGATGAGGTCCTTCCTAGCTGTTGTCACCTACTCTCTGATATTTCACCCCACAGGGACGTGTGCTCACCACTGTATACTCTGGTCTGTAATAGGTCAAGTCCCTTAACTGGCACTCAATAAATATTTACCTATTAGGTGAAAGACAATTGGAAAGTGCTTTCTGGAGAAGATGGCGTTTGAGTTGGCCTTTAATAAATATTAGGGAAAAAATTGGGAAGGCAGAAAAGGTATGATGAGGGAGGGCATTTGAGTTCCCAGCAACACACCTAATGGAGATGTTCATCGGTCATTTGAAAATGTGAGACTAGCACTTCGAAGAGAGATGGAATGAAATTGTAAACATGGGCATAATTCGCATGCTTGTGATAGGAGCATCACATAGACAGATGCCCTCTCCCAGGCAGAGGGTGTGCTCAGAGAATTGGAAAGAACAAAGGACAAGGCTGGATGAGTCTGGAGAGGAACTAGGGAAGACATCTGAGAATTCAGGAGGATCCTCAGGAATTCGGAGCCTCCAAATCATGCAACATCTCCCTGACTCCTAAAACAATTCTCTGAATAAGTAAAAACAATCTCAAGTAAGAGACACAAAGCATTCACGTGTTCATCCTGAAATATTTTATTTTGAAACTTGATGAAGGTTCAAATGAAACATTCAGCAGTTAGTATATATATGTGTATATATATATATGTATATATATGTGTATATATGTGTGTATATATATGTGTGTGTGTGTGTATATATATATATATATATATTTTTTTTTTTTTTTTTTTGAGAGAGAGAGAGTCTTATTCTGTTGCCCAGGCTGGAGTGCAGTGGCATGATCTCGTCTCATTGCAACCCCTGCCTCCCAGGTTCAAATGATTCTCCTGCCTCAGCCTCCCAAGCAGCTGGGACTACAGATGCACGCCACCACGCCCAGCTAATTTTTTCTATTTTCAGTAGAGACAGGGTTTCACCATGTTGGCCAGGCTGGCTTCAAACTCCTGACCTCAAGTGATCCGTCTGCCTCGGTCTCCCAAAGTGCTGGGATTATAGGTGTAAGCCACCGTGCCCGGCCCTCAGCATTTAGTAGAGTATGTTTTAACATCATGTATTTTCTTCTAATTAAACTCCAGAAAAGAAATGTTTCTAATAAGATTAATAAATGACAAAGTCACCAACTGCTTTGAAAAGATAGCAAATCCAACCTCCCACCCATGCCTTCCTTTTAATATGGAATACTTCACATCACTCGTAACTCATACATTGATTATTCTCCAACAATTAATTTTTTAAGCCAGTAATTTGGAAACATCAGAAATGTGGCTTGGTTCACAATCTACCTTGCAAATGCTTAGCTTTCCCACAGTGCCAATGACCACCATTATTAATACTTCTTTATTCCTCTACTTATAACTTGGTTTCTATAACAACCATCACATTAGATGGTTTGCCTGTTTACTTGTTTCCTCTATGAGCTCCTGGGGGGCAAAAGCTGTGCTTTATTTACCTTTGTATCCTCAGCACCTGACAAGCTGACATATGGTAGATACTCAATAAATATATATTAAGTGAATGAATAAATGAATGAATGGAGGCCGGGGGCGGTGGCTCGTGCCTGTAATCCCAGCACTTTGAGAGGCCGAGGCAGGCAGATCACCTGAGGTCGGGAGATTGCGACCAGCCTGACCAACATGGAGAAACCCTGTCTCTACTAAAAATACAAAATTAGCTGGGTGTGGTGGTACATGCCTGTAATCCCAGCTACTCGGGATGCTGAGGCAGGAGAATCACTTGAACCCAGGAGGCAGAGGTTGCAGTGAGCTAAGATTGCACCATTGCACTCCAGCCTGGGCAGCAAGAGCGAAACTCCATCTCAAAAAAAAAAAAAAAAAAAAGAGACCAAAAACAAAACACACACACACACACACAAAAACCTGTGCTTTATTTACCTTTGTATCCTCAGCACCTGACAAACTGATATATGGTAGATACTCAATAAATATATAGTAAGTGAATGAATAAATGAATGAATGGAGACAGAGCGCAGTGGCTCACACCTGTAATCCCAGCACTTTGGGAGGCCGAGGCGGGCAGATCACCTGAGGTCAGGAGTTTGAGACCAGCCTGGCCAACATGGTAAAACTAAGAATACAAAAATACAAAAATTTGCACTACAGCCTAGGCGATAGAGCAAGACTCCGTCCCCCCACCCAAAAAAAGAAGGCTGCTAGGGGCATGCAGTTGGGGCAGGGTATTTGAAGGAGTGTGGATTGGAAAGAGAAGATACCTAAGGCTGTTAGGGGAGGGATAGGGGCTGTTGAAGCAACTATGGAGCCCAGGGAATATGAAGAGGGGCTCAAGTAAAACAGGAGCAGGAAATATATAAAGAATATTTACATGTTGTTTATAAGCTCCTAAGGGATAAGGTGGCATGATATACATTGCTGACTCCCTGCCTGAATTTCCCTTCCTTGGGAAAGCCCAGCTTCATCCCCATGAGGCCATGTGCTCTGGAAGGCCTCCCTGAGTCAAGCCTTGAGTGTATGGTGTTGATTCAATTCTGGCCAATGAGGCATGAAAAGAAATTTGCTGGGGCAGGGAGCATAGTTTGGGAGAAATTCTGTTGCTATCAAGAAGAGACAGGTAAGAGGAAACCTCTCCTTTCCCCTGGCTCAAAATCTTGCCATGATTTGATGCTGGGAAATGCCTTGGTCGTGAGAAGCCACACAGAAGGTTGCAGAGAGGAAAGATGGGCAATATCTGTGGGCTTGGGAGGTCCTCCATGATGTCCCTAAGCCCCTGAATTGGCCAATCCTGGAGCCAACCCACCTCTGGCCTTGTTAAATGGGATGATAAGGCCCTCTCTCATCTAAGCCCATTTGAGCCAGGGTTTCTGTGATTCAAAATCAACAATGGTTATGAGTTTGTGCAGACCCAACTCTCCCTTCCAACTGCCTCTTCTAGGGAGACATCAATTCTACCAGGATCTGGCCTCATATGTGTGGAATGAATTAGGCTTGTAAATTCCCAAAATGTGAATTCTTTGCTGCTTGGAATCAGCATTTATAATGAACAAAAAATTTTTAGCATATGCTTATTTTAAATATATCAGTGAAGTATTAGGCTCACATGCCAACAGAGATACCTCACCAAAGCATCTTGCTATCCAAGTCTATAGCAAGTGGATTCTATTTAAAGCAACAGCTGCAACATGGGACTGAGTAAGAAGCTAGATTGTGGATGATATTCTCTTTCATTTGTAACACAAATATTTGTTTTCAGTGGAGTAGAAGTTTCATATTAATTAGAGATGGAACTGCTGACTTGATTTCCAGAATGCAAACAAGAAATACTCCTCATTCCTGACTTGAAAAAGTTAGGGTGAGAAAAGAGGGAGTGACATTCATACCAGAGTAGCTTAGAAATGAGATCACATCTCTTATGAAACTTTAAGGAGGCTGGGCACGGTGGCTCATGCCTGTAATGCCAGCAGGCCAAGGCGGGTGGATCACTTGAGACCAAGAGTTGGAGACCAGCCTGGCCAACATGGCAAAACACCATCTCTACTAAAAATACAAAAATTAGCCGGGTGTGGTGGTGGGCACTTGTAATCCCAACTAATTGGGAGACTGAGGCAGAGAATCACTTGAACCTGGGAGGTGGAGGTTGCAGTGAGCCAAGATTGTGCCACTGCACTCCAGCCTGGATGACAGAGCAAGACTCCATCTCAAAAAAAAAAAAAAAAAAAAAAGAAAGAAAGAAACTTTAAGGAATCACAGATGATGGTGACACCAAATACAAATTCTACTAATCCTTGTCTTTGGCAGTGGATAGCCTTTCAGAACTTCTGTTTTATTTTTCCCCTCATTAATTTTAGCTGTTGTTGACAAGACTTTTAAAAAATTGCTTATTTTTTAAAAATTTTCCTTCCATCCTATGTAGTGACCCATCTCCCTTCTCCCATTTGAACAAGGAACAGGCTCTGTGCATCTTTGCCTCAAAGGAGGTTTGTAGCAAGGCAGAAAGCAAAAGCTGCCTGCAGGACATTTTCCTTCTTGAATTTTGTTTTCACAAGCTTAAGCTATTAATTAACTTATTAGGTAGTTATAGGGAATCCTGTAAGGGAACTATGAAGAAAGTGGGATGTTCATCAGGCTAACAGATTCCTGGAAACAAGGAGGGACAGAAATCTATAGATTCCTCAAGTATCTGGGACTAGAGTCCTCCCCACTAAGTGGACTAATCATGCCTTAGGGAGGTGATCAAATCTTCAAAGGCTTTGTTTTGTGGCACACCTAGGGAGACAGAGGTCTAGGGAACAGCCTTGCTAGAGATTCCCATGCTTCAAACACTGCAGGGGGAGAAACAGAGCTACTAGGTTTGAAGGGACCACACTGGCCAGGACAATGGATGTTTCAGCAGCCACCAATCCAGTCTGGTGACTGATGCCCAGAGGGCCTCCCCACATGCTGGCACTAGAGACACTGGGTTTCCAAACAACTTTTGGGGTGAGGAGGTTCTGGGGGAAGTCAAGTGTGCCTGGGAATATATTTCCTTCTTGCTAGGTAGGAAAAGGTAAAGTTGAAATTAAGTTGATTTAAATACATGAAGAAACTCACCATCTCTTGCCACCTAGGTTTGTGGCTTGGGCTTCATACCTACAAACATTGACTATTTGGAGTCCATACTCAGTGGAATTTCTCTCTACATCAAATTAGTTGGGTCCACTTGGGAAACATGCTGGAAACCCTAGACTCTAGATTGGTCTTAAAATCTCTAAGTACAGCTCCTTTCACATAGAGGGACATACCATGCTTGCTGCCAGACCATTCTAAGTAGACTCCAACTAGCAACACTGGAAACATCTCTTTAGATTTGAGGATAGGAACATCAGATGGCCCAATATAATTCTTGGTTGCAAGCAACAGAAACCAGCCCTGACTAATTTGATTTAAGCTGGAATGTATTAGAAGGATACTGAATAGTTCACAAGATGGATGGGAGGGCTAGAGAACAAGGATCAGGAAAATGGCTGGAAACCAAGAGAGAATGGGCACGGAGGAGCATGGCCCAGGTCATTCCACAGGACAGTCTGCCCCTGCCAGCACCTCACTGCTGCCCACAGATGACACTGCCACCACTAGCGTCCTCTGAACTATTTTTCACCCTCTGCTTCTTCCCTTGATATTCAAGGTCCAGAAAGGAGGCTCTGACTGGCTGAGCTTGAGTCCTGCACCATTCCCTGGAGGTCCCTGAATAGAGGGAGGGGGTTGGCCGTGAACACAATGTAGAATACTGTGTCACACCAAAACTGTGATTGGAAGAAGGGAAGCTGAACAAAAAATAAACACACTTAACAAATGTCCACCACATTCCCAACCACTTAAGGAGAAGAAAAAAGCGTTAAAGTCTTGAAAACTCCAGCTTTCAGTTAACTACCTTGTAAAGGTACTCACCTATTTCCCAGGATCAAGCCCTATAAAAGTTTTATGCAAGCTCATAATTTCACTCTCAAATGAATTTGTAACCCATGACCCTGATTCCTGCCCAGTACTTGGCCCTGCCCATTGGCCCTGGATTGCTTTCTCTGATTAGATTTCTATAGCAATTCCCCAGGCTCAGGGACCAAAAGACTTGCCAGGCACTTAAGTTTGAACAACCTTTTGCACTTCATCTCTCACTCTTACCTCCACCCTGAGGCACATGGGTGCTGTTGGCTCCCTGGTGAAGTTAAGAGGGAAGATAAACTTAAGGACCACAGATTTAGAAGGCTATTTTCATCTCCCCACTTATAGGCAGAACTACATTCTCAGAAAAACAGAAGTATGGCCTATTTTTTAAGCTCTTCAGAAGTGGGAAAATACTATTCTCGATACATCCAACAGAAAATAAGACACAAGCTGTGTTTGAAGATTCAGTAGAAAACAGAGAACACTTGATAAAAACAGGGGAAAAAAACATGTTCATAGACTGTCTCCAAATCTGCTCAAGTGTACAGGAGGAAGATACGTCCAAAGGATCATGACAATGGTGGGGACACATCACCCCACATCTGTGATTGCTCCTTGCTGCTTCTCCAGCTTTGGGTGATGAGTGTGGTGAACAGATACAGCCTGTGGCATAGGTCCAGGCAGGAAAGGGGTCTTCTCTTACATCTGGTAGCACTGGAGTAGGGGGAGCCTTGGGATCTGTGTCTCGCAAAAGCATCTCCTTTCTTCTGGAGGTTTTTCAGGATCCAGGAATGATAGAGGAGACAGATGCTCTGGAAAGGGAAATACTAGGTGAGATCTAAGGGCACATTCCAACCTGCCATTTGTGCAACAGGAAGTGACACAAAGTCTTAGAAAGTATTTATAAGCCATAAATGACCACTAAAAGCTGGTTAGCTAATTTTCTTTTAAAAGGAAAATGTTGGGGAATTTTAAGTAAAGGCAAAATCTTTCCAATGCTTCTTGTTTTAATTTTCCTTAACTTTTTCACTTAGCTTGATCTGTATTTAAGGGTCTCATGTTGTTAGTTCAGCCAAAGGAAGTGCAAAATCCTCCAGGCTGTACTACTGTTGGCCATCCCCAGCCTGTGTGTAACTGAACATGCCCATTAGCAGGATCTTGGGAGCCACAGTACCAGTGCCCTCAAAGTTGGCCAGTGGCCAGCAATAAACAGGTTCTGGCTGGTCATACCTGAGGTTTGGAAAGCTACTTTGTACCCAACCCTGAGGAGCGGTGTGGAGCCAGGACAAGAACAGGCAAGCTCCTGCAGAATTCTGTGCCCGTGTAGGGTGAGCCTGCTCCACATTATGCTCTGAAATGGGAAACCTGGGGCAAAGGTAAGACATCTCAAAGGAAAATAGAGCAAAATTTTAAATTCTGAGGGCTCCTCTGCACTGCAGAAGCCGACATCCCCTCCCATGTCCCCTCCCTCATGGCCAATCACTCTGCTAAGGTGTTTCTGCCTCATTTAGTGCAAGCATAATAAAATAGAAGAGGAAAGTGAAACTACACATATGTCTCTTTTTCCATCAGAGGTGAAGCTAAAGTATATAGCATTTATAAAGATTATATAAAATATAAATAGAGTATATAATATTTAAGTTCCTTACAACATTTTCCTGAATATGATTGACAATGGCTACAGAACTTGGAATGGGGATTTTGTGTGACTCACATTTCTTTCTTTCCGTTCCTTAACTGTCACACTCACTCCATAATAAAAGGCTTTCAGACATATTATTACATCAGGAACACTAACAGTTCTCAGGGGACCTCCCTACCCCAAGGAGTTCTCACTCTCTCTCCATAGAAGATACAACATTCTCAAAGAGTGAGTCAACTTATCAGGTTAGTTAAGGTATAAATTACTCAGCCATCAATCTTCACATCAATAAAACCTGCATAGGTTGGCATAGATTTACTATATTAGACCAAGAGACACATCTGAAGGCAAACTCTTAGCTGGTCAGAAATTCCCAGGGTGAGTTTTCCAAGCAGGACTGAGACCTTAGCATTTGCATGACTTTTGGTATAAGCTGTTGGCTCTTACACGTTATGTTTCTTGGGTTCAGAAGAAAGTGAAAAATGACTTAGATTCCAAAATGGAAATGTATCCCAACATTTTGGGAGGCCGAGGCCGGCGGATCACCTGAGGTCAAGATTCAAGACCAGCCTGGCCAACATGGTGAAACCCCGTCTCTACTAAAAAATACAAAAATTAGCTGGGCATGGTGGAGGGCGCCTGTAACCCCAGCTACTCAGGAGGCTGAAGCACGAAAATTGCTTGCACCCAGGAGGCAAGTTTGCAGTGAGCCGAGATCGTGCCACTGCACTCCAGCTTGGGTAACAGAGCAAGACTCTGTCTAAAAAAAAAAAAAAGAAATGTAATATATGGGGTCCACAAAAGCTAGGTGCATCATATATTTTAATTTCTAAAGATGCTCCCAAACTCCTTTCACACTCAGGCGGTGACCCAGCCTTTTGCTTCATTGAGAAAGAAGAGGGCATCAGGATAACTCTCTCACCATTTTTCTATCTCCCAACTTACATTTTTTCTTTTTCCATTATTTATTTATTTATTTATTTATTTTATGAGACAGAGTCTCATCACTCTTGAGTTCAGTGGCGCAATCTTGGCTCACTGCAGCTTCAACCTCCTGGGCTCAAGCGACCCTCCCATATCAGCTTCCCAGATAGCTGGGACTACAGGCATGTGCCACCACACCCAGCTAATTTTTTTTTTTTTTTTTTTTTGAGATGGAGTCTCGCTCTGTCGCCCAGGCTGGAGTGCAATGGCATGATCTCAGCTCACTGCAACCTCTGCCTCCCGAGTTCAAGCAATTCTCCTGCCTCCTGCCTCAGCCTCCCAAGTAACTGGGATTACAGGCACCTGCCACCCCGCACAGCTATTTGTTGTATTTTTAGTAGAGACAGGGTTTCACCATCTTGGTCAGGCTGGTCTCGAACTCCTGACCTCAGGTTGATCCACCTGCCTAGGCCTCCCAAAGTGCTGGGATTACAGGTGTGAGCCACCGTGCCCAGCCCAGCTTATATTTTCACTTGCATTCTTTGTTCCAGCTGAAGGAATGTGTACCCTCCTCCTAGACTCACCACTGCTCTCCTGATGCTATCCCCACATCCCTGAAACCTCAAGCCATCGATAGGCCCCACTCCCTTCTTTCTCTGTTCTTTCCCTTGTTACAAATCTCCCTCTTCCTTTTCTCCCTAAGAAACATGGTCAACACTCCATCATGAAAAACTGCTCAGTCTACTCACCTTCTCACTGACAATCTCCCTGAGCAGCTATTTGTGCCTCAACCCACTGGAGTGTGGCTTTCAGTTGCTCCACTCCACAGAATTGTTCTTTTTTTTTTTTGAGATGGAGTCTCACTGTGTCACCCAAGCTGGAGTGCAGTGACGTGATCTCAGCTCACTGAAACCTCCACCTCCCAGGTTCAAGCGATTCTCCTGCCTCAGCCTCCCGAGTAGCTAGGATTACAAGCGCCCATCACCATGCCCCACTAATTTTTGTATTTTTAATAAAGATGGTGTTTCACCATGTTGGCTAGGCTGGTCTCGAACTCCTGACTTCAAATGATCTGCCCGCCTCAGACTATCAAAGTGCTGGAATTACAGGCATGAGCCACCACACCCAGCCTCACAAAATTGCTTTTTGAGGCCAGTGACTGCTTGATGGCCAGACTCTTATCTCAACCTTGGCCTTGACTTCCAAAACAGCGCTCTTCCCCAAATCTCCTGTTTCTATGACCACTCACATCATCTTTCTCTACCCAGCCCTTAATATCAACCTTTTTCAACTTATGCTTCCTCCTTTGGATGTTACATCTATTCTCACAGTTTCACATATTACTTATAAGCTAGTAATTCCAAATATTTATCTCTAGCCCTGAACTGTCTTCTGAGTCCCGGACCATCTCCAAGTGCATTTTGGCCATATCCACCTGGGTGTCCCAGAGGGCCCCTAAATAAAGAAGTCTAAATCCAAACTCATCCACTGTCTTGTCTCATCTCTAACCCCTCACTCCCCATCCCTAGAAAATGTCTGCATTTTATCTACCTAAAAGTTATTTTCAAATATCAGAAATTCTATAATCACAAAAAGACTGCAGTTACAGTAAATAACCCCAAAGATATAGAGTAATACAGGGAAAATCTATGATACCCATGAAAACAAACAAGCAAAAACACTCAAGAATAACCTAAAGATTATTTACTAGAGAAACTCCAAAGAAGTAGAGAAAAACATGTTATAATAGGGAAGTAAAATGGTATCTTAGAGACAACTGGTGAAGACCAGACATGCCTAACAATTAAGAAATAATTAACTGATGGTGTTTGCTTGCATTTAATTTGCTTAGGTTTACCATTTCCAATTGAAAAGATCAAAGGATGTCATTACCTTGAATATGGTATTATTGTTGAAAAGTGGATTTGCCTGTTGGATCTGCCCAACACAGCAGGAAAGTGTACATCCAGAAGAGAACATGTGATTTGCAGCTTTCCATGCTCACTTATGGCAAGGGCCTTACCAAAGGCAGACACCACAGTAAGCAAGCGTTAGAGGTACCAAGAAAAAAAGCCAGGACAAGATGTTTGTTAAGAAGCTTCACGTGGCCAGTCACGGTGGCTCATACCTGTAATCCCAACACTTTGGGAGGTCAAGGCAGGAGGATTGCTTGAGCCCAGGAGTTTGAGATCAGCCTGGGCAACATAGCAAGATGTCATCTCTATTCTACAAAAAAAAAAGGAATTTTTGTTTTAAAAAGAACCTTCACTCATTTCATGTGCCAAACAAAATCACACACATCACAAATAATGGTCATTTTCTACAAATGACTCCAAGATAGAAGATAACTGAATTCTAATCAATATTCTGCACTTCCTGGCTCTAATGTACGTATTATTCACTGATCTTTGGCAAATGACTTAAGTTTTCTGAGACTATTTCCAGGTCTAAAAAAGGACTGTCTCACAGTTAAAAATCACTTGACAAAATCAAGCTCAAGAGAGATGGTTAAATGTTTGAAATCTCCAGTCCTGCCAACTGACTTGTAGAATATTCAAATATAACTTTCCAGTTGCCAAAAATTGGAATAATGTTAGCTTACATTTCTAGGAAATGTCAGATGAGGCAATTTGGAAAATCCACCTGCTGTGCCTAAGCCTGAATCGAACACAATAAATGGTCCATTTTTCTCTGGAATTTGAGTTCTACTGAATTAATCTTTTTACAAGACGGAAACCTGAAAGTAAACATAATGAATCACTCTTCCCACCACGCCTGCTTGTCTTGGTGCTAGCAGCAGTTCCCTGCTTTCTTTGCAACACGGCTCTAGCAAGGAGCCGAGCATCTGAAGCAAAGTGTGATCAACAGATGCTCGTTTCCATAATTGGCACTTTTCCAATAACCAACCCCAAATTTAATTAGCCACTTATCTGAAGCAGAAAAGGATTTCTAAAGCATTCTAGTAATCTGTGCTATTTCTCTCCACTGGTTCATGCCCCAGCCCCACAGGCCTCCTCACTCAGAAGTCTTTGAAGGACGCATGTCAAGCACAGGATGTGTGCTTTTTCCTACTGTAAACAAGCAAGTCTCTAAAAATATTCATGAGATTTTTCTACTAGGGAAAAAGAATAATATTCCACTGAACTGAAGACCACATATGAAACAGGGGAAGGACGCTGGAAATAAAGCTCCATACATAGCTCGGTACTAGTAGATCAGCATGTTAACTAGGTTAATTCCCAACTGTCCTACCACCAACTACCTAGCACGAGGCTCTCAACAACCTGCAGCCAGATCCCAGGTGGTCCCAATGGCTACATTCATTGAATACAGCCTGAGCAATACTCTCACTCCACTCTTCACTCAGCTGACCCTGTATTCTGTGAATTCTGCCCTAGCTCCAAACCTCTTGGTACAAAGGAACTCTCTACGTTTAGTTCTCTCGACAACTACCTACTATAAGATGAAGTTTCCAGGAACTCATGTGATCATGAGACTCTGCAGTCACTTCAGGGGGTCTTGTTGACTGGCTCGGGGGGCTGGTGTCAAGCCCAAGCAGAAGGTATGTTTGCCCATGGGGTGTTGGCAGATGGTTGGGAAGTTAGGCAGAGCATTACCTACTGTGGATATGTCCTTGCTCCTGCTCAGCCTCCTCTGCCCTGTCTTTGGGAGCAGAACTCCTCTGGGTGGTGGCGAGCCAATCCCATGTGATTTAGCTAGCCGATCCTGCCCAGTGCACCCCAATCCCACCAAGGCCACAGTGACTGGGAGAAGGTTGGACCGTGACCCAGATTAGGCCAGACACCTCTCTGAAAGCTACTGGGGTTCTCAGAAAAAGCTTTCTCCCTGGTCACTGAGTCTTAACTCACTACTTGAGAGAAACTACCAGGAGAAAGGGGGCAGGGGAAGGAGGGCTTCCCTGACCACACCATCTGAGTCCTGAATCCAGCCCTACCCGGAGCCAAGATTAGCCTGAATTTCACTTACGTGAGCTAAGCAAGTCCCATTTTTGCTTAAGCTACAGAGGATGTGGTTCTTTCTCTGAAAGTTTCCCCCCACTAATAAACACTTAACCTCATCCCCTCCCTAGTTGTTATCCAAGTTATTTAGATGATTATCTTCCTTCCTTGTGTGGTTTTTGCCTAAAATTCTCCATGTCCTCCCAGTCATTCCTGACCCCTCCAGCCCTTTAAACTCAGGTCAAAGTTTAACTCTTAAAGGGACATTTCTCATATTAACCCACAGCTTCCAAAGTCCTAGAGTCTTCAATGTGTGTACATATGAATACATTCTCATATCATATGCTAAGTGCTATTCCTTAGTCTAGTCTCATTCCTGCTGTTCTGTAACCAAAAGGCAAAAAAAAAAAAAAAAAAATCCTTGCTGAAAGAAGTGAGAATTCTCATTTTAAAGTGTCTTACTGATTTAAAAAAGAAAAAGGGGGGCACTCAATGTGAGATACAGCAAAGATCCAAGATGTGTGTATGTGTTTTTTAACAAATGGCAGTATGCATTTGGATGCTTATTGTGTGCCAGGCAGTGTGCTAAGCACCTTATGCACATTTTTTTTTTTTGAGACAAGTCTTGTTCTGTTGCCCAGGCTGGAGTGCAGTGGCACGATCTTGGCTCACTGCAATTTCTGCCTTCTGGGTTCCAGCGATTCTTCTGCTTCAGCTTCTCAAGTAGCTGGGATTACAGGCACCCACCACAACGCTCGGCTAATTTTTGTATTTTAATAGAAACGGGGTTTCACCATGTTGGCCAGGCTGGCCTCGAACTCCTGACCTCAAGTTATCTGCCCACCTCAGCCTCCCAAAGTGCTGGGATTACAGGCGTGAGCCACTGCACCCAGCCACATTTTTTCATTAATCTTTCCAACCTCTGTGCTAGGTACCATTATTCTAAATTAAAAAAAAAAAAACAAAAAACCAAAAACTCATACTAAGGCTTTCAGAGTTTATGGAATCTGCTCAAGGTCACACAGCTGGTAAATGCAGGAGCTGGACTGAGTCCAGAGGCCACTCTTACCATCCCCCACTCCCACCCACAGACCAGGCAGTGGCCTTCTTGGAGCACCCAGTGAGGCTTTCCTTGGAGTTACCCCTGCATATGAAAGTCATATTAGTAGGTCAGCATTTTAACTGGGTTAACTATCACTCTTCTACCATGACCCACCCAGCATAGGACTCCCTCTACCCAGCAGCTGGATGGATCCCAGGTGGTCCCAGTGTCTGTATTCATTGAACACCGCCATTTCAGTATTAAATTAGTCATTTTATTAATAGTATTAATATCCTTTTTATTTATTTATTTATTTATTTTTTGAGATAGAGTCTCACTTTGTCACCCAGGCTAGAGTGCAGTGGCTCGATCTTGGCTCATGGCAACCTCCGCCTCCCGGGTTCAAACGATTCCTGTGCCTCAGTCGGGTGCCACCACACCTGGCTAATTTTTGTATTTTTAGTAGAGACAGGGTTTCACCATGTTGGCCAGGCTGGTCTTAAACTCCGGACCTCAGGTGATCCACTTGCCTCGACCTCCCAAAGTGCTGGAATTACAGGCATGAGCCACCGTGCCCAGCCTAATATCCATTTTGGACATAAATGAAATATGCTTGGTTATTTTATTTCCTGGTTCACAGCAATTCTAAGGTAATAAAAACTTAGAAGTGACTGTGAGATGGGGGCTGTCCCTAGAAAACAGTAATAAATGACTAGTAGAGTTAGAAGGAGCTGAAAATCTGTTAAAGCAAGATGTGGGAACTCGAGACATGCCCAAGTTCACCCATCTCATGACCCTTCCTTCACTGCCTGATTCACAAAGAGCCCTCAGAGCAAGCAGCCCTGCTTCTGTGGATGCTGGATGGCATCATCACCAGGCGGGTCCTTCAGAGTACTGGGAGCAGCATGCAGCCCGATAGAGTTGGCAAACGTGAATCTACTAGAAGATTGACATGGAGATCGAGTAGGTATTCTTTTTATTAATATTCCGTCATCAAACTGTCTTTACAAATATCTACCTTCATTTTGGCTCTTCCCTAGGTGGTAACTAATACATCTGACTAGTAAATCATGTCTAATATATAGGACTTCATAATGTGTTACATAGCGCTTGATGCTCAAATGCAAACGTCCTGTTTTTTTGGGTTTTTTGTTGTTGTTGTTGTTGTTGTTGTTGTTGTTTTTAAGAGACAGTGTCTTCACTCTGTCACCCAGGCTAAGCTGGAATGCAGGGGGCCAACCATAGCTCACTGTACCCTTGAATGCCTGGGCTCAAGTGATCCTCCCACCTCAGCCTCCCAAGTAGATGGGATTACAGGCACTAGCCACTGCGCCCAGCTGTATTAGTCTATTTTCACACTGCTGATAAAGACATACCAGAGACTGGGCAATTTACAAAAGAAAGAGGTTTATTGGACTTACAGTTCCACCTGGCTGGGGAGGCCTCATAATCATGGAGGAAGGCAAGGAGGAGCAAGTCATATCTTACATGGATGGCAGCAGGCAAAGAGAGAGAACTTGTGCAGGGGAGCTCCTCTTTATAAAACTATCAGATCTCATGAGACTTATTCACTATCACAAGAACAGCACAGGAAAGGCTTGTCCCCATGATTCAATTATCTCCCACTTGGTCCCCCCACAACACATGGGAATTCAAGATGAGATTTGGGTGGGGACACAGCCAAACCATATAACCAGCTGATGCTCAAATGTTTTTATTACATAAGTAATACATTTTAGCTCTTTCTGTGATGAACCAATTGTATATCCTTATTTTAAACACTGTCTAGTTTGTAAATGTTTTGTTTTAGGCATTATGCCAGAGAAATTGTTCCCTGAAATGAAAATGTTTTATTTGTAGAAGCGTATCACAGTCTCTTCATCAGAATCTGATACTTTTATTTATGCACAAATCCAAGCAGGTTAGAATTTGAATAAGAATAGGGAGAGCATTTTTGAAACAGGTACACTGACTTGGGCAAGAGGTGAGAAAAAGTGAAGGAGAGAGAAAAATCTATATCAAAAGTAGGCATACCAAAAGAAACAGCTGAAAGTTGAAAACATTTCTCAGAAGAGAAGGAAATCTCCCCATATTGCCCCCCTCCATTTCTATTCCACAGGAGTGAAAGGGTGACATTTTTGGATCAAACTTTGTAGAAGCATGGCAGCCAGCCTCTAGGAGGGCCCCTAAGATGACTCTTGTCTGGTGGCCTTCATGCTCTTGTGTAGACCCCTCCCAGTAGAAATAGGCCTGACCTGTGTAACTGATAGGATATTGTGGAAATGATGAAGTGTGACTTCCAAGGCTAGTTAATAAAAGACATTGCAGTTTCTGCCTTTGGATCTGTCTTGGATCATTTGATCTGAGGGAAGCCAGTTGGCATGTCATGAAGACATACAAGCAACCCCATGAAGAGGCCCACGTGGTGAGGAACTGAGGCCTCCTGCCAACATCCAGCAGCAACTTACCAACAGTGAGAGTGAACCACTTAGGAACCGGATCCTTCAGTTCCAGTCAAGCCTTCAGATGTCTGCAACCCTGGACAACATCTTGACTGCAACTTCATGAAAGACCCTGAGGGAGCCCCAAACCACCTAAGATTGCCCCAAATTCTTGACCCACAAACTATGAGATAACAAATATTCATCATTGGCTGGGCATGGTGGCTTATACCTGCAATCCCAGCACTTTGGGAGGCCAAGGTGGGTGAATCACTTGAGGCCAGGAGTTCGAAACCAGCCTGGCCAATGTGGTAAAACCCTTTCTCTACAAAAAATACAAAAAAAAAAAAAAAAAAAGAAAAAAAAAAAAAGCCAGATATGGTGCCAGACATGTAATACCAGCTACTTGGGAGGCTGAGGTGGGAGAATCGCTTGAACCCAGGAGGTAGAGCTTGCAGTGAGCTGAGATAGCGCCACTGCACTTCAGCCTGGGTGACAAAGTGAGATCCTGTCTCAAAAAAATATATATATATATTAATATTTTCACATAGTTTCTGGAATCTTTAACCAATATCAAAATTCAAGACTATGGACAAGATGATGAGTCATAAGGCCAGTTTGTATAACCATAGGATGCAAGGACCAAACTTCTTTAGATCTTGTTCTAACACACAGTTACTTAAGTCCAAAGAGGACAATGAAATGAGGACTTTCTCATTCAGTCTGTCAGTCCTATATGTGATGTTTTAGGTTTGCTTCAGCCTAGCCCAGAATGCATCTTGTAAAGGTTATATGTGTGTTGATGGTATACATACATGCTTGTATGTCCATGCATTGGAGGGAAGAGATTAGGGTTTAAAAGTATAAAGCTAATATGTTTATTAAGGAAAATTAAAACACAAGTAGAAAAAAATAAAATAAAACCCTTTTTCAAAAGCATGTAATAAAAAGCAAAAACCTAACAGAACTTCAGTTCACATTGTTATTTACTTCCTTCTCATCTTTTTGCCTCCCCAGGCAGACTTGTTTTGTAAGTACTAGGAGTTCTTGACAATGTTGAAGAATGAATCAGTGGTCAAACCTAGCCTTGGCAATCCTAGCAAAAGTTCCTTGACTACATTTTTTTTTCTAAAGATTCATTCTCAAAGATACAGAAACAACAGCTATAAAAATGCATGTACATATAATAAATATGTATTAATTGAGCTTTTGTAAAATACTTAACAAGCATTTTTCAGTACTTCCTGTGTACACCACACCAGAGCAGCTGTTTCCGGGAATCCTAAAGAAGATAGTTTCCACCCTTAAAATGTAAATCATATTTTATACTGCTACTCAGCTAACATCAGAACTCATTTGTTTTATTGTAAGTGGCCATTTTTTAAATAATTTGATATAATTGATGATTTTCTAAAAATTTAAATCCTCCCTTATTCTATAATCCCTAGAGACCCTGAACAGAATCTGTATTCATTTTTTAAAATCTCAGTATTTCTAGTTTTCACCTCATTGCTGGAGGCAGGAAATACCAAGCTAGCTAAAATAGAATTAGGTCAGATCCCTGTCTTCAGCTAATCATGAGAAAAACTAAGATTAGTTGAAGGTCTACTTTATATCTAAGATTTTACATAGATTTAATCCTCACAACAGCCTTGAAGGAAATATTATCCCCATTTTACAAATGGAGAAAATGAGGTTCAGAGAGGTTAAGTCACTTTTCTACGATCACCTAACTCCTAAGTCTTAGAACCTGGATTGGAAGCTCAGTCTATAACTCCAAAGCCTTTTTTCTTTTCACAGCACCATCCTATTTATTAAACAGCGCTCTTACTTTCCACTTGATTTCCCAGGCCTCCTCTTACCCACACAAAAATAGCTTTACATAACTTTGTTCTCTCACAAGGAAATGGAAATATCTCTTCACGGGTGACTGGCTGAGGTGTGTGGGAAGGGGTTGGGAATATGAAGGGAATGACCGACAAGGCTGCTGGACCTCAGCCTCTGTGTTACAGGCAGAGGTGGAAACCAAGCACTTTGCCCAGAACTTTTGTTGGAAGTCATATCTTCTTCCTAGTGAAAAGTTTTACTCATTCACAAGAGCTAAAATATTCATGGAACACACCACACCAGATAGAGTAACTTTATCCTATTATTTAATCTTGTTCGTTTCCTTCTGAAGGCTTATTTCCTGAGCCAGCAATTTTTATTCACTTACAGAGTCACCAGTCAACTTATTCCTAACAAAACCTTTTTGCTTCTTGGTGCTCAGTACGTTACCCTTCCTTCTCCATAGTTGGAATGAGGGGTTTAAACATTCTTACTCTGAAAGGTTATCATTAGCTATTCAGATTCAACTGGTGGTCACAGAACACCCACGTATCAGACACAGTGCTTGGAGACTTCAGGTACCTTATCTCTTGAATGGAAGCTCCTGTCTGGTAGATACTGAAGTTCAAGCTTCGAGTTCCTCCTTTACACACAAGTTATCCAGTCAGTGATTTATTTTAACGGTTTTTTCTTTTCTCTCTTTTTTTTTTTGAGATAGAATCTCACTGTATTGCCCAGGCTGGAGTCTAATGGTGCCATCTCGGCTCACTGCAGCTTCCGCCTCCCAGGTTCAAGCGATTCTCATGCTTCAGCCTCCTGAGTAGCTGGGATTACAGGAGCACGCCACCATGTCTGGCTAATTTTTGTATTTTTAGTAGAGATGGGGTATCATCACATGTATTAGTGTGTTTTCAAACTACTGATAAAGACATACCCGAGACTGGGCAATTTACAAAAGAAAGAGGTTTAATTGGACTTAGAGTTCCACATGGCTGGTGAAGCCTCACAATCATGGCAGAAGGCAAGGAGGAGCAAGTCATGTCTTACATGGATGGCAGCAGGCAAAGAGAGAAAACTTGTGTGGGGGAGCTCCTCTTTTTTTTTTTTTTTTTTTTTCCTTCAAGACAGAGTTGTACTCTTGTCTCCCAAGCTGCAGTGCAGTGGTGTGATCTCAGCTCACTGCAACCTCCACCTCCCAGGTTCAAGTAATTCTCATGCCTCAGCCCCCCAAGTAGCTGGGATTACAGGCACCTGCCACCATGCCTGGCTAATTTTTGTATTTTTAGTAGATACGGGGTTTCGCCATGTTGGCCAGGCTGGTCTCAAACTCCTGACCTCAAGTGATCTGCCTGCCTCGGCCTCCCAAACTGCTGGGATTACAGGCCTGAGCCACCATGCCCAGCCATGGAACTCCTCTTTTTAAAACTATCAGATCTTGGCCAGGTGTGGTGGCTCACACCTGTAATCCCAGCACTTTGGGAGGCCAAGGTGGGCGGATCACGAGGTCAGGAGATCAAGACCATCCTGGCTAACACGGTGAAACCCCATCTCTACTAGAATTAGCCAGGCATGGTGGCAGGCACCTGTAGTCCCAGCTACTTGGGAGGCTGAGGGAGGAGAATGGCTTGAACCCAGGAGGCGGAGCTTGCAGTGAGCCAAGATGGTGCCACTGCACTTCAGCCTGGGTGACAGAGCGAGACTCCGTCTCAAAAAACAGTCAAACAAACAAACAGACAAACAAAAAACCTATCAGATCTCATGAGACTTATTCACTATCATCAGAACAGCACGGGAAAGATTTGCCCCATGATTCAATTAACTCCCACCAGGTCCCTTCCCCAACACATGGGAATTCAAGATGACATTTGGGTGGGGACATAGCCAAACCATATCATTCTGCCCCTGGCCCCGCCCAGATCTTATGTCCTTACATTTCAAAACCAATCATGCATTTTCAACAGTCCCCCAAAGTCTTACTTCAGCATTGACTCAAAAGTCCACAGTCCAGGCCAGGCATGGTGGCTCACACGTGTAATCCCAGCACTTTGGGAGGCTGAGGCAGGTGGATCACCTGAGGTCAGGAGGCCGAGACCATCCTGGCCAACATGGTAAAACCCCATCTCTACTAAAAATACAAAAATTAGCTAAGCATGGTGGCACGTGCCTGTAATCCCAGCTACTCAGGAGGCTGAGGCAGCAGAACCACTTGGACCTAGGAGGCAGAGGTTGCAGTGAGCTGAGAATAGGCCATTGCACTCCAGCCTGGGTGACAGAGCAAGACATTGTCTCAAAAAAAAAAAAAGAAAGTCCACATCCAAAGTCTCATCTGAGACAAGGCAAATCCCTTCCACCTATGAGCCTGTAAAATCAAAACCAGGTTAGTTACTTCCTAGGTACAATGGGGGTATGGGCATTAGGTAAATACAGCCATTCCAAGTGGGAGAAATTGTCCAAAACAAAGGGGCTACAGGCCCTATGCAAGTCCAAAATCCACCAGGGCAGTCAAATCTTAAAGTTCCAAAATGATCTCCTTTGACTTCATGTCTCACATCCAGGTCATGCTGATGCAAGAGGTGAGTTCCATGGTCTTGGAAGGCTCCGCCCCTGCGGCTTTGCAGGGTACAGCCTCCCTCCTGGCTGCTTTCATGGACTGGCATTGAGCATACATGGTTTTTCCAGGTGTACGGTGCAAGCTGTCAGTGGATCTACCATTCTGGTGTTTGGAGGATGGTGGCCCTCTTTTCACAGCTCCACTACATGATGCCCCAGTAGGAACTCTGTGTGGGGGCTCTGACCCCACATTTCCCTTCTGCACTGCCCTAGCAGAGGTTCTCCATGAGAGCCTCGCCCCTGCAGCAAACTTCTGCCTGGACAGCCAGGTGTTTCCATATATCTTCTGAAATCTAGGCAGCAGTTCCCAAACCTCAATTCTTGACTTTTCAACACCAAGTGGAAGCTGCCTAGATTTGAGGCTTACACCTTCTGAAGCCATGCCTGGGCTCTACATTGGCCCCTTTCAGCCATTGGCTGGAGTGGCTGGGATGCAGGGCACCAGGTCCCTAGGCTGCACACAGCATGGGGACCCTGGGGCTGGCCCACGAAACCACTTTTTCCTCTTAGGCCTCCAGGCCTGTGATGGGAGGGTTGCTGTGAAGTCCTCTGACATGCCCTGGAGACATTTTCCCCATTGTCTTGGGGATTAACATTGTTAATCTTCTTGTTACTTATACAAATTTCTACAGCTGGATTGAATTTCTCCTCAGAAAAATGGGATTTTCTTTTCTATCGCATTGTCAGGCTGCAAATTTTCCAAACGTTTATGCTCTGCTTCCCTTCTAAAACTGAATGCCTTTAACAGCACCCAAGTCACCTTTTGAATCCTTTGCTGTTTAGAAATTTCTTCCATCAGATACGCTAAGTCATCTCTCTCGAGTTCAAAGTTCCACAAATCTCTAGGGCAGGGACAAAATGCTGCCAGTCTCTTTGCTAAAACATAACAAGAGTCACCTTTGCTCCAATTCCCAACCAGTTCTTCATCTCCATCTGAGACCATCTCGGCCTGGACCTTATTGTTCATATCACTATCAGCATTTTTGTCAAAGCCATTCAACATCTCTCTAGGAAGTTCCAAACTTTCCCACATTTTCCTGTCTGCTTCTGAGCTCTCCAAACGGTACCAACCTCTGCCTATTACCCAGTTCCAAAGTTGCTTCCACATTTTCAGGTAACTTTTCAGCAGTGCCCCACTCTACTGTTACCAATTTACTATATTAGTCCATTTTCATGCTGCTGATAAAGACATACCTGAGACTGTACAATTTACAAAAGAAAGAGGTTTAATTGGACTCACAGTTCCATGTGGCTGGGAAAGCCTCACAATCATGGCGGAAGGCAAGGAAGAGGGAGTCACATCTTACATGGATGGTGGCAGGCAAAGAGAGAACTTGTGCAGGGGAACTCCTCTTTTTTAAAAAACCATCAGATCTCATGAGACTTATTCATTATCATGAGAACAGCACAGGAAAGACTTTCCCCTATGATTCAATTACCTCCTACCAGGTCCCTCCCACAACACGTGGGAATTTGAGATGAGATTTGGGTGGGGACACAGCCAAACCATATCACCATGTTAGCCAGACTGGTCTCAAACTCCTGACCTCAAGTGATCTGCCCACCTAGGCCTCCCAAAGTGCTGCTGGGATTATAGGCGTGAGCCATTGTACCTGGCCCCAGGAGTAGTTGTTTTTAGTTTAGTTTTGTTTTGTTTTGTTTTGTTTTTCGAGACAGAGTTTTTGCTCTCATTGCCCAGGCTGGAGTACAATGGCGCCATCTTGGCTCACTGCAACCTCTGCCTCCCAGGTACAAGCAATTCTCTTGTCTCAGCCTCCCAAGTAGTTCAGATTATAGGCATGCACCACCACCCCTGATTTTTTTTTTTTTTTTTAGTAGAGACGGTGTTTCACCATGTTAATCAGGCTGGTCATGAACTCCTGACCTCAAGTGATCCACCCACCTCACCTCCCAAAATGCTGGGATTACAGGTGTGTGCCACCGCACCTGGCCTATAGCAGTAGTTTTGAACACCAACTAGACTAATAATTATCAGCATAGTTGGTCAACAGCCACTCTGCTGGTTTGGCTAGGTCCAGGAAATCAATGAAGATAATCAATAATGCTTGTCATGATAGCTAACCTCACAGAGTGCCTACTGTAGGCTAGACACAGTTCAAAGTGCTTTACATACAGTGACTCATTTAATCTAACAGGCCAGCCAGGCACGGTGGCTCACACATGTAATCCCAACATTTTGGGAGGCTGAGGCGGGAGGATCACTTGAGGCCATGAATTTGAGACCAATCTGCAACATAGTGAGATTCCATCTCTATGTAAAAAAATAAGAAAAAAAAATATAACAGCCATCTTCATTTTACAGATGGAGAAACTGAGGCACAGAGAGGTTAAGAAACTTGCCTAACCTCAAACTGTTTTTTTCTTTTGCTTTGTGTGTGTGTGTGTGTGTGTGTGTGTGAGATGGAGTCTTGCTGTGTTACCCAGGCTGGAGTGCAGTGGCGCAATCTTGGCTCACAGCAACCTCCGCCTCCCAGGTTCAAGAGATTCTCCTGCTTCAGCCTCCTGAGTAGCTGGGACTACAGATGCCTGCCACCATGCCCAGCTAATTTTTGTAGTTTTAGTAGAGATGGGGTTTCACCATGTTGGCCAGACTGGTCTTGAACTCCTGACCTCAAGTGATCCTCCCGCTTTGACCTCCCAAAGTGCTGGGATTACAAGCCTGAGCCACCACGCCAGCCCGTCCCTCGCACTGCTTTTACAGTCAAGAATTGAACCCAGGCAGTTGGGCTTAAAACTCATGTTCTTAAACACTGTGCTATATTGGCTCTCACATGTTTAGGTTAATAGTGGCCCAGGAATGTTGTTCAAAAAGCAAATAAATGGTTCCCTCTAAATGCCAACCCTGCCAAAAATCATTTATGTAGCTACAGTTACCTCTCACAATCTTCAGCAAAAAAAAAAAAACATAGTTAAAATGAGTTGCTTTAAGTGTTCTGTAATTCTGAGCAGTTTGCATTCATTACTCAGCAGAATGTAACTGCTGACTCTGCAGTTCAGAAGAATCACATTGAAGTTGAAGTGGTAGTAATTGAAAATTCACAAGGTTGGAGAGACTTGAAAAGGCAGACCTGTTACTAGCATTCAGTGGAGTCAAGTATTTAGTAGACCATAGTAGTAAGTATAGCAAGAATAAATCTCAATAAATCAGCAGATTCCAGGAACATTTTAGGACTGAGAATTTTTAAAATACTGTATTCTATATAAGAAGTAATGGCTATGCCTGGAAATAAGTCCCTTAAGTTGACAAAATGGGTTTAAAGTTTTTTCGATGTCTATTTTTTAAAAATGTACACCCAGGGCTGATAAGTAATCTGAGCAAAAATAATTAAAACTATTAGAAACTTCTTTCAACACATGATAGTGATAAAGACACAACCCAAACAGACTTGCTATGTACTGAGAAAAAGAACTATTAACTTTATAATTGTCATACATTAAAGCAGTATGACAATGGTTGTTATATAAAAGTAAAGAATATGCCTCATACCCGTTAGGAAGGCTACTATCAAAAACTGAAAAATCACAAGTGTTGACGAGGATGTAGAGAAACTGGAACCCCTGTGCACTGTTGATGGGAATGTAAAATGGAACAGCTGCTATGGAAAACAGTATGGAGATTCCTCAAAAAATTAAAAATAGAATTACCATATGATCCAGTAGTTTATGTGTCAAATAACTGGGCTAGGGCTGGACGCAGTGGCTCACCCCTGTAATGCCAGCACTTTGGGAGGCTGAGGCAGGAGGATCACTTGAGCCTAGGAGTTTGAGACCAGCGCGGGTAACATGGTGAAACCCCATCAACACAAAAAAATACAAAAATCAGGCATGCGCCTATAGTCCTAGCTACTTGGGAAGCTGAGGCAGGAGGATCGTTTGAGTCTGGGAGGTGGAGGAGGCAGTGAGCCAAGATTGCACCACTGCACTTTAGCCTGGGCAACAGCGAGACTCTGTCTCAAAAAAAAAATGACTGGGCTAAAGGATGTCCAGATAGCTGGTAAAACAGTATTATCCAATCTGTTGAGGGCCTGAAGCAAACAAAAAGACAGAAAGGGTGAATTTGCTCTCTGTTTGAGCTGGGATATCCATCTTCTCCTGCCCTCAATCAGAGCTCCTGGTTCTCAGGCCTTCAGACTCGGACTAGGACTTATACCATTGCCTCCCCTGGTTCTCAGGCCTAGAATGATATCACCAGTTTTCCTGGGCCTTCAGCTTGCAGACGGCAGATCATGGGATTTCTCAGCCTCCATAAACGCATGAGTCAATTCCTTATAAGAAATGTCTTTTTATATCTCTTTCTATATATTTTATTGGTTCCATTTCTCTGGAGAACCGTAACTAATGCACCCACGTTCTTAGCAATACTTTTCACAACAGCCAAGAAGTGAAAGCAACCCAAATCTCCATCAATGGATGAATGAATTTTTTAAACGTGTTATATGTATACAATGGAATATTATACAGCCTTAAAAAGGAAGGACATTCTGTCACATGCTACAACATGAACAAACCTTGAGGACATTATCCTAAGTGAAATCGGCCAGTCACAAAAGACAAACACTGTATGGTTCCACTTACATGAGGTGTCTAAAGTCATAAAATTCATAGAAACAAACATAGAATATTGGTTTACCAGGGACTGTGGGAGGGGATTAAAGGGGAGTTGCTGTTTAATGGGTATAAAATTCCATATTTGCAAGGTGAAAATGTTCTTGGGATCTGTTTTACAACAATGTAAATATCCTTAACACTAACAAACTATAAACCTAAAAATAGTTAAGATGGTAAATTTTGGCCAGGCACAGTGGCTCACACCTGTAATCCCAGCACTTTGGGAGGCTGAGGTGGGTGGATCACTTGAGGTCAGGAGTTCGAGACCAGTCTGGCCAACATGGTGAAACCCAGTCTCTACTAAAAATACAAAAAAATGAGCCAGGCATGGTGGTGCATGCCTGTAGTCCCAGCTACTTGGGAGGCTGAGGCAGGAGAATCACTTGAACCTGGGAGGTGGAGGTTGCAGTGAGCCGAGATCAGACCACTGCACTTCAGCCTGGGCAACAGAGCAAAACTGTCTCAAAAAAAAAAAAAAAAAAGAAGCTAAATTTTATGTTTTTGTTACCATAATAGAAAAGTTTAAAATAATTCAAATTGCATTCTAGCTCAATATAATCGATATGCAAGATTTTTTTTAAGTCTCCATATAAGCAAATTCTATTAATTCCTACCTATGACACAGTGTTGGTAGAACTGGCATGGTAGGCTGAGACTAAGAAACTAGAAGGCCATCTTACTGAAATAAGCACTAAAAATAGTATCTTCCTTTTTTTAATCTTTTTTTTTTTTTTTGAGATGGAGTTTTGCCTTTGTTGCTCGACTGCTGGAGAGCAATGGCACAATCTCTGCTCACCGCAACCTCTGCCTCCTGGTTCAAGCAATTCTCCTGCCTCAGCCTCCTGAGTAGCTGGGATTACAGGTGCCTACCACCATGCCCAGCTAATTTTTGTATTTTTAGTAGAGACAGGGTTTCACCATGTTGGCCAGGCTGTTCTTGAACTCCCGACCTCGTGATCCGCCTGCCTTGGCCTCCCAAAGTGCTGGGATTATAGGCGTGAGCCATCACGCCCTGGTAGTATCTTCCTTTCTTATTCAGTTCAGTGTGTTAGTGACCCCTAAAGAATGAGAAAGACCCAAGGCATTTCCTGCTTGAAGATGTCACATAAAGTTGGTAATTCCATCATCCCTCAGAAATCATCTCCCAAAACAAAGGACACAAGAGACCAGAATGAAAATCCTATCTCAATTTAAAAAAAAATTAAGACAGGTAAAACAAAATAACTGTAAAATAAGTGTAAGGGGTACCAAAAGCAAAGGCTTGTGAGGAAAGGCACAACAGGAGGCCGAGAGTGGGCCCCAGAAGAGCTCAGTAAGAGCTTAATAGCTCACCCAGTGAGATGTGTATACTGAAGTTAAAAAAAAAAAAAGTAATAGCCCCATTTGTGCAACAATGGGAAGAAGGCAGTGTTATGGATTTGTGACCCCCCACCCAGAAGATATGTGAAAGTCCTAACCCCTGGTACCTGTGAATGTGACCATATTTGGAAATAGGGTCTCTGTAGATGTAATCCTTAGGGTGAGGTTATACTAGATTAGGATGGGTCCTAATACAACGACTGGTGTCCTTATAAGAAGAGGAAAATGGCAGGGTTCAGTGGCTCACACCTGCAATCCCAGCACTTTGGGAGGCCAAGGCAGGCGGATCATTTGAGGTCAGGAGTTCAAGACCAGCCTGGCCAACATTGTGAAACCCCATCTCTACTAAAAATACAAAAAAATTAGCCTGGCATGGTGGTGCACACCTGTAATCCCAGCTACTTGGGAGGCGGAGGCTGGAGAATCACTTGAACCCAGGAGGTGGAGGTTGCAGTGAGCCGAGATTGTGCCACTGCACTCCAGCCTGGGTGACAGAGTAAGACCCTGTCTCCAAAAAAAAAAAAAGAGGAAAATGTAGACACGGACATAGAAAGGAGACCAGCATTCAAAGACGGAGACAGAGATTGTAGTGATGCGTCTACAAACCAAGGAATGCCAGGGCTACCACCAGCAGCGAGGAGAGAGGCATGGAGCACACTCTCCTTCAGAGCCTCAAGAAGGACCAACCCTCAGACCCCTTGATTTCACACTTCTAGCCTTCAGAACTGTGAGAAAATAAATTCCTGATGTTTTAAGCCACTGAGTTTGTTGTATTTTGTTACGGCAGTTCCAACTGACTAACACAGGTGGGTAGGCTGGTAGCACCAGTTTCTCTGGACCCATTTTGATTTTGAGTAGCAGAGAAATTGGGACTAAATTAGAACTCCACACACAAGTCATATTCACAGGAAGCCACATGTTCATGAGAAGTGAGAAGAGATCCCACTGTGCACAGCTGTGCAGCTGCCTGTCTTCATTGCCTGCGAAGAAGAAAAGGCTAAAGTATCTCATATGCAAAACCCTGGATCAAAAGAAAAATTCCCACTGATACAGAAGATGTCCCTGACCCCTTCACAACACAAATCTCCTGTAAATAGTTGAGCTAAGAAAATTCACTTCATTCAAAGATGAACAGTCAAAAAAGAACCAAAAAAGATTTAAGGAAGAAAATGAAAAAGAGGCTGAGCGCTGTGGCTCATGCCTGTAATCCCAGCACTTTGGGAGGCCAAGGCGGGCAGATCACTTGAGGTCAGGAGTTTGAGTGGTTGACCAGTCTGGTCAACATGGTGAAACCTTGTCTCTACTAAAAAAACAAAAATTAGGCCGGGTGCAGTGGCTCGCGCCTGTAATCCCAGCACATTGAGAGGCCAAGGTGGGCAGATCACCTGAGGTCAGGAGTTCAAGACCAGCCTGACCAACATGGCGAAACCCTGTCTCTACTAAAAATACAAAAAGTAGCTGGGCACGGTGGTGCGTGCCAGTAATCCCAGCTGCTTGGGAGGCTGAGGCAGGAGAATCACTTGAACCTGGGAGGTGGAGATTGCAGTGAGCTGAGATGGTGCCACTGCACTCCAGCCTGGGTGACAGAGCGAGACTCTGCTTCAAAAAAAAAAAAAGGAAATGAAAAAGAAACAGAAAAACAAATGCTGATGAATAATCACCATGAAAACATTACCTCAGGCCAGGCTCAGTGGCTCACGCCTGTAATCCCAGCACTTTGGGAGGGTGAGGAAGGGGGATCACCTGAGGTTAGGAGTTCGAGACCAGCCTGAGCAACATGATGAAACCCTGTCTCTACTAAAAATAGAAAAATTAGCGGGTGTGGTGGCACACCCAGCTACTTGGGAGGCTAAGGCACGAGAATCACTTGAGCCCAGGAGGCAGAGGTTGCAGTAACCCGAGATCATGCCACAACACACCAGCCTGGGTGACAGAATGAGACTGCGTCTCAAAAAAAAAAAAAAGAAAAAAGAAAAGAAAACATTACCTCAGAGCAGATTAAAATTTTGAACATTTTGCTGCAAATTTTTTTTTTTTTTTTGAGATGGAGTCTCGCTCATGTTCCCCAGGCTGAAGTGCAATGGCACAATCTCAGCTCACTGCAACCTCTGCCTCTCAGGTCCAAGCAATTCTCCTGCCTCAGCCTCCCAAGTAGCTGGGATTACAGGCATGTGCCACAGCTAATTTTTGTATTTTTAGTAGCAACGGGGTTTCATCATGTTGGTCAGGCTGGTCTCGAACTCCTGACCTCAGGTGATCCGCCCTCCTCAGCCTCCCAAAGTGCTGGGATTACAGGCGTGAGCCACCACACCCGGTCTCTTGCTGTAAATTTTTTAAAAAATGTAATGAAGCAATTGTTTCCACAAAACAATCATAAAACAGAAGTAATATCTTGAAGAAGAGAAGGTGAGATGACCAAAGGAGGTAAAACGTAAGCTGCCGGAGTTCAGGAAATAAGTGAATGAAAAAGAAAAAATAAAATCATTACACAATGTGTATGCAAACCAAATCATCGTGTTGTACACTTTGAATATATACAGTATTTATTTGTCAATTAAATCTTTTAAAAGTTAAAAAGATCTGGGCGCAGTGGCTCATGCCTATAATTCCAGCACTTTGGGAGGCCAAGTGGTAGGATCACTTGAACCCAGGAGTTCAAGACCAGCCTGGTCAACATGGTGAAACCCAAACTCTACTAAAAGTACAAAAATTAGCCAGGTGTGGTGGCACACGCCTGTAGTCCCAGCTACTTGGAAGGCTGAGGCAGGAGAATCACTTGAACCCACAAGGTGGAGGTTGCAGTGAGCTGAGATCATGCCACTGTACTCCAGCCTGGGCAACAGAGCAAAACTCCATCTCAAAAAAAATAAATAAATAAAGTTATATCTAGATTAAAGGTCATTAACTGATTACTTTAAAACAGCTTAAATTAGATATTATGTAAATTCTGAAAAGTGTGACATAAATTCCCCCTGAGGAGAAAGGCTTTAACACTTATGTAAGATATTAAAAGAAAAAGTTATATCCAGCCAGAACACACTAAAGGAAGGTTAAGGGCATTTCCCCCCAATATTTTATTATGAAAAGTCTTAAAGAGCAGCTGAAATAACTTTATAGTAAATACCTATGTACCCACTTCCTAGATTTAAGCATTACCATTTTATTTTGCTTCCCATATCATTCTATCATCCCGCTATTCATCATTAATTCATCTTATTTTTTGATGCATTTCAAAGAAAATTAGACATCACTACATTTTTCCCTAAGTACTTTGGGATGCATATTATTAAACAGAATGTAATATTTGTTTATAGTTTTATGTAAGATTTATATACAATGAAATGTACACTCTAAATGTGTATTTGCTGAGTTTGGATAAATGCATACATATGTATAACCCAACCACTGGCAAAATATAGAACATTATCATTACCCCAAAAGTTCCCCGATCCCTCTTCCCAGTTAGTCCACACTTCATGCCCTCACATGCACACTGTCACCATCTGATTTTTTTCTACCACAGATTAGCTTTGTTTGTTCAAGAATGTCATATAAATGGAATCATAGAATACATACTCTTTTGTGTATGGTTTATTTTGCCCAGCGTAGTGTTTTTGAGATTCATGTTGTTTTATGTGTCAGTAGTCACTTTTTACTGCTGAGTTGTGGTCTGCTGTATAAATATACCACATGTATAAATATACCATTCTCATACTGATAGACACATTGACTATTTCCAGTTTGGGGCTATTATGAATAAAGCTGCTGTGAACATTTTGTGCAAGTCTTTTTATTAACATGTGGTCATTTTTCTGGGTCACAAGTAGGTATATTTAATTTTATAAGAAACTGCCAGACCTTTTCCCAAAAAAGTCATACATTTTACATTACCACCACAATATTTGAGGGTTCCAATTGCCCTACCTCACCGCCAATGTTTGGTGTTGTCTTTTTAGTTTTAGCCACTTTGGTGGGCGTATAAGCAGTTTTATTTTTCAGTTAAAATATTCTTCCTTATTCTTGGCTACAGCAACAGGATGGTGGACCTCATGGCCCACACGGCCTCTAAGGAATAAGACCCCCAGACCACTAGCCCCAGCAAAAACACAAGAGGAAGAGAGAGGCCCTCAGCTGCTGGTGAGTCCCTGACGTGTCCAGTTCCCTGCCACACTGAGAATCTCCCCTCCCCGCAATTTCCATGCAGACCCCCTGAAAAGGGAAGGGCCTTGGAAGCCCCACCTTGTCATCTACCATCAATAAAGTCCCCTATGCTCAGCCAAAAAAAGAAAAAAAAATTTTTCCTAATTCTAAAAAGTGTTTGCAGATTATAAAAATTCACATAAGATGGCCAGGCGCGGTGGCTCACGCCTGTAATCCCAGCACTTTGGGAGGCCGAGGCAGGTGGATCACAAGGCCCGTCTCTACTAAAAATACAAAAATTAGCCGGGCATGGTGGCAGGTGCCTGTAGTCCCAGCTACTCAGGAGGCTGAGGCAGGAGAATCACTTGAACCCGGGAGGCGGAGGTTGCAGTGAACCAAGACCACGCCATTGCATTCCAGCCTGGGTGACAGAGTGAGACTCCATCTCAAAAAAAAAAAAAAAAAAAAAATTCACATAAGATGAAAAAAACAAAAAGACCATGAAAATCAAAGTGAAGAAAGAACAAGGGCCCATAAGTATGATGAAGCCAGGAAGCATTAGTAGAGAGAAATGAATGCATGAGATAAGGGGTTCATGATTATTAAAGGTGCTTCACTTAATTAGACTCTGAGCTTCTTAGTGCCCTAAACAAAGAGGGAAACATGACTAGTTACAGGATGTATGCTGTCCTTAAGGTACAGCTGTTGTTGAGCTACAGTATTACTCAGTGTCTTCTGTAGGAGAACAAATAATCCGTGTCAGGACAACAGCTAATAAGTTTTTACCTTAAGGACTCTGACACTGGGACTGTTGGTTCTCCTATAGAAGACACTGAGTAGTACTGTAGCCCGAACTCTCATAATACCATGATAAATACAACCCTGAGTATCAAATTACCTTTTTAAATATAACATCCCTCAATACAATCCAAAGGTATATAAGGGCTTATGACTCCAGAACAACCCCAAGGGATGAAGTACAGCAGAAAATACAAACATCACCTCTCATAATGGAGCTAAGAGCATACAAATCACCTTTTCTAGTTTTTTTCTCTGCCTCAATCACTGCCTTATCCGAGTTGATCCCTTTAATTTGAAGAATTTAGTTGTATTAAATTCAAATTGTTTATATTTATTGAAACATTATCTTCTACTTTATCCCCCCAAATTGTATAACATTTCCTTTGTTACATGTTTTTACAAGCGATCTAAAACTTTCTGTATATATTACCTCCCTAACTATAAACTCCTCAAGGGCAATGACAATTTATATATTTCAGTCAACAATAAATGTTAACTAAGAAATTGATGGTAGAGAAGAAAATATGACATAAACATAAGCGTTGTGATACTATCATGGGTAGCATAACATTCACATTAAAATAGAAAAATAGGGCCGGGTGTGGTGGCTCACGCCTGTAATCCCAGCACTTTGGGAAGCCGAGGAGGGCGGATCACGAGGTCAGGAGATCAAGACCATCCTGGCTAACACAGTGAAACCCTGTCTCTACTACAAAATACAAAAAATTAGCCAGGCATGGTGGCGGGCGCCTGTAGTCCCAGCTACTCAGGAGGCTGAGGCAGGAGAATGGCGTGAACCCGGGAGGCGGAGCTTGCAGTGAGCCGAGATTGCGCCACTGCACTGCAGCCTGGGCGACAGAGCAAGACTCTGTCTCAAAAAAAAGAAAAAAGAAAAATAGAACTCATGTTTTTATGATGCTAAGGTACCACTTTTTTTTTTCTTTAAGAGAACAGTGTCTCACTCTGTCACCCAGGCTGGAGTACAGTGGCTCGATCAAAGCTCATTGCTGCCTTAAACTCCTTGGCTCAAGCAGTCTTCTCAGCCTCCCAGTAGCTGGTACTACAGGTGTGTGCCACCACACTAGCCTTAGGATACCACTTAAATACATGTAGAACACCCTAAATCTGTTATAGCAGACACCTACACATAAAACCATCTATAAAGCATTATTTTGCATATCCAATTTTCTTTTTGGTTCTTCTTAAACTGGATCTTCAATCACTGCTTTCTCTTAAAAATTCTAAGAGGGAAAGTCTGTTTTATTATTTTAAAAATTCTTCCATAATTACCTACAAGAATGTATAATATTGAGGCCAGCGTGGTGGCTCACACCCGTAATCCTAGCACTTTGGGAGGCTGATGCGGGTGGATCACCTGAGGTCAGGAGTTTAAGACCAGCCTGGCCAACATGGTGAAACGCTGTCTCTACTAAAAATACAAAAATTAGCTGGGTGTGGTGGTAGGAGCCTGTAATCCAGCTACTTGGGAAGCTGAGGCAGGAGAATCACTTGAACTGGGAAGCGGAGGTTGCAGTGAGCTGAGATGGCGCCACTGCACTCCAGCCTGGGCGACAGGGTGAGACTTTGCTTCAAAAAAAAAAAAGTATAATATTGAATGGGTACCCATTCATTATTAAGTATTATATTACCAGCACCTCACTAGGGTAACAAAAGCTACCTGTGGTTGTGGCAGACACTGCGTGCTGACCAGCCTACGTTTCTAACACCCTTCTCCCTTGACTGACTCTACTGAAGAAGTTATCAAAGTTAGAAACTCAATCTCCTAGATGTCTGTATGGCTTAGGGAGGTCACTTGACAGTCTTGGCCAATGGGCTACAAGTGGAAGTTGACTAGTACCCCTTATTTCACTTCCCCCATCTTTCAGCCTGACACCTAAATGCAAGACACCTGGTGGGCCCAGTGGCTCATGCCTGTAATTCCATTACTTTGGGAGACCAAGGTAGGATGGTCGGTTGAGTCCAAGAGTTCTAGACCAGCCTGGGCAACATTGCAAGACCTTGTCTCTACAAAAATATTTTAAAATGAGCAGGACGTGGTGGCACACAACTGTAGTCCCAGCTGCTCAGGAGAATTGCTTGAGCCCTGGAGGTTGAGGCTGCAGTGAGCTGTGATCACACCATTACACTCCAGTCTGGGTGACAGAGCAAGACTGTATCTAAAAAAACAAAAAACAAAACAAAAAAAAAACCTGAAGGTGCCACAGCCATATTGCAACCATAGGTAGGACAAAGGCTTATAACTAGGGATGGGAGAATAGCAAGATTAGAAAGAGCTTGGGTCCATGATAGCATACCTGAGTCATTACAAGCTGTGGATTTCCTACTACGGTGGCCAGCATCTAAGATGGTCTCCTGTGACCCTCAACTGCTGATATTCACACCTTCACACCTTTCAGTAGCCCCTCCCAAAATAAATCAGGGCTGGTCTGTATGATCAACAGAACAGAACAGGAATGAGGGAGTGTGCCTTTTTTTTTTTTTTTCTTTTGAGACATGGTGCTGCTCTGTTGAGCAGGCTGGAGTGCAGTGGCATGATCTCAACTCACTGCAGCCTTGAGCTCTCAGGCTCAAGTGACCCTCCCACCCTAGCCTCCCAAGTAGCTAGGACCACAGGCTTGTGCCATCACAACTGGCTAATTTTTGAATTTTGGAGAGATGGGGTCTCCCTGTGTTGCCCAGGTCTTGAACTCCTGGGCTCAAGCAATCCTCCTGCCTCGGCCTTCCAAAGTGCTGAGATTGCAGGCATGAGCTACCATGCTTGGCCAAGGGTGTGTGACCTCTGATGCTGGATTATAAAAGGCATTGCAGCTTCTGCTGTGCTCTCTTCGCTTGCTCACTCTGAGGAAAGCTAGCAGCCATCCTGTGAGGACAGTCAAGCAGTTCTGTACAGAGGCCCATGTGGAGAAAAACAGGCATCCTGCCATCAATCAGCAGCAACCTGCCAATCATGAAAGTGAGCCACTGTCCGGTACGTACCTGTAGTCCCATCTACTCAGGAGGCTGAGGTGGGCAGATCACCTGAGCCTGGGAGGTGGAGGTTACAGTGAACCGTGATCACACCACTGCACTCCAGCCTGGGCTACAGAGTGAGACCCTGTCTCAAAAAAAGAGAGAGAGAGAAAGAAAAGAAAGAAGAAAGAAAAGAGAAAAGAAAACAAAGAAAAGAAAAGAAAAAGGAAGGGAGGAAGGGAGGAAGGGAAGGAAGGGAAGGAAGAGAAAGAAGCCACACTGTGGAAGTGTATCCTCCAGCCACAGTCAGGCCTTTGGATGACAGAAAGAAAAAAGAAAGAAAAAGGAAGGAAGGAAGGGAGGAAGGGAGGAAGGGAGGGAGTGGGGGAGGTCAGCCATTGTGGAAGTGGATCCTGCAGCCCCAGTGAAGCCTTTGGATGACTACAGCCCTGACAGCTGATAGCAAGCTCAGAGGAGACTCCAAGACAGAATTACCTAGCCAAGATGCTCCTGAATTCTTGAACTGCAGAAAACATGAGAGAGAAGAAATTATTATCATTTAAGCCATGACATTTCGGGCATTAGATTATAAATATATCAGAATTTTTGTTATATGAGTTTATGCCAGTGCTGGGTAATTTTTTATTAACTGATAAACTACTCAGGAAATTTGAGAAAAAAAAAAGACAGCTATAAAAATTTTATGTGACTAAAGGAGTTCTTTGAAAAAAAATCTGTCTTTTGATCCATCTTAAAAACTGTAGCTAAGACAATATCTAATACAAAATGAGGTTTAATTTCTATACTAAGTTAAGAAGCAGAATGGGAAAAAATGAACCACATCTCATGAAACCTAAACTCTAGCCTTAGCTCTATCATTATTTGCCTGTGACACTTGGCAAATCAACTTGCTGCAGATCCTTTTTTTTTTTTCCTTTGAATGATGAGAGAACTAGACTAGATGATTTCTGTATCTCCCTTTAACTCCTAAATTCTGACCCTAAGAGCTATGACATCATTGGTGCTATTTTTCAGGGCTCTTGATAATGTTTAAAGAGAAAATTTTGCCTATAAAATTAGCATAATAATACTCAATACTGGAAAAAATGCAAGGAGACTGGCACTCACACACTGATGTTGGAACATAAACTGATTTAATCCCCTCAGAAAGCAATTTGGTATTATGTCAAGTCTTTTTACTTTTTTTCTTTTTTTTTTTTTTTTGAGACAGGGTGTCACTCTGTTGTCCATGCTGGGGTGCAGTGGCACAATCATGGCTCACTGCAGCCTCGACCTCCCAGGCTCAAGCAAGCCTGCCACCTCAGCCTCCTGGACGGCTGAGACTACAGGCACAGACACGTGCCCCCCACCCAGATAATTTTTTTTTTTTTTGAGATGGAGTTTTGCTCTTGTTGCCCAGGCTAGAGTGCAATGGCATGATCTCGGCTCACTGCAACCTCCGCCTCCTGGGTTCAAGCGATTCTCCTGCCTCAGCCTCTCAAGTAGCTTAGATTATGGGCGTGTGCCACCATGCCTGGCTAATTTTGTATTTTTAGTAGAGATGAGGTTTCACCATGTTGGTCAAGCTGGTCTTGAACTGCTGACCTCAAGTTATCCACCCGCTTCGGCCTCCCAAAGTGCTGGGGTTACAGGCGTGAGCCACCGTGCCCAGCCAGGATAATTATTTGATGCTTTCTTGAGATGGGGTCTCACTATGTGGCCCAGGCTGGTCTGAAACTCCTGAGCTCAAGTGATCCTCCTGCCTCAGCTTCCCAAAGTGCTGGGATTACAGGAATCAGCCACTGCACCCGGCTATCAACAGTCTTTTTTAAGTCAATATCGTAATACAAAAGAATGGTATTGTAATCTTAAAGGTGGAACATATAGTATCATTACAAGTTACATTTCTAAAGAGTTTATAACATAGGGAAATACATTTTCATGCTAAGAGAAAATTGAAAAAGAATAAAAATATCTATACTAGTAGTTTTCATTGGGTAGTGAATCTGGAGATTATTTTCTTCTCCACTCCAGTTGTTTTTATATTTTTCCAATTTTTCATAAAGACCATGGCTCACTTTTATAATTATAAAGGCTTAATGTGAGGTTAGTTAGAGAAGTTAAAATTCAGACAGGAAAATTCAAGAGAATAAAAAAAATTAAGGAAAAAAGTTAAAGAGGATGACTATAGGTAGGCTAACTAAGCCCAGAGTCTACGGAGGGTATCTTGGGGGTTGGTCAGAAAAAGATGTTGGCAGTAAGATAGGTTAGTGAAAGGAGAGGCAGTTGGTGAGGCTATGACTTGGAAAATTGGATTAGGAAATAAGCAAACATATATGGCACAAACCCAAGAGGAATAGAGTATAAACTCTATTCCTAGAAATAGTCCTAGAGTCCTAGAGTCCTAGAAATCAAGACCAAAGGGAAGTAAAAAATAAAATATTCAACAGAATATATGAACATAGTGATCACCTAAATAACAGCCAGAATAGGAAGATTAGTGTAAATACTCTATATAGGCATTGGATAACACATGTTACACGTTGGAGTTAATCACTAGACCGTGAAACCACAAAAAATCAAGGAGTGTTTTTTTTTACATGGAATGGAATATAAGCACTAGGTTATACATAATTGGAAATTAATATTGGAGCATAATGTTCATTTTTGCCTCTGGTTACAATTAATATAATAATGTCACTTCTGTGGTCAGTAAGCATAAGCGTAAGAGGGGACTGAACACCATGTCTGGCACTCAACTTTCACTTTCTGGGAGCTGAGTAGTCAGGAGACCAACAGTGAGCATGGCCAATAACATCCCCAGCAAGTATATATGATTTCAAAATACAACAAAGGGGCTGTGTCAACTTGCTGAGACTCTAGAAGGGAACTTCCTTCCCCCTGGGCTTTCTAGATTAAGGTATTTTCCCTCCATGTGTCTCCTCACCAAATTAAAATTAATTCGTACTTCAGTACAAAAACTGAATGGTTGAGTACCTTTAAGAAACGAGGCCGGGTGCAGTGGCTCATACCTGTAATCCCAACACTTTGGGAGGCTGAGGTGGGTGGATCACGAGGTCAGGAGATCGAGACCATCCTGGCTAACATGGTGAAACCCTGTCTCTACTAAAAATACAAAAAATTAGCCGGGCGTGGTGGTGGCCACCTGTAGTGCCAGCTACTCGGGAGGCTGAGGCAGGAAAATGGCATGAACCCGGAAGGCAGAGCTTGCAATGAGCCGAGATCATGCCACTGCACTCCAGCCTGGGCGACAGAGCAAGACTCCGTCTCAAAAAAAAAAGAAAAAAGAAAAGAAAATAAACAGTACTTATAAGAGTTGTTTCTGAAATTACAAATCAAGGTAACAGAAAAGTTCTGCCTTAGATATCTGTACTGATTGTAACCTGGAGACAAAGCAAAGCCAAAACAAACTTATCATTAGCTTAGCATGCCAGTATACTTCCTTATACCCAGTATGGGGCTCCATAACATGGGAAATGAATTATTCTTGTCTGACTGATCCTCTGATTATTGGTTTTTCTCCATCCTCTAATTATAAGCATTCCTTTGAGCAGTCCTTGCCACCCTGTCCTATTCTTTCTTCAGGGGACAACTTATCCACATTCATGGCAATGTACTGAAGAAATATATATTGAGCACCAACTATGAACCAGGCACCAGGACACACCAAGAACACATTGTTCATGATGCAGAGAAGAAACACTTGCATAACAACTATATATTGTGGTAACTGTTCTACTAAAGATTAATGTGAATTACCAGGAAAGCAGAAAGAAGGGAATGACACGTCTGAGAAGTCTTCATAAAAGTACATTGCTAAAGGATGACCAAAATGTTCAAAGGTGAAAATGACAATTTCAGGCAAAGAGAACAATTGATGCAAAGGCATGTAATTACGACACAGCATAGCATGTCTAGAAAAGGACAAGAAGTTTGGTGTGGAGCAATTAGGGGAGTGCAAGGAGATGCAAAGATACACAGCTGGAGATAAAGTGGGTGCTGTGGAAAGTCTTCTAAGCCCTGCTAATGAGTTTCAAATTTATTCACTATGCATTGAAAGCCATTGAAAGGGGTTAAGCAAGAAAGAGACATGATCATATTTGTATTTTTATTTATGTTTTTTCTTTCTTTCTTTCTTTCTTTTTTTTTTTTTTTTTTTTTTTTTTGAGGCGGAGTCTCACTCTGTCACCAGGCTGGAGTGCAGTGGCACAATCTCGGCTCACTGCAACCTCCGACTCCCTGGTTGAAGGGATTCTCCTGCCTCAGGCTCCCTAGAAGCTGGCATTACAGGCACGCACCACCACGCCCAACTAATTTTTGTATTTTTAGTAGAGACGGGGTTTCACCATGTTAGCCAGAATGGTCTTAATCTCCTGACCTCGTGATCTGCCCGCCTCGGACTCCCAAAGTGCTGGGATTACAGGCATGAGCCACCGCGCCCGGCCCATATTTGTGTTTTTTTTTGTTTGTTTTTTTGTTTTTTTGTTTTTCTCTGAGACGGAGTCCTGCTCTGTCACCCAGGCTGGAGTGCAGTGGCTCAATCTGGGCTCACTGCAAGCTCCGCCTCCCGGGTTCCCGCCATTCTCCTGCCTCAGCCTCCTGAGTAGCTGGGACTACAGGCGCCCGCCACCACGCCCGGCTAATTTTTTGTAATTTTAGTAGAGACAGGGTTTCACAGTGTTAGCCAGGATGGCCGATCTCCTGACCTCATAATCCGCCCGCCTCGGCCTCCCAAAGCGCTGGGATTACAGGCGTGAGCCACCGCGCCCGGCCCCATATTTGTATTTTAAAATGACCCCTTTGGTAACCGTGTGGCTATTTCCCCGCTAGGACTTAAGCAGGTAAGATGCATTTCAATAATCCAGGTGAGAAGTGATAGGAGCCTAAACTAAGAGAGTGGCAGTAGGAGACGAAGAGGAAAGATAGATTCAAGAGGCAGAATTTATCAGATCTATGAGCAAAAGAATGTAGGAGGTAAAAAGAGGGAACAATCAAAGTCCAAAGTTTTGAGTCTAGTCAGCTAGTTGGACATTGATACCAATAAATAAAAAAAAAAAGAATATGAGACAAGAATGAGAGGGATGAGGCAAGGGGAAGGAAGAAAATATCTTTTTCAGATATGTTGAGTTTGAAGAGTCCATTGAGATATCCA
The DNA here is from genome assembly GCF_000001405.40 of Homo sapiens. NCBI lineage: Eukaryota > Metazoa > Chordata > Mammalia > Primates > Hominidae > Homo > Homo sapiens. The sequence continues at coordinate 49,918,764 of NC_000014.9, read as the reverse complement.
AGAGCAGATGCCTTGTGAGCAGTTGAATATAAGAGTATGGAGCCTGGAAATAAGTGTGGGTCAAGGCCGGGTACGGTGGCTCACGCCTGTAATCCCAGCACTTTGAGAGGCCGAGGTGGGTGGTTCACGAGGTCAGGAGATCAAGACCATCCTGGCCAACATGGTGAAACCCCGTCTCTACTAAAAATACAAAAATTAGCTGGGAGTGGTGGCGGGCGCCTGTAATCCCAGCTACTCAGGAGGCTGAGGCACGAGAATCGCTTGAACCCAGGAGGCAGAGGTTGCAGTGAGCCGAGATTGCGTCACTGCACTCCAGCCTGGGAGACAGAGCAAGACTCTGTCTCAAAAAAAAAAAAAAGAAAGAAAGAAATGTGGGCGCTAAAGCCATCACAAAGTGACAGCTTCAATGTTGAAAGGAAATGAAATCCGGATAATATAGGATGGAAAGTATCTACTTTCATCAAGAAATTCAAAATTTCCTCCAATATTCTACTCTCAAAAACTGAGTCCTATATTGTCATCTACTTATTAGATTTTCCATTTGGACATCCTACCATCACCTCAAATATGAATGAATCTAATGATATTATAGGTCAAAAATGGTTGAATATTGGAATTATACAATGTTTCAACATTAATAATTAGCATTTCACAGCTGTATTATCACAGCAGTGTCCTGGATTCCTTACCTCCTAGCTCATCTTATAATTCATATTGTCAAATGTTTCTCCAAACCCGTTCTTCACATCTTACTCCCCTGTTCAAAACCCTTTAGAGGTGCCCTATTAATTACTACAGCCAAGCTAAGCCCCACCCTCACCTTCCATTGCTTCTTAACATTATTCTCCACCTAATAGGGCTGGGCTCATCAATGTCCTGTGAACCAACCCACAATGTTCATTCCATTCTAAGCTCATGCTGACCCATTACCTGGAATTTCCTACTCTTGGCTTATCTAAATCTGGTCTAAAAGAACTTTTAAAACAGTGTCTCTCAGTTTTCTTTTTTTTTTTTGAGATGGAGTCTCGCTCTGTGCCAGGCTGGAGTGCAATGGCATGATCTCTGCCTCCCAGGTTCAAGCGATTCCCCTGCCTCAGGCTCCTAAGTAGCTGGGACTACAGGCATGCTACAATACACCCAGCTAATTTTTGTATCCTTAGTAGAGACGAGGTTTCACCATGTTGGCCAGGATGGTCTCGTGACCTCGTGATTGGCCCCCATCTCGGCCTCCCAAAGTGCTGGGATTACAGGCGTGAGCCACCACGCCCAGCCAGCTTTTTGACCATGATTCTCTTTGATAAAGCTAACTCAAAACCCATTATCAATCCCTTTCATCCTGTCCTCTTCCACTAGAGAGTATAGAAGGTAAGTGCTTCTTTTCTGAGACTCCTTTGTAGTTAGGAAAGGCCATGTGATGAATTCCAGCCAATGGTTCTGCCTCCTCTTCCTTCCTGCCTTGAAAACAGGCACAAGTACTTAGAGCTGCAGCAGATATCTTGGAATCGTAAATCCACAAGCCAGCACACTAAGGACTACAGAGTGGTAAAACACAAATTTTGGAGTTCTTGACCAAATCCCTGAGCCACACCAGGCCAGGACTGCCTATTTCTTGGATTTACTATGTCAGGAAATAAGTCCCTAATTGTTTAGGCTACAGTTGCCTATCTATTTTTTTTTCTTTGGTTTTGCTGCAGAAAACATTCCAAATTTATATATATATATATATATATATATATATATATATATATATTTTTTTTTTTTTTCCAAGCAGTAGCACGCCCTATAGCAAACAAATTCATGACAGTCTTTATGACACAAAGATTAATATTCACTTGACAGTGGCTGTGCGTGTGGCTCTTACCATAATCCTAGCACTTCAGGAGGCTGAAGCGGGAGGATCCCTTGAGCCCAGGAGTTCGAGACCAACCTGGGCAACATAGGGAGACCCTGTCTCTATTTTAAAAAAAAAAAAAAAAAAAAAAAAAGAGCCAGGCCTGGTGGCTTACGCCTGTAATCCCAGCACTTTGGGAGGCCGAGGCAGACAGATCGCCTGAGGTAGGAGTTTGAGACCAGCCTGGCCAACATGGTGAAACCCCTTCTCTACTAAAAATACACACACAAAAAATTAGCCGGGCATGGTGGTGTGGGCCTGTAATCTCACCTAATGGGAGGCTAAGGCAGGAGAATTACTTGAACCTGAGAGACAGAGGTTGCAGTGAGCCGAGATCACACCACTGCACTCCAGCCTAGGTGACAGAACAAGACTCCATCTCAGAAAAAAAAACTCACTTGATAGTTCAAACATGTATCTAATGACAAACTGTTTTTCGAAGCAAGCTAGAATGTATAGGCACACAAACATTCCACCAATTATGGCTTTTTGCAGCAGCTATTCTCTCTGAGGTTCACAGAGTCTAGGGTAACAGTTTATTGAAAAATAAAAAGTGTAGGCCAAGCGTGGTGGCTTATGCTTGTAATCCCAGCACTTTGGGAGGCCAAGGTGGGAGGATTGTTTGAGCCCGGGATTTCAAGTTTACAGTGAGCTATGATCAGGCCACTGCACTCTAGTGTGGGCGACAGAGCAAGACCCTGTCTCAAAAACAAACAATAACAAAGTACTTCTCTTAGTTAAAGGGAGAATTCCAATTCTTCAGTAGTGATATGGTTAAGTTATTCTCCTTTACAGAAACTAGAATAGGGAGTGCCAAGTTCTAAATTTTTTAACCAGAAAAGTTTATTTCTTGCCCATAGTTAGTCCAAAATGAGTTCCTGATCAGCCCTCCTACAAAGATCCATCTAGAAAACCTCTTCCTTATATCTTAGGGCTCCTCCATCCTCAAATAAGCTGTGATATTCTGTATAAAGTCAGAAAAAAGGAAAGTAGCATGGAAGAGAGCTTGAGGGGACTTTATGTATGAAACCAGGAATCAATATATATCACTTTCATTCACATTCCACTGGCTAGAACTCAGCTGTGAGGCTGCATCTAACTGCGAGGCAGGGTGGGAAATGTAGTCTATTAGTACACAAAAGAAGGAAAGGAAAAGAATTCTGTGAATTGCTAGACAATCTGTGCCACACTTGTATAAAAAAAGAAAAGAAAAAAAATTTGAAGTTAAAATGGAATAAGGAAGGCAAGTCCCTTACCTTAATAAGGAAGATAAAGCAATTTTAAAGTCACTCTCCTACAGCATTTTCATACTCAAATCCCTGTTCTTCCACTGGTTTAAAAAAAAATGGCCTCCATCCTCCAACGTATGGAGAGACTGGACTTTACTGACATATATTAACCTTTTGCTTTCCCATCTAAAAAAAGCTGAGCAAACCATCAGAGTGGCATACAGAAGTATCCTCAGTCCCAGTTTGGACAGATAACCATCCCATGCTATGGGAGGCAGCTTCTAAGGTAGCCCTCCATAATCTCCACCTCCTGGTATCTACTTCTCTGTTTAATCCCCTACCCTGAAGTGTGGGTGGACTTAATTGCCAGGTCATGTGGTAACTCTATGTTTATCATTCTGAAGAACTGCCAAACTGTTTTTCTAAAGTGGCTGCAGCATTTTACAATCCAGATGAACTACTTTTTATCTATGGAACCAAATGCAAATTATTTAACCTGAGTTTTCCATCATTTGTAAAGTATTAGTTATCATTTTTAGTTTCAAAAATAATTCCTGCAGATCATGTGGGCAGAAGAAAAGGAAAAAATAAAGACTACCATTTATTGAGCACTACTTGTACCACCACTGTTCTAAGTACTTATGAAGACTTTTCTCATTTAACCCATGTGGTAGAATTATCAAATAAAATACAGGACAGTTCATTAAATTTAAATTTCAGGTTTAATAACTAATAATCTTTTAGTATAATTATATCCTGTGCAATCTTTGCCCAAAGTTTTTTTGTTTGTTTTTTGTTTGTTATTTGTTTGTTTTTTTTTTCGAAATGGAGCCTTACTCTGTCGCCTAGGCTGGAGGGCAGTGGCAGGATCTCGGCTCACTGCAACCTCCACCTACCTCCT